>NC_000006.12:119010183-119313214 GCF_000001405.40 Homo sapiens | reverse complement strand
CAGGCAGTCTTTGTGAAGGCGGAGTCACATCAGGCTCTGCACTGTCACCTCTTGGTGACATTAGCCTCTTTTCTTTCCTTTCCCGTAATTGCTCTGCCCACTCTGAGTTCAGCTAAAGGTCAAAGCATCAAAGGAAGGAGAACTTCCTTCCTAAGTTCTCCCTTATCTGTTTAACCTCCTGAAGCCTAGGAGGACTCTGAGGAGGTGGCGTGAGTGGATAAAGGTCAGCCAGGCTCATTGAGTGTCTTCTAGTCAGGTGCCCTGTCACACCTGATCTCCTCACTGTGCTGTAAGGGAGATAATACTTACTTTTTTAGTAAGCTGTATTTTCTGAGCAGTTTTAGGCTTGTAGCAAAATTGAACAGAAAGTATAGAGAGTTCCCATATACACCCTGTCCCCACACAGGCACAACCTCGCAGTCTCAGCACCTCAACCCACAGTGGTGCATTTGTTAAAATGGGTTATTCTTTTTGAAAGATGAGAGAACTAAGGGGTAGAAGGGCAGACCCTGAGGCAGCTGGCCTCAGGCTTATCCACTGTGACCTGCTCTGCCATGTGGCTGTGATAGACCGGCCTTAGTATCAGGTCTCTTGCTGCCCAGTTGTCCTTCTGGCCCTCCAGATCTTCATTCCCATAAGGAAATGTAGGTGGTGGGGATAGCATTAGATAAGCGGTGGAAGGGGTGGTTAGATTGCCGTCTTTTCTTGATCCATGGAGAAATTCTCTTCCAATGGATAAGTGAAGGTTTGGAGAAATTGTGAATTAATTTCCCCCAAGTTGCTTTTTATCTGTGTCTCTCCGTTCTGTTTTCCAGTTCCACCAAAGATTGAAAGAAATAAGGTTAATTCAATGACCCTAAAAATATTTTATCTGAAAGCTCTAGAAGTTACTTTTATATGACAGCCAAGTAATTTTAAGCAAAGTTTGATGGAAATTGCTGTCAGGCTTTTAAAATCACTGTTTTTCAAAGCATCAACCCTAAGTGTAGTTTTAAGAGAAATGGCACATCACTTTCAGGTTTAACAATCAGTGAGTTAGATTGCTCTTCCACCTCAGACCTTGCCTGAATCAGACACAGCCCCTTGTGTCCCCAAGAACAGCAGGGACATGAGTATCACTGGACCACAGAACTTCTTCCCTTTCATGACAAACAGCGGACTGTTATATAAGTGAGCCAAACATGGCCTCTGTCTGTTGGTCTCTAGGTTATTTCCTCACTGCAGGCTGAGACCCGTTAATTCAAGAGCCCGCCAACACCAAACTAATTTTTAATACATCTAATTATTTTAAAAATAGCCCGAACAAGCAGATTTTTAGCATTTAGAGCCTGCCTTACACGTTCTGTGAAACCTTACCTAGCATCTGTTGGCCATTGATAAGATAGAGCTTTGTGGTTTTAAGACACCGAGCTGCTACTGCCCTTCAAGGTCTTCTGATAATAGAGTTACTCCATCATGCTGCAAAGTGACATCACTTAGTCCTAAGCCCTCATTCCGATGCACCTCTCCCTTGGGAGTTCCTTTGTCCTCCTCCCCTTCTGCATGGTGACCTCCTCACCCTAAGCCTCTGGATGCCCTCCCATGCAACCCTGTACAAAGCACCACTCATTAAAGCTTGTTGTGTGTTAACTGCCTCTGTGGTCCTGTCTTTTTCCCAGATCAACCTCAAATCCCTCGAACAAACCCCCACTACACAGCAGTACCTTGGCACAACTAAGATTTTATGAAAGCTAGTGTATGAACCTGCATAGCTAAAGATTACCCCACATTGCCTTACACCTGGAGAGGACCTTTCTACTCTTCCTTTCTTCCTCCATCTTTTGGATACCAAATAGTTGTGTATATTTTTAAATGTATATATTGATAAAGAGCTTGTGTACAATGTAAGTTTGCCTGGTTTCACATATATTTGTCCCTCCTATTTATGTGTTATACTAGGAAAAATTATGAAGCTCTTTTAGATTGCAAAGATCACAGACATTCTTAGGTTTTTAATAAAAGTAATTATAATGCCTAAAATGCATTGAGCACTTAATGTGTGTCGGGCAACATGTTAAACTCTTTACATGCCTTGTTTTATTTAATCATCACCACAACCAGTGAGGTGTTTTTATTCACATTTTGTGTGTGCAGAAAGTGGGCTCAGAGAGATTAATTGCCTTGCTTAGAGTCACACTGACGATGGCAGAGCTCAGATATGGACCCAGTTTCTCATATGCGTTCGCCCGTGACCCGCTTTTACGCCTTACTCCTCAGTAAATGAGAAGCTTTTCTACAAGTACACATAGGGAAGTAAACAAACAGTCTCAGCAGGCAAAGAGGAAAAGGGAAGATGATTCACCAACATTCAGGACTCCACAGCATTGTTGATAGTTCTATAGCTGCTGTACAGGCCTAACACAGTTCCACTGGGGAACCATCCAAGTGGCAAAATCATCTGTACCTCAGCCTCCTCTTAACTTTTTTCTCCTTGCCTTTCTTGTCTTCTTTCTCATGGCTTTTACTGCTTCACAGCCCTTTCTCCTGTGTATTTGTACTTCTCTGTTTCTGTGTCACTCTCTGGCCTCTAGGTTCTCTCTGAATGTTTCCCAGTTACACTTCCCTAGGTAGAGTGGATGGTTGGGTTGACTCATCCCATCCATTAGTGAGAACTACACACCAGGGCGCCCCACGTTGGAGGCTCATGGCTAGCTCTCAGCAATCTGCCTTTGAGTTGGGCACCAGGCCCTGGTTCATTCAGCTGGGCCAGCATCACATCCTACAAACTACGGAAATTTTATGTAAGAACCCATAGAAGGAGGCCATAAGTGGGACTTGAACTTGTAGGCTTCAGTGAAATAGGGCAATGAAAGCCCAAAGTTTTCCTGAGATCTGTCTGGAAAAATCATGTAATTTTCAAAGACTTTTGATGTGTCTAATATAAAAATTTAAAGATTATGTGTTTAAAACTTCAGCAAATGGAAGTATTTGCTAAGAGTAGTTCTAGCAATAAATATGCAAGATATGAAGTCTATGCATACTAGGGAAATTCCAACGTATTTCTTTCTTCAGCGTGCTTGATTAGATCAGGACATTAAACTTAATTTGTTAGAAACAACAATAGAGTTGTATACAACATTTAATTAGTTTTCTTACTCTTCTATATTCACAAACATTTACTGAGTATGTAAACAGGCAGTATCTTATGTTTCCATACATTATCAATGAGATAGTAAATGAGACAGCATCCTGTATACTTCCCTTTTAGTCCTTTAGAATCTTTTCATAGTGTAGCAGATACTCAATAAATGACCTGGCCTAATTAATGAGCCCTGATGCCAATTAAGAAGAAAGTACAAATCAAAGAATCTTTTCTTATAAGCATGGAGTCAAGGGGAAGTAATACTATTTCTTTAATGCCTTATACCCAATTTAATATTTTCTGGGTTAAAATAATGGGTTGCAATTATGAAATTTTGGTCCTTTGTTTCCTTTCACACAGCGTGTCAGCTCTACCTTTCACCAGGAGCAAATATACGTATTCAGGAAGAAAACATCTTTGGCTTGCTTTCAGTTTATCTTTTTTTGTGAGGGTTTCACTACTGCATTTGAAATTTGGGCCCATTTTACTTCTACGTGGAATGTCAGGCTTTAGAACCCTAATTAAGTTAATGAAAGACTACAAAAGAAACCTAAGGAGCCTGTGAAGAGAGGTGATCAATTCTGTCCTTGTTAGTAGTTAACTTTTAGAAGTGACTTCCTTGTCCTGCCAGCTCATGAGAACTGGGTCTAGAGAAATTAAATGACTTTATCCTCATCGCCACTCAGCTGGGTAATGGCTTAATACTACAAAATTAAAAGCTGGTAGCCTTTTGATGTTTCAAATATTTGTGTAAGTCGTAAATCTGAGTTAACAAGTTGATTTTATATGTGACTTTTAAATTGAAGCTTATAGTTATTCTATGCATGTGTACACACACACTCACACAATGTCTTACAGTTAGCTTTAATGTGGTAAATCATTTCCAGAAGTGATCAGCTGGTGGAATTGGTTAACAATATGACTGTTCCTCTTTATAATTGCTGGATAAACCCCTCCCAGTGCTTTGTTCAGGGCATTTTGACCACATCATTTTCGTCTTTTCTAACTTTAACTCATAGAAATCCCATGGGATCAGGAACCCATTTTGAGAAATATGTCAGCAACTTTTGAAATGTAGGAAACTAACCAATTAGTGTCAGCTTTTCCCTTGAGGGAAGAAGATAGGAAAAGTTAATATATACTACAGAGGTTACTTTAGGAGATCCTTTACTAGTGGTACATTGTATAAGTGATCATTTTTGACAAAGCTGAAACAAATTATCGTAACTTTTTTTTCTGTTTTGATGTTCAGTATATTCCAAAAGCTTTTGAATTTATAAAGTATCTTTGGAAATTTACAGGAATGAAGAATTTACTAAATGTAGTACATTTAATGGAAAAACCAAATAAAATCAAATATAATCTCTAGGTGTTCTGTAGATTTTTTATATACCTAGTCTTTCAGAGGCTCATTGGTTTCTATTTTTCTGTGATGTGAATTTAATTAGTTTTAATATAGATTTAAAATTTAATAAACGTGATTACCTGCCATCTGTCAAGCAGTATGCAAGGTGCAAAAACATATACCACGATCATGTATTCCTTACATGCATCCTGTAAGGAATTATCCCAAATTTTCAGATAAGAGTCACAAAAACTGTGACTCATCCTTAAGTATGTGACTCATCAGTGGCGTTGTAGGGATTATAAATCAAGTCATGTGACCCTCAAATCTGTTTTACTTCTCAACAAAATTAATGTATAAGAAAAAAATCCTGAAAACACTACCATATACACATTCTTTTGATTGTTGAAAGATCAACAATCTGATTCAGTAAAGGAAGATTTTTTTTGCTGACTCATTAAAGGAAGGTGATGCAATGTGTTGGTTAATGCCATGGGCTTTGGAGTCAGGCTAGCTTGGAGATGAACCCTGGCACCTTGTCTGTGGAAAAATGTGGTGACTGAGTAAAGTTGTTTTTTAACTTCCAAACCTCAGTTTCTTCATCTCCCTAACAATGGTAATAAAACATATTTCATAGGGTTGTAGCAAGAATTGGTTACAATACTAAAGTTATAGCATTTAGCAGAGTACTTAGCAGATAGTACTGATTCTTGGTAACTGTTGGTAGTAATAGTGGTGAGTTAGGAAGGTAATTTACAAGTTGGTTAAAGATGCTGATTGTTGTGTTCAGGAACATATGAAAACTTTGTTATTAATAAAATGATACTGATCTCAATGAAGATTTTGAGTGGTAAATGGCCCGTAAATAATATCTATAACTTTGTGTGATGCTTTAAGATACTCTAAAATATGGAGCCTGATTGGAACCTTTTTCAATTATGTCCATATTTTGATTACTGAGTTCTAGACAGTTGAAGAGTCCCAATCCTTTTAAAAAATATGCATACAAAAATAATTATATGTGTTCTTTGAGTCATTGAAAAAAGTTTATACAACTAATTTATGGCAGAGGGATTTGGCTTTTAAAACCATTATTGGTGTGTAGACTCTGAATTAGGAATATACTGGATCAATCTTCAGTTACATACATATACACACATGTATCCAATTAAAGATTGATTACATTAAAATAAACAAGTTTTTCCAAAATCTAGGCATAATCACAGTGTTATTTTTTATTTCCTGTAAATATTTTAAAATACTTCTCCATATAGTCTTCGTCAGGAAACATCAAAGTGGTTTAAAGGGATAACCTGAATATTTGTCTGTATGCTGTGAGGCCAACAAAGTAAGAAGAACTTTGTGCAGAAATATAAATTTTAAAGATAGTCTTTGCAGATTTAATCTGTTATGAAAATGAACTAGATAAATGTAGACATGGTTCATGCTTTTAAGATAAGCTAAATTCCTGTTGTTGGGAACTGACTTTTGAAAATGGTATTTGCATTAAATAGGATTAAATGGACTCAAAAACGAAAACTTCCCATTTGTAAACATAAAAGGGTAGTGTGTATGTGTACCAGCATGTTTGTATGAGCATGTGTGTTCTGGTTTATATAATCATAATTCTTTTACTTAGTCATCCTTTTAACTAATGAATTTTAATGTTTTAGCCTTTGCTCTTCAATATATTACCTATTTTGTAGCAAAAACATCTCCATTCAAATTATAATCCTGTTTTTATTTTTTTTTTCAGATGATGAAACATGCTTGGAATAATTATAAAGGTTATGCCTGGGGATTAAATGAACTCAAACCTATATCAAAAGGAGGCCATTCAAGCAGTTTGTTTGGTGAGTAGATGTGCTTTGGTTTCTTAGTGACGATAACTTCTCCCCAATTGCTTGAGCTTATGGATGGTGGAGAAGTCTGTGTAACATGGCCCTCCAGGCCATTTGGTTAGGAAACTTGCACACCTGATGGAATTAGATAAGGATTGTGCATAGTGTGTCCTTCAGCTAGAGTAGTGGCTATGTGTTCGAATAACCTGCTGGAATAACCTGCGTAACTTTAAAGAGTACTGACGCCTGGGGCATACTTCTAAAGATTCTCACTTAATGGTTATAGGGTGCAGTATCATAAATTTTAGCCTCTGGGGTGATTCCTAGCATAGAAGCACTTGGTGGGCTGCACTAACTGCTTCCTGTTAGGTAAAAGCTGTGCCTTTATAGATAATCTGGGCAAGGCAGCCAGCCATGGTGATCTTCACTGTATCTCAATTTTGGCTATAGGTTTCTCCTGTTTGTACCATGGAAGAGAAAGTGAGGATGGATTAGGTTAATTGAACTTCCATTTATCCACTTTTGCAAGCTTTATTGCATTTGGTTCCCACAGCAGCCCTCTGTGACTGGTAGTGTGGGTATTAATAACATTCCATTGTGGAAGTAAGGAAGCTAAGTAACACAAGGGTGTCATGGATTCTTTGGGTCACAGAGCTGCCCAGTATCCTCCTACTGCACTTGATTTCTTTCTAATCCTCAAAATTTGTCTGTAAGTAACAGGATGAAGGGAATACAGTGTTACTCTGGAACTTCTGAATTCAACAATAGAACACTTTCTATACTTTAACTGAAAATGTTAAATAATAGCAATTCACATAATAACAGTTTCAGCACACATTTATTGAGCACTTACTGTGTGCCAAGTGCCATTCATGCATTATCTTATTTAGCCTCATTAAAATATACATTTTATAGGTGAGAAAAATGAGGCCCAGAGAATAGTTTTCCCAGAGATAGCCACCTACTAACTGGCAGAGCTGGGACTTGAACCCTGGTGTGGCTAACATTAGAGTCCATGCTCTTAATTCTGACATTTTGCTTTTCCATTTATTTAGAACCTTCCATGTGTTTGGCTTTACTTGTAGCACTGGTGATAATGAAAATAATACGAGTCTTTGCACAGGTCTTTACACAAGTCTTTGCCTAGTACACAGCATATAATATGTAAATAGTGATTTATCAATGCGCCAGGTGGTTCAATATATACTTCCATGAAATTCTGAGGAACCAGTAGGACCTCAGGTTGGGAGAAAGGCATTGCAGGGTTTGCAAGAACAGGTAGAAAGAGCTGGGAAAAGTAGAAGAAAAGAGACTGTTGGTCTATCAGAGTGACACAGTTTTGAGATGAAGAGCACCTATACCTGAAGTAGAGGCAGTAGAAGTAATTCCAGACACTTCTAAAGTAGTGTTTTTAGGACCCAGCTACCAGTTAACATGGGTAAGGGGAGGTATGAATTGAAGAGAGAAACTCTGAAACCTCATGCAGAGCCAGAGGCCTTTATTTTTTCATTGTTTATTACAACATTTTTTGAAAAAATTATAACTCCATTTTGCTTTTATCTCTATAAAAGTCTTTGGTACCATTAAGAAATCAGTTAATGTGTTAAATTGCCATAATCTTTATCAGAGGGACTATTTGGTTCTCTGTTAAAACATTTATGATTTTAAAATTTGTTATTGAACATTAAAAATATACTAGGTCTCTTAGGCCTGACGTTTGCTTTTTGGTTTTCATTGGCTTTTTCGGTAAAAAACACTTTTCATAATCAAGAACTTGCTCTTAGAAAAAGAGCTTCAGGTATTAGCATAAGGAAATGAAATATTAATAATTCAAATGGTATTTAATCTCATTCCATCTTCAAATTAAAATAAGATACATAATGATTTTCTTATTATAGAAATACCAATACAATGGAACTTGTTACAAAGACATACAAAGTTTTCATTTTTATGGATGAGAAATGATTTCTTTAGCCCACTTCTCAGCCAAATTTCTTATCTGTGTAATATGTAGTCCCGTATATTCGCTCAGCAAACCAGGGAGAGGATAGGAAAATGTAAGTTCTTTACCACCTGGCTTCTTAGGAAATAGTTTTTAGTTTGAGCTAAGTTATTTTGAGTCTTGACCCTAAAAACAACCTTTTTGGAGAAAGTATTAGGCATTATGAATCTTTTCCCAGTTATTAGCCGTTGGGGAGCTCTTCAGGTCTGCTTCCTTCTCATGGTTGTTTCTCACCAGCTATGTTGAAGCATCCATCTTTTTCCTAGACAGAGTAAGACTGGTTCCTTCCTAAACAACTTTAATGAATATAAAAAAAATCTTAAGTATTCATGATCTCCCAATTCCATCTTAAGCAGGAAACTAGAACTATTTATTTCAAGATTTCAGTGGTACAAAAGATTTCAAGTTAAACTGTACCTCAAAGAGAGGTATTTTGTGCTTGACCAATTATACTCATTTAAAGCTAAAATACAAGAAATACAAATATTAACTTAAGGCTCTTAATAACTTAGAAATGAAATGTCAATGAAAATATGAAGCTGATATAT
This sequence comes from Homo sapiens, assembly GCF_000001405.40. Lineage (NCBI taxonomy): Eukaryota > Metazoa > Chordata > Mammalia > Primates > Hominidae > Homo > Homo sapiens. The sequence goes on along the minus strand of NC_000006.12, from coordinate 119,304,357 downwards.
TTCAAAATGCCCACTTTAAAATATTCCCTCCAGTGTCTCTCTGAATCCATAGTTCTAGCTTCAAAAAATTTAAAGGAAATTGGATTACAGTAAAACATTTCACAAAATGCAAGGGTCTTCAGGTTTCTTTCTCATTATTATTAGATAAGATTTACAACTTTTATCTTTTTTGAAAATCAAGTGTTTTAATATTCTATTATTTATAGTTTCCTAATGATAACTTCTTAACTTGGCATTTGAAAGGCATGTGCCAGTGAAATAATTTTCACTTATATTTATAGATTTGGTCTTGGATCGTCCAGAGTGCTAATTACATATAGGAAGTGTAGTGCCCAGTCTTTCAGCAGCAATTCATTGTGCTCCTGAGTGCAGGATCGGCTGCCTGCCACTTGCACAGCCAATAACAAGGATGAAGTTCAGTGAAAGGAAAATGACTTTTATTTCCAAAGCTAGGAGTGGCAGGCTTACTCCTCTAGAAACTGCTTCAGACTTGAGGCTGGGAAGAGGGTCTTAAAAATGGGACTTGGACTGGGAGGCATATGGGAAGGGTGCCTGAGTATAAGATCTGCATGTCTTGTTCTGGTGGCTGTATCTAGCTGTAGTCTACCTGGAGTGCGGCTGACATATCAACAATAGCTGGGTTGCTGACTAACTGCCTTGAGGTAGTCTCTGAAGTTTTGCAGCTGGGTCTCCATGCTTGATCTGTCACAAGATTAGCCCCTGGAACTTCTTAGTAAGCACATATTAGATCCAAGTATACAGTTACGTAAATGTTCATGGGGTGAAGGAGTGCATAGTGGGAAAGGGGAGTGAAGTTTCAAAGCATGTTTCAAGGGGATATTTTAAGACTAAGGAAAAAGGTTTCTACAGTTTGTTTCAAGGTTACATCTTGAGACTGGAAGAAAGGACAAAGAAAAACATTTTAAACTGCGTTTTGAAGCTAAACTACTCAATTACAATTGGGCATCATTGTCACAATTCCACAGGACACCATAAGGAATCTGGAGATAAGACATGACTTGTTTGTTCTAAGTTTATAGGCTAAGTGCATGCCTCATGACTCTAATTCTAGTACTCTGGAAGGCCAAAGTGGGAGGATTGCTTGAGGCCAGGAGTTTGAGACCAGCCTGAGCCACATAGCAAGACTCATCTGTACAAAAAAAATTTTAAAATTAGCCAGGCATGGTGGCACACACGTATAATCCCAGCTACACAGGAAGCTGAGGCAGGAGAATCACTTGTGCCTAGGAGTTTGGGGCTGCAGTGAGCTATGATTGCACCACTGTACTCCACCCTGGGGGACAGAGCAAGACCCTGTCTCAAAAGAAAAAAAAAGTTTATAGACTAAAAGATGCACACGTGTAATTTTAATACAAGATAGAAGGTGTTGAATGCCAGGGCAACAGGAAGTCTCCATGTCATTGGAATTCAGAGGAAATAAACCACAGAGGTCAGGACTTGTAGGGGATGGAGGGTAGTTAGCATCAGTCAGAATTCATACGGGGGTGAAATTTCATTTTAGAGTAATGTCTTCTTAGAACTATCACTAAACAATTTTAGATCTAATTATATTTAAAGTTTTGCACAGGTGCACTTTGATGTAATTACATCAGTCTTAAAAAGTCTGTTGCTCCTTGGTTTTAGGCCTATTCTTTTCTTGCTAGAGAATGCAATCACAGGCCGGGTATGGTGGCTCACACCTGTAATCTCAGCACTTTGGGAGGCCTAGGTGGGTGGATTATGAGGTCGAGAGATTGAGACCATTCTGGCCAACATGGTGAAACCCCGTCTCTACTAAAAACACAAAAATTAGCCAGGCGTGGTGGCATGCGCCTATAGTCCCAGCTACTCAGGAGGCTAAGGTAGGAGAATCACTTGAACCCGGGAGGTGGAGGTTGCAATTTGCTGAGATCGCGCCACTGCACTCCAGCCTGGGCAACAGAATGAGACTCCATCTCAAAAAAAAAAAAAGAGAGAGAATGCAATCACTAATGAAATTTCTAAGAGAAGTTTCTGAGACATTTATTTTTATAACTCAGAAGAAACTTTAAAGATTAGTATATCAGTCGATAGCCCGTGATAATTTTTAGTTTGGTGCTGTTTTATACTTTCATTGAAAGAATTTTAGACTATGTTTAATATTATTGCTTATTAATAAATCCAGCATTACCCTCTCCCTTTCTTAGTTATGGTCAATTTACATATATTTTATCTAGGCAAAGTATTTTATCAAATATTTTTCTGATCTTTTCAGGTAACATCAAAGGAGCAACTATAGTAGATGCCCTGGATACACTTTTTATTATGGAAATGAAACATGAATTTGAAGAAGCAAAATCATGGGTTGAAGAAAATTTAGATTTTAATGTGGTAAGTTAAATAAGAATTTCTAATTCAGTCCTTAAATTTCAGTTAACATGGATAAATTCTGTAGTGGGCCCTATTATTGTATTATAATGTACCCTAACAAAAATATTGCAACTTTAGGTAGTACAAATACTATTATCTTATACTATATTCTTAAATTGTCCTCACTACACAAATGTGTGTCTTTGTTTTTTGGCAAATGAAGAGTAAGAGAAAAGAAGTTAGTATTTATTGAGACCTACATGTGCCTAGTATTCTTGTTCAGTCCCACTGCAACTCTATGAGATGGGCATTAATTTCACACCTTTGTATATTAAACATCTTAACCTCAGAGGCTTACTCCAGATTGCACAGCTGGTTGTGTGTCAAGAGCTGTGATTCTGATGTAGGTCCATGGGGCTCCAGTGCTTATGCTTTTACACTGTGTCATGGTGTATCCAGCAGTAGCAGCAGCATTCATTTTCCCGTAAAGAAAGATTCAAATTTTGTGGATCTTATTCATCTCTCAGTAAAAATAAATTGATTATATATGTGATATATTTTTTAAATTCTGTATGCTATCATTCTTAGCAAATATTTCATGGCCCATTGTATACTGAGGGAAAGAATCAGAATTAAGGATAGTGAATACTTCTAATACTTCTTGATAATTTTGACTGGGGAGGACTACGTCTTATCAGCTCTAATTTGATAGTCATTGTTTTACTTTATAATGATATTGACAAAGAACTTATACTAAGAGAAGAAAGCATGTAGGCCATGGAAGTTTTTAGTCGTTCACTTCAGTGTGTGTTATCAGTATTATTTCTAATCTGAGACTACTTTGCAGAAATTCTCGTAAAGTCTCTTGTCTTTCGGGTAAGCATTTGATAGTTTCTGTAAATCCCAGTCACCACGCACAAGTAACATGCTGTGTGTTGAAAGTGGACAAAGAGAATTTCCCTGCTGTTGCCTCTGCTTTGTGGCACTCTTGTTCTCTCAGAGACCAAATGAGGACACCAGTGTTAGGTAGAATATTAAGGATCAGTAAAGCTAAGTCTTTCCCCCATCTATTTCAATTAAAAACTTATATAAATTAAAAGTTTAATATTTTGTTTCTACTCCCCTAATTAATTGCTATATATACCGCATTTGGGAGACCTAAAAGACAGGCAGATGAGTCTGTGTTTAATTTGCCTAATAATTGAATCTAGAATATAAAGGAGAGAATATTCCGATCAATATTAAGGGACCTTGGGGATCAATGTGTTAAACCCTTCTATTTTAAACATGAGAGAGCAGGCATAAGGAGCTAGTGATTTGCTCAAGGTTATGGAGCTATTTGATTAGAATGACCTGTGGTAGTGCTGATATTGATAGAGCTAAATATGAAAAATTAAAGCACTGGAAAAAAACGGTTTCATTTTGGAGGCTTGCTTTCTTAATAATACTTCTGTGGACCGGGCGTGGTGGCTCACACCTGTAATCCCAGCACTTTGGGAGGTCGAGGCAGTTGGATCACGATGTCAGGAGTTTGAGACCAGCCTGGCCAACATGGTGAAACCCCGTCTCTACTAAAAATACAAAAAATAGCCAGGCATGGTGGTGTGTGCCTGTAATCCCAGCTACTCAGGAGGCTGAGGCAGGAGGATCGCTTGAACCCAGGAGGCGGATGTTGCAGTGAGCCGTGATTGCACCACTGCACTCCAGCCTGGGCAGTAGAGCAAGACGCCGTCTCAAAAAAAAAAAACAAAAACAAAACAAAACAAAAAAACTTCAGTTCTACCTTCTTATTAAAATCAGCTCCTACCTTCAAAAACCTGCAGGCTTTTCTTTAGCTATGTATGAAACCGACTGATATCTGTCTTTTCAAGAAAGGGTAGGGGAATAATAACTAAATTCCTCTGAAACACTAATGATGGAAAACTGGAAAGCATACTTTAGTAACACTTGACTTATGAATAGTGTCCAAGTTTCTTACTGAATCTTGGGTTGGTCCATCTGGTAATTGTAGCATTGTTGCCCCAAACCTCCTCAAATATAATAGCGGTTTTTTTCTTTTCACGACCTGTGCAACCTGTGGTAGTCTGAGGAGCTCTGGACTTGGGGCCAGAGGTTGGGGTTGGTGGAGGATGAGGAGCAGTTTTATTTAAAATGACTAAGTGCAAAGGTAACAGACAAGATGTTACTGTAACAGAAGGCAGTTGGCTGTCCTCAGACCACCACAGGATGCCTTGAATGTGTTCCATGGGTCCTGGAGACTTGGGAGAAGGAAAGATGAATTTAGTAGGGGATATCAGACTATGTAGAAGAGAAGAATTTACTGGGCTTCCTTACTTGTAAGGTGAAAGGATTAGACTAACATTGAGTTATTGCTAAGATACTGAACTTTGAAGTTTTCTTTATTTAAATTTTTATTTTAGTTTTTAATAAAATTTTACTCAATTAGTATGCAGACTTTTGCATATATATTTTAGGCCTGTTAATGATAGTTTTGGGTTATACCTTTCAAGATATAATTTTAAAATATATACAACTGTTATGTATTCATAAAAATTAAATATACATATTTCAAAAAATTACAGCCATATTTCTCAAATGTCTTTATTATACTATTTTCTTAATATAAGAGGTCTTGAAAAATATTTGTTGCAGGTCTCTTTGGGTATTACCATGTTTTCCTTTTAAAAAATATGTTGTCAACAATATCCAAACAATAATGTTTCCCATATTAAAAATAGTAACATACAAATTCTGGAGAGGTATATTGACTTACTTTTCTAATCATTACATTGTGAAGTTTTCCAGCTTACTGTATTCTAGTTGGTTTTAATATGTCACATTAGAATTTGTCTTATATTCACCCATTCTATCCAGAAATCCAAATGATTATTTTTAAAATTACAGGATTTTTCTTCAAAAAACATTGAGAAATTTTTCTCATTTATATGAAGAAAGGAGAAATTGAAAAAGCCTTAGCAAAAAAAAAAGAAAAATTATACTAAATAACATGTAGTATCATTCTAGCTTATAAATATTATTACTTATATTTTAGTTAACACTTTTTCCTGATAAGGTATTCTAATTGACAGTGTAAGGGTATTATTTAAAAAGTTGGCCAGGCGCAGTGGCTCACTCCTGTAATCCCAGCATTTTGGGAGGCCGAGGCGGGTGGATCATGAGGTCAGGAGATTAAGACCATCCTGGCTAACATGGCGAAACCCCGTCTCTACTGAAAATACAAAAAATTTCCCAGGCATGGTGGCACACGCCTGTAGTCCCAGCTACTTGGGGGGCTGAGGCAGGAGAATAGCTTGAACCTGGGAGGCAGGGGTTGCAGTGAGCTGAGATTGCACCACTGCACTCCAGCTTGGGCAACAGAGTGAGACTCAGACTCAAAAAAAAAAAAAAAGAAAAGTTAATGCATCTAAATTTATTGCAAAGGGAAAATAAAAATGAAACAAACATTATTGTTGAGAGTTTGTTTATCCTATGGTGCTCCTAAGTATAAACAAATTTTACACTCAAGAATAAATTTGTTAATGTGAAATATCCAATTTATATCACTGAAAAGTATAAAATAAATGTTTTGTATTGGTTTATACTGTAATTAACTAAAACTCATTTCCTTTTCATTAGGGCATAGGAAGTCGATTCATTTTGCATACTTGGTAGCACAAAGTTCAAATGACTTTAATATCTGGCTTAAAATAAGTTGGGATAATATGTTCTGGGGAGTAAGGAACAAGGACTTCACAGAAGGAGCTTGTATTCAGTTCAAGTATCTGTAGAGGCACATAGATATTAGCAGAAAACCCTAAGTATTGACTCCATGAATGCATTTTCTAATTTTAACTCAAAGTAATCTTAGGACAAAGGATCTAAAACTGATTCTTGGTTAGTCACTCTTCATTCACTCATGTGTTATTTACTAAGTATCTTCTAAGGATCAGGCATTTACCCTTATGGAGCATTTAGTCTAGCAGGAAAAGTAGTCAGAGAACCCTAGCTAAGCCAGGCTATCTCAGGAGGGAAGAAATGAAAAGAGGTCAACTACTATTTGGCCAGGCGTGGTGGCTCACACCTGTAATCCCAACACTTTGGGAGGCCCAGGCTGGTGGATTTCTTGAACCCAGAAGTTCAAGAGCAGCCTGGGCAACAGAGTAAAACCCTCCCCACCGCCGCCATCTCTATTTAAAAAACAAAACAAAACAAAAAAACTCCAGCCTGGGCGACAGAGCGAGACTCCATCTCAAAAAAAAAAAAAAAAAAAAAAGGAAACTATTTAGTAATATGTGATACATACCAAGTATTATGATAGGTGATTTTTTTCATGGGTGTATCGTGTTTAATCTTTGTGACAAGCATACAGAGTAGTAACTGGTATTTTTCCCTATATTTATAGATGAATAGGTGGTTAATTAGGCTGTCCCAAATTATGCAGCAAGATCTCTGGTTTGAACACAGTCTGCCTAACTCAATGACCTTGTGTTTTTTTAATTGGAGAAGAAATGCAAAGAGTTGAGAAATATATACGCAGTCAGAGAATTTGAGTCCTCTGAGGTTAGGCATGTCATCTTAATATTAGATTACTAATTAGAGTTTATTGTTCAATAGTGATTTGATAAATATTTGTTAAATGAATGAGAAGTTAAGCCATCTTATCCTACTTCCTGACAGTCTGTGCTATACTCAGCTGGAAGAAAAGCTCAGGTGCAAGGGTAGCTGTATTGTGTCATCTGTTTATATAGTTACAGATGATCTGGAGTTCAAGTCACTTGGTCTACCTGTTATTACCTAACCTATTTCCAGAACAGATTTGTAGTGGCCCCTGATAACAGGAAGATCAGTTGCATAAGAACAAATGATCAAGGGTTTCCTATTTGGGCATTTCTAATTTCAATTGTGTTCTTTTACTGGCACTTAAAACATTATTGGTTACCTAGAACCTCACATGAGAAATATTGAAAACTATCTTCTGTAATGAATTTTATGGAATATGTAGAATTTTTCTCCAGATAACAATTTCTTATATTAACCCTCTGTAAAAGCTAAAGCTGTGTTAAAATTTTCCTTAAAGCTGTATTTCTGGACTGCAGTAAAGCGATATCTCAGTATGAGAGGCAGAGCCTTGAGAATGGCAAAGGATAGATGATCAGCCTGCTGTGGACACTAACTAGCAACACCCTGTAATTGTGATCTTTGGCAAGCATCTGGATCATGCCTTTAGTTGTAATGAACACTTTGTGTTTTGGAGAACAGAAGTTCTGGTGGCAACAGTGACTTTTTTTTTTTCTTTAATGTTAAGATCCAGATTGTTTGCATACCCAGTTGGAATGCCCTCCTACTTTTCAAGAAAGTAAGTTGTAGGGTTCCCTGTCAGGAGGATATATGTTGACTTCAAGAAGCAACTTTGGATCTTCTCAAATGCATGACTGAGTACTGGCTTAGGTCCAGAGTTCCATGCCATAGAGTATGAAAGAAGTTACTTTTGCCTTAGTGTTGCTCCTGAGAAAGGTCTGTTTTAGAGCCACATTACATCCTGATGGGCGCAGATAACTAAGTTAATTATCCTGTTAAATGAAGTTATTGAGTGTGTTCCATCTGAATGCTAGGGAATACCTACCAAGAGTGATGATTTGGGTTTTGGTTTTCAGAGGATACTGTGCTGTTCTCTCTGATGGTAATTAGGACTGCTGCTTGAGAGCCTCTGGACCTGCATGGTAAAACCAGTCTATTAACATAGAGAAGAGAGGTATTTGCATATCTTTGTGGCCCACAGAACTTGGACTTTGTTAGCAGTCTTAAGAGATTTGTCACGTTGCTTAAATAGGAAACCAAAGGCTGCCAGGACACACTGTGACAGACTGACTTACACTGTGAAATATTGCAATTTAATCGTTTAAAGGAGTTGTATACTTTTAATCCTCAAAGTGTTAATCCAGCACACACTTTGAAGTATCATTTATAAATAAAGGTGTATGCTAAGCCTAAACATAGGCAAGGCTTATTGGTAGTTACCAGTCTTTAATCAATGGTTTTGAAAAGTCTCATGTTGCTTCTAACAAAGCCATTGATTAAAGTATCGTTATCATGTGTTAGTAATGGAGCAGTTGTTATTTACATTGGATTTTGGTGAAACAGTTAATATTAAACAGAAATATTGCATTGGTATGTAGTGGGCAGTTATTAAAGCTTGCTTGATTCTCATGTATGATAATAGTCCCGTACCCCAGGCTCATAATTCACTAAGTAGAAAGCTGATACAGAGTTTGGAGGAATAGCTAGCAAAAGAGTAGTCTCTGATTGTAGAGATCGGAGAATTGTCCTTTTAAAAACAAAAACTATTACACTTTTAGTTCACTCTGAAAATCAAACACTCAGAATAGAATTTAAATATGTCTGATAAGTTCTTTTCCAAGAAATATTTTTCCATTTAATGCAATCAATCAGATCTGTCATGCTGTATGGAATCATAAGATAATAAGGAGAATTCTAATATAAGTGTGACTCTAAATAAACATCATAAGGCTTGAAGATCCAAAGAAACAATTTATTATCTGTTCCTCGAGCTTGCATCTCGATATAGCTCCTCAAGCAAAAGGAAACTGGCTGAATCTGCTCCAAAACTAAAATTTGTTATTTTCATTGTCAAGCCTGTTATTTCACTTAGTGAAATCTATTAAAATACGTCATCGTATAGCTAATTTTGGTGAATAAGTTGCCTATAAAAATATCAAATTTCAGAGTTGTTTAAAGTGCTGTCTTGTCTAGTGTGAAGAGGTTGGTCTTTCAGGTACTCATTTGGAAACAGATTTTGACGTGTTCATTTTCTCTGTTGCCTAGATGGGGTTAGATACTTCCTGTCCATGATCTCATGGTATGTTGGTTTAGAAAAAGCCTTTCTTTGCAGAGAGATGGAGCATGATGTTAGGATTGAAGGAGGGAAGCATACAAAATAATTTATATATTAGACTCTCTTTTTCATGTTAGCAGTCTTTGTCACTTTATCTCGTAAATTTACATACATGTATAGTAAATGAGTAGACAAAAACATATGGAAAAGGGATAGATCTAAGGTGGAAGTTATCAATCTCAAACACCCAAGACAATAATAGAGATTAGTACTGAGGCATAATTTTTTCATGATTTGTAATACTCATCTCTTGATTTTAGGTGTAAATTTAGGCATACCATGTATTTTATTCAATTTATATGAATTCAATTTAGATGAATCTGGTTCAGTGTGTTCTTTGATTAAGTGGTCATTGCTATAAGTAAATCAAAATGAAAGAACAATTTCTCCAATTCTGATTTTTTTATTGGTTGGTCTTAACCAAAAACTTCCAATCTCCTCTTGCTTATCAGTTGACATTAACTAATAGGTACATGGAATTTAAATAAAAGACGGGATGTACTTCTTAAACTGCCACTGATGTAAGACTGTGTACTAGAAGCCACTGAATACATGGGGCATACTGGAATGCAATCCTAAAGATTTAAAAGGGAAGTTACTTTTATTTTAAAACAAACTCAGATAGGTAGACTGCAAAATTCACATTAATTGTTAGGATAAATCTCACAAGATTTAGTGTTACAGGCTGCTTTGTCTGCCTACTGTCTTCCCCCTGCTGCAAATACCCCCTCTGTCATTAGGGTAAGTCGGTAGAAAACTTTTAGAACATTATGACTATTAATAAGAATGTATTCATTTAAATTTATTATTTAATGGAAATTAGAATCAGAAGTTTATAAAAATGGCCTGAGACCCTCATTTGTAGAAATTCACTTTTGAAAATCCAGATTTCATACAAAATATATCAAGCCCCAAAGGAAGTTGGTCAACTTCTATATTTCAAAAGAGGATTTTTAAGCCCTTGAGAAATAAGACCTCATATGGGCCAAAGAAGATGAGTATTTATGATTCTAAAGTTTCTGATTTTCCAGTGACCCTGGGAAGGTAGGTTTTAGTTCGTTTAGGCTGAGCTGCACAGTGGTAGTGGCAACAGCTGTCTATTGAGTGTCTGATGAGTGCGTTACCAGCTATTGTGTACATTGCTTTACATCATGGAGGAATTCATTGTCCCTTTCTACGTATGACAAAACCAAGACTCAGAATAAATTAGTTATCTGGGACCTCAAACTCAGATGGCTTCCAAATCAGCCTTCAATCCCAGGTCTTTCTGATTTCTGCAGGATAGCCAACCAATTTGGTGTGGTGGGAGAATTTTTATCTTCTTAGTCCTTTTCATCTACGAATCTATAAAGAGTTAACTAAAGGGTCTAAATTTCAATCTTTTGGCCTAAAAACATAATACAACCTAGAATACTGAAAGAGACCTCAAATTAAGGTTTCTAAATTATTTAAACTTAACTTTGAAAAGGAGAGAGAAAGAATTATATGTTGGAAATTCGAATGTGGTTCTGGTTTTCAAACAGAGAAGATGGTGACTTGAGAACTAGTGATGGTGGTGGTGTGATGTTCCAGAGCAAGATTTATTAAAGACAAGGACATAGCAGTCACTGGTATCCTTCATGGATTAACTAACAAACCAGATTTGCTTCTTAAACAGGCTCACTGGACAGACTATTAGATCCATGAAATCCAAAGCCATAGCAAGTGACCTTGAGTATGGCACCTTGCAGGGTCATTTCTCAATATCGTACAGTACAAGATAAATAGAATTTAGGTTTTAGAATATGTAATTGGATCAATAACTGGTTGAATAACTGCATCCAACAGTTGATTGATGTCTAGCTGAAGATATATTTCTGGCAGTGTTTGACATGACTCAGACCTTCACCTTGGAATAATTTTTATCGGATGTCTACATAAAGGTCTTGATTATCCAAAATTTTCACGGCAGGAAGAGAAAATGCATTATGTCAAGAACCTATAGCCAGAATAAGAATATAAGATCATCTTAACAGTCTTCAATAGGCAGAAATGTGGGAAACTGTTACCAGGTTTAAAAACTGAAAAACACAAGTACTAATTGAGAGGAATATGATTTGAGGGTTTAAGTTTATTAGATTTTATTATTAGATATTATTACTCTTAAACATAGGAAACGTAGTCACGTGAACCAAACTAAATACATGGGTTAGCTTCGCTTTTCCTTATCAGTAATTTTGTAGAATATTAAAGCCTTTGCCAATATTTATGTAAAATTCATTCAGAGTGATAGACCTCAAAGTTAAATTACACCTATATATAGTACTTTTAATCAGATTATATCAGGTGCACATTACAAATTATAAAATACAGTTAAACACACCAGTCTTATTTTGTGATGTTTTTGCCTAACTTTGACTTAGTAATTCTGTCTCCTAACTTGTTTTCATAATTGTCCTTTTATAGGAATTTTTTTGAATTTTTTTAACTTAAGCAATTACTTGACTTTAATTGTTAGATTCTTAAACCTTTTTACAGAGAGCATGTAAGGATAAAATTAATACATACCTCCTTTTTTTTCTGGAAATATTTTATCCCACTAAAATGTAGACTCAAGTGAGCTTGAGGACCTTATCAGTCCTTATTGCCATTTCCCTATCACCTAGGACAGGGTCTGGCACATAGTAGTTGCTTAATAAATGCTTGTTAAAGGAAATAATATCCCATGATTTTGACTAAGTTTATTTGCCAGATATTGACTCCATATATTATAAATTGCTGTGAGTCCCATGATTATTAGTGAATGGTTTGATGTTAGGCAAAAGTGCAGTAGGCCCAATGAACATGAAAAGAAGCTAACTAAAGCTTGAAATGTGCTTTATAATCTAAATAGTAGGTTAGCTATTCTAACTTACCTAGTAACAGAATGTAAGACAGATCTATTTACTAATCAAGTATAAAATATTAGCAGTAATTACTAATTATATGACCATGAATAAAGAGACTTGGTGCATTATCCTGTGAGGTATATAGAAGTCAGAATAGCAGAGCCCTGAATCAGGAGCCACAGTACTCAAGTTCAAATCCTGCTTCTACCAATTATTAGTTGTCTGAACTTCAAAAAGTCACATTAACCACTATAAGTCTCAGCTTCAACATTTTAAAATGGATATAAGAATAGTAATTAATTCATAAGGTCATTGTGAGGACTAAAAGAGTCTATATAAAGACATTAGCACAGGACCTGGCACGTTGTAAATAATAAAAGCAAGCTATTATTGGTGTAAATAAGGGCTATTTCAGCATGGTATAACATACATGATTATTATCATGTCCTTTATGCGAAGATGAAATATCTTCTCAGAGATGAGAAGAACAATCCCAAGCCAAAGGCAAAAAGTTGGAAACCAGCACTAGAACCCAGGTCCTCAGACTTCAAATCCTATTTGCAGTCCAGTTGTGCATCATGATGAAAAGATTCCTAGACTAATGTTGAAGTACCAGCCTAAGTATAGGCTGAATAGCCTTTCAGGAAGAAAAAGCAGACAAATGAATAAAATAAAGGAGAATGCAGAGCAGAAAAAAAAAATGCCCTGGCCCCATTATGTTTACACAAATAGAGAATATCAAATATTGTATCTGCTGTTGAAGAGAGAGGAAAGAACTTTATTTGACAAATATTTTTGTAATTTTGTTTAGGAGTCAAAATTATTTTTATCTCTTGCATTAGTCCGTTTTCACACTGCTGATAAAGACATACCTGAGACTGGGAAGAAAAAGAGGTTTAATGGATTTAACAGTTTCACATGGCTGGGGAGGCCTCACAATCATGGCGGAAGGCTAGGAGCAAGTCATAACTTACATGGATGGCAACAGGCAAAGAGAGAAAGAGCTTGTGCAGGGAAACTCCCTTTTTAAAACCATCAGATCTTGTGAGACTTATTCACTATCACAAGAACAGCACAGGAAAGACCCCTCCCCATGATTCAGTTATCTCCCACCGGGTCCATCCCACAACATGTGTGAATTATGTGAGCTACAAGATGAGATTTGGGTGGGGACACAGAGACAAACCGTATCATTTATTTTAAGTATGTTTTTTCCTTTATTTTTAAAAATTGTCATATAATGATTGTACGTATTTTGGGGGTCCGTTAGTGATGTTTCGATACGTATAATGCACAGTGATATTTAATACCTTAATTTTAAAAGGGAGAACATTTCCCCCTGTATATAAACTTCTCTGGGCAAGCATAAGATTTGAACAAAATTTAAGTATTTAGTATAATTTATCACAATAATGGTTTTCTGAATTGTGTACTATCATCATGTTTGAATTTTTTTTTTCCATAGAATGCTGAAATTTCTGTCTTTGAAGTAAATATACGCTTTGTTGGTGGACTACTCTCAGCCTACTATCTGTCTGGAGAAGAGGTAAGATGAAAAGTGGTATATAAATGTGAATTATAAAGTGTCTTAAACTACATTTTTGGTAAAATATGCCATTCGTGACATATATTTAGAAGGAATCTATGGAATTTTTATATTTCAATGAAGCTGTAGCTTACACTGAGTTTCTTACAATATGTACTAATGAAATGAGCAAGCTGGGAAAGTTTGGCAGAACATATTGTCAGGGAATGTTAAGTAATGCCTTTAGAAACTGGCTCTATTATGTTATGTATGGTGTGATTATAGCTACAAATTATATGTGCCTATGGACAAATTAAAGAAGTTTAGTGTAGTGGCGGGCTTGTGGATGAATTTTTTTCTTTGAGAATTATTTTAATGTTAATACAAATAAAAACTTTTTTAAATGAATAAAGCCTGGCAAGTAAGATATAAAAATTGTAGTTTTTATGTAATTAAGGGGGTGAGACACTTAGCTACCAAGTAAACAGTCCTAAAGGCCAGCATCCCTGTATCAAGTGCTTTGGAGCTCTTCCTGAGTCAAGGCTTCATTAATTATCCACTGCTTGGAGCAAAGCAGGAATTTTAAATTTAGCTGCCTTTTATTGATAGATTAAGAAAGGATTTTTGTATCATCCTCATAAAGGTCACTGATGCTATTTTCTTGAAAGGTTTTGGACAACTTTATGAATATCGTTTGAGTGTCCACTAAGGGTTGTTGGAATGGGCCTCATCTTTAATGTTGACAGTGTTAAATGTTGACATTATGGAAAAACTGTCACATATTTCAGTTGCACGTCAGTCAGATTTGAGTTAGCCTCAGCATTCCGGCTGGGGAAAGAGTAGATCTTACCCAAACCAGTATTTCATGTATTGCTATGCTCCTTCAAACAGATTTAAGCACAGCAATAAATGTTTAATGAGAAAAGCTGCTTGACTTTGTTCCTGTCTCTCAAGTACTTTCTTAACCAAAACATACAACCTTCACAATCTTACATTTCCTCTCTGTTTAGATTTTATTCTACCTTAGATCTTTTCAAAGTATATAGATGACTTCTGTATTCATCTATATCTCTCCTGTTTTAGTGTTAAATGTTGTTCATTGTGAACTCTGTTACCTTCTCAGCCAGGGTAATGTGATCCCCTGGTCTGTTATGCCTCTTCCTCCCTTTTTTCTGTTTTTCCACTACCAGATAACTTCATGTGTTCAGTTCAGTTTAGGGTATACTAAGGATTAAGCCAAAACCAAAAAACCCTAAAACCCTATATTTTTAAAAAGTTATGTTTAAAATTAACTAATGTTATTTTAGTTAACAGGTTTCTGCTTTTAGAATACTTGTCTTTGAGTATCCAATGCCAGGATGTTCTCATTGCTTTGGACATGATATGCTAAGATGACCTTGGTTTTAACTTTTTCCATAATCTATGTGGAGGTGAGACAATTTGGAGGAAATAAGGATTGCATCCTTTTGTGTCTGGGCTCAATTAGGATAATAAAGCATACAAAGAAAAACACATATGTATCTATTCTAAATATACATCATGTTTGATTAGGATACGTTTTCACTCAGTGTTTTAAGTTTACATACATATATGTGTTTCTATATATGTGTATACTTGATATGTATATATATATATATAATTATAATACCCACAGATATTATAGTTTGCCTATAGATAAAATAATTTGCCTAAGACTTTGTAAGGATATTTTTTAATTCTGTATAGTGAACTTTAGTAAACAAATGGCTACAAAGAACACTTCCATTGCAAATAACTATTCTTTCAGTCTGTTTTGCCATTATCACTACACAAACATGTTTTTATTACATGTAGGTTTTCTGTATTTTAAATTTTATGATAAAAATTTAAGATTTTTTCTTTTATTTTTCTATCTGTAGAGTGCTTTAGTTATAGGGACCCATATTCTTAGCATGTTTTTTCTTATAGTTTCCAGAATGTTGAACAGTTAGATTATTTTCAGTATCTTTTTATTTTGAATAATATTGCTATAATCAATGAATATTTATTCTCTGAAGTGGTGTTGGCAAGTGAGAAGTGATTAATACTGGATTGTTTTAACATCATCACTTGCCTATTTCTCCCAGTTACTTAGACCCTGACAATTGATTTTCATTTGATGAATGCATTCAGGGGAATTGGCCATTAGGAATGTGATCCGGAAAATTTTTTACCCCAGGTCTGTTCTTGAGCTATTTGTATTCATATCAAAATTTTTTTAAATGAGCATTCATTTAATAGAACACCAACATAGCAAATTATGAATAAGTTGGTTTTAAATAGTTGATAAAGTTTTATACCACACACTTTTTACATAGATCAGACAATTTACTAAGGTGTCTAGGACAATTTGTCTTTCTATGTATCTCATAGAGGGACTTTTAAACCACCATAATTTAACATTCTGATTTCATCACTGAGGCTCAGGAGTATTTTAAGAACAAATCACCATCAGAAGTAGATAGACCCCACATTGATATCAGCTCAAGATTGTTAAATTTGTATGCAAAAGCAGGAGAAGAAGTACTACTGATTTGTGATATGTGTTTCAGGAAAGTTACAGTTAGAAACACTGGACAATAGTTAAGAATCCCAGCAGAAGTCTAAGCTACCAAAAAAATAATAGAAACATGAAGTACCTGTAGTAAACTTTGATTACAGGCACATATTCAAAAATTTGAAACCTCGTAGCTCAGTTAAAATATTTTGTAGCACCATAAAAAAGTCAAGCATCAGTATTTTCAAATGCTATATAAGAAGCTCAACCACAAGAATTACAAACAGATAGGATGGGGATAAGATGAATATTAAATAGGAAGAATCAGTATTAAAAATAAATTTAAAAGGTAGCACTGCTCTATTATAAGCTGGAAGGGAGCTAAAATTCTCACTGGAGATAGTAAATATAGCAGCATCTAGAATATGATTACCCAAAATATGTTCTAAAGACCACTAGTTTCTTTTGATATGGCAGGATAAATCTGTATCTGTATACATACTAAAAATAAGTTTGGGAAGAGCTACATCCTGTATTCTTTCTTGGAAATTCAGAATGCACAAAAAAAGAAGTGAATTAACTTTTATTTATCCTTGCATTTTCCACACTTACTTAACAATAGCCTTCCTCTATTAAAAAAAAAAGTGACATCTGTTAACAGTAAATTAGAATTATTTTTCAGAACAAATTTTGGAAATACTACTACAGAATAAGAGTAAAGCAAAGATGATATTGAAATTGACAAGTGCAAAACGTGTAAAATATGACATTGCAAGAGAAGATGACACATGTAGAAAAGAATTTATGTGACTATACCATGTAACATTATTTGTTTTACAACAGAAACCAATAGCTATATTGAGCAGAAAGTGAATGTAATAGGACATAGAAATGTTACAGAATCAGAGAGAGGGCTGAAGAGCAACTTGGAACAAAAAGTGTCAAGTTGGCATAGGGGATCTCTATAGCTGTACTATCACCTTGGGACACCCTGCAATTAGTAACATGGACTATTTCTTCCACCCTTCTGTTACTCTACTCAAGACACAAAGTCCCTGAAGAAAGAGGCTAATTGTCAGAGTTTCAGTTACATGCAGCCTCTTTGGGGATCTTGGAGAATGAAAAAGGATATGCTAGAAGTCTTCCTCAAAGTTTGGATTCATATCCCGTGAAGACTGAGTAGTATAAGGAAGTATAGATAATTCCTGAACAGGAAATCGAGGCCCTGTGAGAAGAGTAGGGAGATAGGACGTGTAGGAGCCAACAATAAGATTTCGCCCACTATGGTGAATATAAATATGGCAGAGAAAATAGACAAACCACATGGAAACTGACAGTTGAATAAGATACCTGAAAAAATGTAATCTGATTTGCAAAAATATTTTGTAAGCTAAGAGACGACATTTAGAATAGACCAGAGTTTTTAATCCTCAAAGAAAATATTCTGCCAGTACATTTTAACTTTGTAAAATAGAAAAACAGTAGCCAACTCCTGGAAGCCAAAATGATTAAGAACTAGCTTTCAAAGAAAAAAGATGCGGAAGACATCTTATCCAAGACTGGTAAAAGACACAGAATGGATTTTTACAGTAGATGAGTTTACTATGATAACCTCTCATTTTGAAGGCAGCAAAAGGATTTTTCTTCAGATTCCCCCTAAAAGTTATCCACTGCTGCAAACACCAGTATGAAATACTGCTGAAAGAGATTTACTCAATAAATATAATACTGCCAAATTTTAAGACTAACAAGGAGGAAACACAGAGGGGAGTAGGATTGTGGAGTAGGGAGGAGAGAGAGAAGATTAAGAATGTCAGTTAACTGGTGGGAAGATGTAGTTGTTTTTTCATAATAGGGTTAAGACATTCGGAGTATTTGGGGGTTAGAAATTGATTTTTTAGAGTTTGTTTAGTTATGGATAATCGTAAAAATGTTTAGAAATTCTCTAGAAAATTAGGATATATGACTGGTTACCTTTCAAACTCAATGTCTGCCACAATTCATTAGAAAGTGAGTCATCTCCCAGACTACCCATCTGTCTCCTGCCTGATTCTGCAAAAAAATCAGAGTGCCAGAAAATGTGTATGATTCAAACAGAGCTGTGGAAAAACAGAGAATAAAGTTAGGGCATATTAAAGTTTCAGATAAGGTTAGCACATAGCAGTGTATTCTGCCAGTTTGTAAATCATCTGGGCTTTGGATGGAAATGTATCTTCCGGTTTCCTAGTGACCAGAGCAAAGAATGGAAGAGCATTAACAGCAATCTGGTTTTGCTATTTTTATGAATACAAAAAATTTGATACCATAAAATAACCCACATATATTGCTTATATTGAATTTTCCATAAAAGGTAGAAATATGTGGTATAAACAAGAAAAATCCAACAATACATTTGGATCCACCAGAAATACATTAGCACCCTCCCAAATCCTGCCTAAATACTAAATTATAAAAATTGAGCTCACATTTATCCTGCTTTCTTATATATGGAAAGAACTTTAATTATGATCTCTAATTAGGTAGATTTAAATCCAGAAAGTAGAGATATCAACAAAAGGCCTAATTGGAAAAAAAAAAAAAGAATTGAAAACAGTGATCACAATACCTTAAAATAAAAATATATGTTAATCCCATACAGTGAAGAAATAACAGCTATGCAATATAGTTAAAAGGAAGAATTGAAATAGTGATACAGTGAAATTAAAAATCAGGTAATCGATATAGTTCGGATGTGTGTCCCCTCCAAATCTCATATTGAAATGTGATCCCCAATGTTAAAGATGGGGTCTCATGAGAGATGTTTGGGTCATGGGGCCAGATCCCTTATGAATGGCTTGGTGCCTTCCTCCAGGGTAATGAGTGAGTTCTCACTCTATTAGTTACAGCAAGGTCTGGTTGTTAAAAAGAATCTGGCCGGACATGGTGGCTCATGCCTGTAATCCCAACACTTGGGGAGACTGAGGGAGGGGGATCACTTGAGCCTCAGGAATTTGAGACAAGTCCAGGCAATAAAAGCCAGATTCTGTCTCTACTTTAAAAAAAAAAAAAAAAGTCTGCTACCTCCTTTCCCTTCCCCTGTCTCTCCTGCTCCCCCTCTGGCCATGTGTGACACCTGCTCCCTCTTCACCTTCTGCCATGATTGTAAGTTTCCTGAGGGCCCCACCAGAAGCAGATGCTGGTATTATGCTGCTTCTATCATCTGCAGAACCATGAGCCAAAATAAACCTCTTTTCTTTATAAATTACCCAGCCTCAGGTATTCCTTTATAGCGACACAAAACAGACTAATATAGTAATTAAATTCTTTACAATATTTTTCATATGCTGTAGACAATGAAAATTTTAGGAAAATATGTACATCATACCTCCAATCAAAATATAACATTAGAAATGTACACATATTTAAAATGGTAAAACTACTTGAAAATTTAAAAATCTCTCAAATAACTAGATCAAGGAATGAGTATACAATATTAGACAACTTAACAACTACAGTATAAGCATCACATTAAATTTGTTGGAAAGCAGCCAGAGTTATACTTAAAAAAATACATAATTCCAAAGGTCTGCATTAAGAAAAAATAAATATGTGGTTAAGTCTATATTTCAGTAATTTAGGGGAAAAAAAACAAAAAGACGTAACAAAAATAAGAATATAAATAGATTGCAAAATGAAAGAAAAGCTGATAAAGCTTTCTCTGCCCCTTCTCAACAGCGTCCTTATTGAGACAGTCTTCTGGGAAAGACCTTGAGAGCAGTAAGAACCATGTTTTTCACTTATTAAGAGACAGAAAGTTTTGATGACCGTGAGTTTGAGTGGCCCCCTCAGCAGGAAGACCCTTCTAGGCATGTTTTTATATAGTGTCCTCACCTGTACAGAGTGGCACATGGAAATGGTGCTTATCAGATTGGGCGGTGATTGGGAAAAAACCGTGAGAGATGTGCTCCAGATCACAATCACTATTTGGAAGAAATCAAGTATCCCTTCAGCAGATATTGGATGAGTGCCAACTATATGTCAGACACTGCTCATGGCCTCGAGATATGCCTGAGATAAAATAGCCCCCAATCCCTGGCCTTGTGGAGCTTACATTTTAGTGATTAAATGTAGCTCATAAACCAAAACTGGAAAACTTGATGAGACCTGTAAGAAAAAAAGTTGATGTTCTGGTTGGTCGGTTTTGTTATTGGAATGACAGGCCAGTACACAGGGAGAAAACCGACAGTAATGTTCATCCAACTGACCTTCGTACTGCCAGCGTCTCCCCTCTTCAGTCTCTTCCCCACTGTGGCACTAAGGAAAGTTGTCATCACTCCACACAGTCTTCTTGCAAACCACCACTGGTCCATGTGGCCTTAAAAGTTGAGTCGTTTTGATTTGGCCTACAAAGCCTTTGTAATTCAGCCTCAGCCTACCTTTTCTGGTTTCCTTCATAACAGTCCTCATGGACCTTCCACTGTATAACAGACCCTTTTTCTTCCAAAAAACGCACCAAGCCCATCTGTGTGCTTCTTAAATCTGCATTCCTTCTACCTAGAATGTCTTTCACCCTGCTCCTTCCACCCACCAAGATAGATACAGCCCCTCCGAGGCCTTCCCTGGCTGCACAACACTAAGACACCCCCTCCCCACCTTCACTTCCTTTTCTGCATTCTCTGCATACGATATTATTATAGTTCATTGTTTATGGCTCTGTGAGCCCTCTCACCTACTCACTCCCTTTTCCCCAGTAGGATTTGTACAACTCAAAAATGACGTTTCTGCTGTTTTCATATCCTCATGCTTAACACTGTATGCCTGGCACTAGAAAACATTTAGTAAATGTTTAGTCATTTAGTCATTGACTAAAACTCTTCAACAGGTTTTCTGAGACCTTTACTTTTTAAAACTGCAACAGAAAATTCTTCCAGTGACTTTTAAAGTAAAATCTGTACATGGATAATATAAATAAGCAACTAGCCTGGAAGGCTTGGGGTAGGAGATGAGAAGGAGAAAATGTAATGTAGTAAGGTGATGGACAATATGCATGATCTCTAACCACAAATAGCCTCTGTGGCTCCACCTTCAACCCCCACCCCAGCTAGCAAAACATCATCCTTTTTATCTGTTCTGTACATCCTGATTCTCTGAAAAAGAAAGTTTTGAAAATCAGCTGGAGACTATTTGTAGATTATATCATTACTAAATACAGTAGGTCATTTATTGTAGACCTTTAAAATAGATTTAACATAGAGCATTCTGAAATTATAAACCTAAGAAGAAATTATAAGAAGTAAATGTGAAAGTGATTCTACAAGGTACATATATGGTCCTTAATTTGAGGAAACTAACTAAAACTTAATGACACATTTATGCCAATTTCCTAGAAAGGAACAATTTTAATTATATTTATCAGGTGATACTGATTGTTATATTAATGTAATTATATAATTATGTAATTGTTGTATATTAATATGTTTGGCCCTTTGATTTCTTAGAGGTTTAGATTTAGCCTTACATATATTTTAAATGTTAATTTACTATTTGGCATTATTGAAATTTTTATAAGAAAGGAATGTAAAATACTGAATAGCTAATATTTTCATTTAAAAGTTTAATTCAGTAAAACAGAGAATTGTAATTTTGCTTATTATGTTTATAATTAAATTTCCATGGTTAATGAGTTATAGCTGTTACACATTGACTATTCCATTATGATTGGTAAATTTAATTTGTACTTTAAAAGGAATATAGGAGTGTACAGAGTTGATTCAAAAACAACACATACTTTAGTCAAAAGAAATTACTGCTTTTTCTTGTCCTAGAGTGAATTACAGAAATCATACCTACCCCTTAACTCAGATCTGTTCTGTTTGTCCCTCTGCATAAGCCCTATCTTGTACTGATAATTGTTTTTGAAAGCATAGTTTTATAAGCTGTAAAAATTTTATCTCCACAATTCATGAGCACATTTCTACATTTCACTAGTAATCCCAGCCCTGAAACTTATTTATACTTAATGTGTAAATGGTAGAAGCTGGCCTAGCCCTTGATCTCATTGCCAAGTGAGTGCTTGAAACCTAACGGAAAGGGAAAGTCAGAAAATTCAGTTGTTTTGTTTTGTTTTGTTTTGTTTGTTTTCTGAGACGGAGTCTTGCTCTGCCGCCCAGGCTGGAGTGCAGTGGTGCGATCTTGGCTCACTTCACTGCATACTCCTCCTCTCAGGTTCAGGCAATTCTCCTGCCTCAGCCTCCCGAGTAGCTGGGATTACAGACTCCCGCCACCATGCCCGGCTAATTTTTTTTTTTGTATTTTTAGTAGAGATGGGGTTTCACCATGTTGGCCAGGCTGGTCTCTTATCTCTTGACCTCATGATCCACCCACCTTGGCCTCTCAAAGTGCTGGGATTAGAGGTATGAGCCACCGCACCTGGCCAAATTCAGTTGTTTTTTAACGAAATATTTTTATCCCTTTTAGTTTAGCATAGTTCCCTACACATAGCAGCAAACTACAAATTCACATCAGTGAGAAATAGACCTGTGTTATCATTCAGCAACAGCCTGAAATCTCAGTGGATTAAGACAGCATGTTCTACCTTGACTCTGCTTCTCATCATCCTTCCTTCAGAGTCCAACCTGCTGGGGCAGCTGCCATCTAGGTCATTTCTAGTTGTCATGGGGAAGAGGGAGTGGTGGCAAAAGAGATTCTGGCAAATCCCACACTGGCTTTTAATGCACTTGTCTGAAAGACCCATGTTACTTCAGCTTACATGTCATTGGCCAGAGCAAGTCATAGGGCCACTACAACTTAAAGGGGTGAAGAGGTGGTGATGAACAGCATTCATGACCACCACAGCGACCACTGACTTGGGTTAGACTGTGTAGCCCTCTTAACTGCCCAGAGTAGCAGAAGATAAGAATTACTGAGAAGATAACTTTGTCAAGAGTCCCCAAACTGGAGCCAGCCAGTCTCACTGGAAAAACCCTTCAATAAAGTGGCACCAAAGTAGGGTGACGAGTGTGACTTGGGATATGAATCTTCACTAACACACATCTTCACTAAATTTTCAAGTAAAAAGCACTTGTTTACAAAGTTTCCCCTCTCCTGAAAATACCTTCTACTCTGTAGGCTTCTCCCCGGCCTTCCAGATTTGAAACAGTAAAGTTGACAGACAGACATATACTGCCCTCTATACCACCACTGCTGTTGTCTGTGGTGGGAGCCAGTTGCTGTTTGGCAGCGGCCTGCCGTGTTGCCTGGATGTTAAAGACCTGGTGCTTTTCCTTCCACCACTTTTTCTTTGATTTCAGTGCTCACTAGGTCAGTCACTTCTCATTTTTCAAAAGCCTAATGAAAGAGATGAGGTAATATGTTCTATTTTGATTTATATTGAATCACTTTATAATTCATAATGACTGTTGAAACCAATACTTCAAATCATTTTTATTGCCTGAGTCATATTGACATGGATTTCTAACACAGATTTTTGCCTGTGAGTGAATGTTTTTCAACAAAAGTTATTTTTTTCAGGAATGTTCTTGCAAATTATTTTTCTTTCAAATTGTGATCTCCTTTAGAAGGGTATATAAGATAGCTGTAGCAAGAAATTTAAAATTTAATAGGGCTAGCAGAAAATGCCTCAGAATTGTGATAATATACCATCTGGTAATTTCATTCATTAAGTGAATCAGCAGATGCTTATTGAATACCTGCTTTGAGGCACTGCAGTTGGTGCCGCAGAAACAACAGTGAATAAGAGAAACACAGTCCCCATTGACAAATGTTAATTCAAATATTAATTTCACAACAACCCTATAAAGTAGGAGTAGGAACTGTTTTTATTCTCATTTTATGGAGGAAGAAACAGAGGCACAGAGTGTTATTTGCCCAAGGACATGCAAAGTAGCAGAGCTAGGCTTCAAACTTGGGCATTCTGGCTCCCAGCTACTGAGTAGCAGCTAGACATTAGAGATCTCAAGCACAGAAGATAAGATATTGATAGGCCTGAACCCATGAGTCATCAACAACTAAATGATAATTGAAAGAATGGACAGGAGTAAGATTGTCCAGGGCATTATACACTGAGAAAATAGGCCTTAATATTTAAGTGTTGTTGAGAAGAAAGAGCTAGAAAAGGAGACTCAGAAGTCGTGGTCTGGGAAGTAGGAGGGAAACTAGTAGAATGTGACATCACAGAGTCCAAGAGAAAATACTATTTTGAAAACAGATGTTCAGTTCTGTCAAGTGCTGCTGCTAGAAGTTGTATATGGACTCTCTTTAGCATCTTACAACATGGAGGTCATGGATGACTTTATGGAGGGTACTTCAGTAGAGTAATAGGATAGAATCCAAATTGTTTTTGATTGAAGAAGAGAAGGTGGTAAGGAAATAAAGATTAGTTCAAGGTCTTTAAGCAGTTAGGGGAAGGTGGCATTCACGAAGACAGATGGCCTTTGGGGAGGCATCCTTTGCAATATGAGAAAGCGGAGGAGAAGGTAGGAATACAAGTAGGTAACTTATTAGACTTGGTGGCAAATAAATGAGATAGTTATTCTCTGGTGGATCCTGTTAAATACAAGACAAGGATTTCTGCTGAGACTCAGGGGAAGAGGAGAGATGTTTGATGTGAACGTGTACATTTTAAAATTGTCATTCTAAAGGGTTGAGTACAGAAACATGGTAGAGGTTCTGGACAGTGTCTAGGCTGGTAGCCATGAATTTATGGTAGCCTCAATCCTTATAAACGTATGATGCTTTTTCCAACAGTGTTCGGCACTTTAGGTACAAGCATGGAGAAGGCAGTTAGTTGGTTTTAGTTAAGGTTTGGTAGCCAGGTAACACAGAGAGAAAGGCATGGATTTTAAAGTATTGGCAGAATTTATTGAATGTATAGACCATGCAGTCCAAGATGAATATAAGGCAGTAGGAAAAAGGCAGGTGAGTAGTGGTTAGAGAGAAAATGGACTGATTGAATTGCTTGAGGTTTAGCTGAAGTAGCGTAGGAGTAGTAGCCATAATTTAATAGGTTATTGGAAGCTTTTAAAGTTAAGGCTATATGGTGGGATGTATGAATTAAAAGAGTTTTTTTTAATGGAGCAGTTTTAAGTGATGTCATAATCTAGGATAACATGAGATTGAATGGTTGAGGGGGGATTTTGCCAGAGTCTATCTGCATGGCTGTGTTAGTCCATTTTGTATTGCTATAAAAGAATACTGAGGCTGGGTAATTTATAAAGAAGAGAGATTTATTTGGCTCACGGTTCTGCAGTCTGTATAAGCAAGGCTCCAGCATCTGCTTGGCTTCTCATGAAGCCTCAGGAAGCTTTCCACTCATGGCAGAAGGCAGTGGGGGAGCAGGCATGTGACATGGTCAGAGAAGGGACCAAGAGAGAGAAGGGAGGTGCCATACTCTAAACAACCAGATCTCATGTGAACTTGCAGAGCAAGAACTCATTCATCACCAAGGGAACGCCACCAAGCCATTCATGAGGGATCCACCCCCATGATCCAAACACCTCCTACTAGGCCCCACCTTCCAACACTGGGGGGGGCACATTTCAAGATGAGATTTTGAGGGGACAGATATCTATTATCACTGACGATGCAACATATTTCAATTTTAAAAATAATAAGATGTAAAAATTGCTGTTTAAAAAAAAACTAAGTACCGGTGAAGTGATCTTTAATACTGCTAAAATATAAACACTTTCTATAAAATTCATAAATCCATACTAAAATATGTACTGAGTAAAGGTTGCTGCTTAAACAAAAAGCAGAGGGAAATATTCATGCAGAATGAAGTTTAAATATGTGATTGTTGAACAAACATTATGACTCTAGAGCCTTAAGAAGTAAGTCAGATAATTAGAGTTGGCAGTAGAAATGTAAACAAAATGAATATCAGCTAATTAGCTGGATTTTAATGCATCTATACCTGTACAGAGCTGTTTCTTCTAAAATATACTGGAATTTTATCTGCATAGATAAATGTAGACAGTTTGATTGTGGTGCTGTGAATTTGTTTTGGATTTTTGTCATTGGTTTTTGTTTTGTTTTGTTTTTTCAGAATTGAGGGTCTCTCTGTCACTCAGGCTGGAGCACAGTGGCACGATCATAGTTCACTGCATCCTTGAACTCCTGGGCTCAAGGAATCCTGCCTCAGCTCTCTGAATAGCTGGGACTATATATGCACACCACCATGCCTGGCTAATTACTTTTTTTTTATTTATTTATTTATTTATTTATTTTTACTTTTTTTTTTTTTTTTTTTTTTGAGATGGAGTCTTGCTCTGTCGCCCAGGCTGGAGTGCAGTTGTGCAGTCTCGGCTCACTGCAAGCTCCGCCTCCCAGGTTCATGCCATTCTCCCGCCTCAGCCTCCCGAGTAGCTGGGACTACAGGCGCCCGCCACCACGCCCGGCTAATTTGTTGTATTTTTTAGTAGAGACGGGTTTTCCCCGTGTTAACCAGGATGGTCTCCATCTCCTGACCTCGTGATTCACCCACCTCGGCCTCCCAAAGTGCCGGGATTACAGGCTACTTTTTATTTTTTTGTAGAGATAAGGCCTCACCATTTTGCCCACACTGGTCTTGAACTCCTGACCTAAAGTTACCCTCCTGCCTCTACCTCCCAAAGTGCTAGGACTATAGATGTGAGCCACTGCCCCTGGCCTGGATTTATTCTATAAATTAAGTCTTACCTAATGTATGAAACTATCATTTGATTCATAAAAAAATTTGTTTTTGTTAAAAATTTTTATGGTCTGGGAATTAGGTGCCTTCTAAAGGAAGTCCTCTAAAGATTTCATTTGCCAGACTTTCTTGTGATATCACTTTATGATGTAGATTTATGGTTTATGTATTTTTTTAAGTTTTTTTCTTTAAAACATTTTAGAAAATAGTTCACTGACAGATCATAGGGTTAACCATTTTAATAATAATAACGAAGTCACTTCTGCTACATGATGAAATGTTTTCCCAAGAGAGGTCATATATCTGAGTATGCCACAATTTGTTTGCATTTGAAAGCAAACAGCTCCAGTCTTGTAATTTAGCTGAAAATTCATTTAAATTGATAATAAAATAAACATAAGCCTTGAGGGCAATGTTTGTTTTTAACTTAACAATTGATATTTATTTTATAATAATTTGAAGTATCCGATTCCTCTGAAGTAGTACAAATAGAGATTCTAAGGTCCTTCAAAAACAAGGAAATTCCAGAGCTTTAATAGGATAGGCATAGAACAGAAGAATTTTTTTCGTGGCTCTTTATTCTAAACACTTTTGTTTTTCATTCTTGACATTAGGTAGAAGGCTAGGGTTAGAAAAGATAAGCAGAAGAGATTGTCATCTTAGTTTTATAAATACCATTTAGGTTGATGCATTTACTTGTGTAATCATATTTTATGTTATTTTTAGTTATTGACAAAACAATACCCACAGTTGCTCTAATTTATAAATTACTGCTAACTTATGTGTTTCAGTTCTTAAGTCTAACTTGATATTATGATTATTAAATAGTGACTTCCTTAGTTTTCTCTGATGTGGTTACTATAGTCAGGTAGAAAGAACACTGTATAATACAGTTTAGGTTTAGCTATTAAGGCAAATAACTCCAGCATTTATGAGTTTCTGCCGTCTAATGCTTTATAACTAAACTTGGAATAATACTAATTTAGAATTGAGCCCTGAATGACTAGTTATAGTAGACTTCTCTCTATCATCTGGTCAGGCTTCCAATTTTTAACATGTCTAGTCCCTTATGATTCACTCCTTTATTCAGCAAATGTGTTAAGCATCTGTTATGTTCCATGCCATGTTCTAGTCTCTGGAGGATTCAGCAGTGAACAAATTAGACAAAGTTTCTGCTTTCGTAAGATTTACATGATAAGGGGGTAAAATGTTAAACAAGTTCACAGGATCATTTTAGATGGCAATAAGAGCTCTGAAGAAAATACAATATAACCATGTGATAAAGTGATGGAGGGTGGGAAAGGGAGATGATGAGGACTACTTTAGGCCAAATCGGAGCCACAGTCTGAATAACATAGAAGGGTCAACCATGGAAGATTTGGAGGAAATAACATTCTAAAGAGAGGAACTTAAGAGTTCTGTATTGATGGTTCATTTCTTTCTTTCCTTTGGAATGAAGAAGAAGAGAAGGAGGGCAGCAATGGTGATAAAACTTTTTTTATGGTTTATTGTGTGCCAAGTACACAGTATCAGTACTGGGGTAATTACGTCATCTCCATATTGTAGATACACTGAAGCTCTGAGAAGCTAATTCCTTAGCCATATAGGACATGACAGAAATGGGATTACACTCTGCTGTCTGTAGCAAAGCACATGACCGTGTCCACATATTATTCCCAAAACCAGTGTTGCCAGGGTTGGTACCACAACTTTTCTTCCTTTTCTGTTTACTTGCTTATCAGTTACATACCTAAATCTCATAAAAATGAAATAGCAGTTGCCGGGCACAGTGGCTCACGCCTGTAATCCCAGCACTTTGGGAGGCCAAGGCGAGCGAATCACCTGAGGTCAAGAGTTTGAGACGAGCCTGGCCAACATGGTGAAACCCCGTCTCTACTAAAAATAAAAAAATTAGGCCGGGCGCGGTGGCTCACGCCTGTAATCCCAGCACTTTGGGAGGCCGAGGCGGGCGGATCACGAGGTCAGGAGATCAAGACCATCCCGGCTAAAACGGTGAAACCCCGTCTCTACTAAAAATACAAAAAATTAGCCGGGCGTAGTGGCGGGCGCCTGTAGTCCCAGCTACTTGGGAGGCTGAGGCAGGAGAATGGCGTGAACCCGGGAGGCGGAGCTTGCAGTGAGCCGAGATCCCGCCACTGCACTCCAGCCTGGGCGACAGAGCGAGACTCCGTCTCAAAAAAAAAAAAAAAAAAAAAAAAAAAAAAAAAAAAAAAAAAAAAAATTAGCTGGGTATGGTGGTGCATGCCTGCAATCCCAGCTACTCAGGAGGCTGAGGCAGGAGAATTGCTTGAACCCGGGAGGCAGAGGTTGCAGTGAGCCAGGATCATGCCACTGCACTCCAGCCTGGGCAACAGGGTGAGACTCTGTCTCAAAAAAAAAAAATGAACTAGCAGCAACCTTCTAGCCCATGAAATCTTCCACTTCTTGGGCAACAAAGAATAATTAAGTTATGAAAACTAAACCATAATCACACTCGTAATGCTTATGAGTTAATAATAGATTTTTGCACAAGTTGTGTTTGAAAACATTTATTCATTGCACTTAAGTCTTTCTCAAAACACAAAGCTGTCCTTGAATTTTTAATATAGTTCATTAAATTGAAAAAATTCTCATTTTCTTTCCCATGTTTTTATTCTTCAATCTCTGACTCTTTTCATCAATAGAGTAAAATGGTTTTCATTATCCAGTGAGTACATATAACAAAAACTTTCAATATATATAAAGACAGCCATGTGATTTCAGCTTTAATCTCTCTTTTTATTCTGAACTAAAGTCAGATACACTTCAAAATGTTGGTAAAATGTATATATTTTGGTGTGACATTGTGACAGTTAAGGTATACATTCAGCCTTTTCTCAGGCATATTGAAAATGGTAGTAGTTGAGGTAGTTGAGACACTGAATGAGGTAGATGTTCACGATTTAGAAAAAAATATTATTTTCAATTTTCAAATCATATCTGATATAAATGAAGGGAAAAGGTAATACCTTGTCATTTCAGATGAAACTAAAATATTTTGGCTTTATCAACAGACATAAATTTTGAAGGCTTACCAATACAATTGGTATGCTTTTATGTAATTAGAGAACTCCAAAAAGCACTTAGAAATAGCTCGTAAATCTACCATATGTTGACAGCACTTTAATGAATTTCTCTAGACTGTGAATAAAAATTTGGACTCCAGTGCTCTTTATATTTTATTCACTTAGAAAAAGTAAGACAGGATTGCTCAGATTTATTGTCATATATCATAAAAGTAACTACAAAATATCTACTCATTATAGTTAAAGATTTACAGTGAACATTTTATAGTATGTTTTCTCTTAATTATGTTAATTGTTCACAAATGAGAACACTCAAAACCAGTGCTTCTAAGATTAAACTAAGATTAGATCCAGTGGCCTGGCATCTCTCAGGAGTTTTTCATAGGGATCCAACCCATAGTGAAATCTCAGGAGGTCCTCTCAAATAATGGAGTTTAATTATTACTCATAAATGGGCAGTTTTCCACACTAACAGATGTTCTCAATCTCATGCAACCCCACTACTTGGTGTTGCAATTCCCACTACTTTTCCTTATCCATTCAATACTTTCCCCTGTGTCCAGATAGTTGCTGAATCAGCATTTACCCACTTTATGAATACTCAGAATAAAATACCAACACTTAGACTCCTCTCCCCCAACCTTTTTTTCCTATCAAATTAACAAAGACAGAAAATCATGTTAATACCTAGTTTGGTAAGAGTGGGGCAAAAATTTACTCTCAGGCATTGCTGTTGGGAATGTAATATGATAAAAGTGTTCTGGAAAAGAAAAAAAACAAGTGCTGTATATATGAGTAGATCCTTTTAGCTCCAGTTACTCTTATCCTGCATTGGGGAATCTATCCAAAGGAAATAATCCAAAAATGTAATTATATTATGCCAGAAGCAGGTCTTGGAAATATTTTATATATTTAGTAAATAAGAAGAAACATCTCAAATATTCAGCAGTAAGGGAGTGCAGCAGATCATGGAATGCTCACATAACAGAGTAATATGCAGCCATTAAAATTTATGCTTGTTTATTCAAGGGCATGGGCAAGTATGGATATGGTAAATAATGCAGGATACTTTCATGTATGATATGATTTCAGCTATGGAAAATATAGAGAAAAATGATGTGGAGCTATTTCTAAACTATAAACCTAATATTCCTAAATATTTGCTTCCGGTTGGTATGTGATCCTTCCCTCTGCCTGTTTTTCTGTACTCATCTGAATTTCCATACTGAACTTGTAATATTCTTTTGATCAGAAAATATTAAAGGAAAATCACAACAGATTTGGAAAACAATCATTAACTAAATTTCTGCCCCAGTCTTACTCAGGATTCAGTTTTTCCAACCTCTAAAGATTTAAATTTTTTTAACTTTTCATACTAGAATTCAGCTTATAAAGTCTTGAAAGTCACCTTTTTCCCTTTCTGACATCTGTTTCATAAAGAAAATGACTTAGTGGTAACTGGATTTCCTTCTTTATAGTCAATTTATAGATTTCCATCTTAGAAGGTTGTTTATTTACAACAACATCTATTAGCTGTTAATATTATCCTCAGTTCACATGGAAATGGAGGTGACATAAAGCTTAAATAAAGATTGGTCATAAATCCTTGCACAGTCTCAGATCCAACTACTTTGTCTTTATATTATCCAAAGCAGTTCAAAAAGACAAAGGCTGCTGATAGTAACAAGATTTCTCCGTTGAAAACACACACACATTCATAAATCAATCGAAAGTGTGGTACAAAATAGTATGTATTTTGTATTCTTTAAAAAAAATTGAGCATTTCTAATCTCTTCATTTTCCTTAACCATTTAGAAGTCAAAAGTTGAATTATTTGTGATAAGTGTATACGCTCTATTAATATATTATTGCTATAGATAAGCATATAATAAAGTTTATATTTATTACTAACATACATGGAAATTTTGGGCTACTGAGATACCTGGCACAGTCAGTGACTTTGTCTATTCCTACAGGATCTAATTGAAAGGTGTTAGGAAAGGCATAGCAAAGAGCCTTTTTCCTGTTGTTACAAGCAGTAAATGGCCCTTAAGAAACTTCAAAAAGAATGAATGCTTGCTTGAGAAAGAAGGGAGTAAGAGAAAAGCTTTTCAGTAATGAGCAGGAGAAAAAAGAAAACCTGGTCTGAGAGATAAAAGAGGTGACTATTAAAACGGAAGGACACAGTCTACCAGAAACTCGTGAGGCTTTACAAATCAAAATCTAGACTCACTTTACCATGGAAACTGAAGACAATTAGAAAGTATATGTTTACAATTTTGTAATATTTTACTTTATTTTTAATTATCCAAAGCAAATATAAGACTATTCATGATAGGAATTGATAGTTTGGTTATGACTACACCGATATTGAAGCCATGTGTAAATTTGAAATACTTAATTTTTTAAAGCTGTTTCATGGAATCTATAGATGTGACAAAAAGCTAATAATGTATTCTGTCACTTTACTTCCTTGTCACCCTAAGACTGTGTTTCTCCTTCCAGTAATAGGATACGAGGTACTTGTCTGAGAACATGTAACTGGAGTAGACTTTTATGTAGTGATCTGAGGCCCTTACTAGATCTCTTTCTTTCTAAGGGAAATCACCAAATTTTGAGCCTATAGGTAAATCATTTGTAAACCGGGGGTTGGCTGGGCGTGGTGGCTCATGCCTGTAATCCCAGCATTTTGGGAGGCCGAGGCAGGCAGATCACCTGAGGTCAGGAGTTGGAAACCAGGCTGGCAAACATGGTGAGACCCTGTCTCTACTAAAAATACAAAAAAAAAATAGCTAGGTGTAGTGGTGCATGCCTGTAACCCCAGCTACTCGGGAGGCTGAGGCAGGAGAATTGCTTGAACCCAGGAGGCGGAGGTTGCAGTGAGCTGAGATCACGCCACTGCACTCCAGCCTGGGCAACAGAGTGAGATTCTGCCTCAAAAAAAAAAAAAGATGGGGCTACTTGAAATAATCATTGTATTGGAGACATCCAGCTAATGAACTTAAGAAGTAGCTCTTATAGGGTGGAAAGAACATTACCTTTAGAATCTAGAATTCTGGTTTCTCAGGCTCTGTTTGGTTATTAGGTATTACCTAGAGCAAACCCTTTATCACATTGTTTTTTTTTAATTGATTTAAGTAATGGAATATGAAATAAATGTCTTTTAAGCATTCCTTTAAATCCATTTTTCTAGAACTATGATACACTAACATTCAAGTTCACAGAATATTATAAATTAGGGGAGGGGTATAGTGGGATAAATTTCCTTCCTGTAACTCAAAACTTCTTAACCCATTTTTGTATCTAAACACAATGACTCCTTCCAGTGAAATGTAGAGTTGTGTTTCTTGCCATACAATGCTTAGGTAGTCCAGATATGTATATGTGGGAATGAAAAAGAAGTAGAAAAGTTGGGCATCTTTTTCCCCTGGAAAAATATTGTGTTCTATGGAAGAGAAAGTAGTTGGTGGATAGTGGAAAGAAGATGCTAAGAAGTAGAGAAGTCGTTCAAGGAAAACAGTAAACTGCAATATTCACAGAAACAGTTGGGAATATGTACTGATTCTTTACTTAGGGGATGACCATAGTTTTAACTCATTTCTTACCCCAAATTCGCAGATTGCATTCTATTGTATTATAAATAGATCTCTCATTTTAATGACCAACTCAAGGGATATTCTGGCAGCCGTGGTGAGAATGAGAAACAAAGATTTTTATACCCAGCAAAACTGACTTTCAGGTGTAAATGACACAAGCGGGCTATTGTCAGCATGCAAGAACTTGGGAATATTGTTTCCAGGACCCTTTCCTGATGAATATACCTGGGAACAAACTTCAGACCACCAAATAAATACTGTATGATGTCCAAAATAGGCATATTCATAGAGACAGAAAGTAGATCAGTGGTTGCCTAGGACAAGAGGGGTTGGAGGGAAATGGGGAGTGACTGCTGATGCACACAGCACTTCTTTTTTGAGATGATGATAATGTTCTAAAATTGTGAATCAACTCAGTGTGAGTATACTAAAGCCACTAAAGTGTATACTTTAAATGGGTGAATTGTATGATATGTTAAAAAGAAAAACACTATAGTTCTGAGTTTTAATTGAAAATATTAATATGAGCATATGATATATTGTATTTTAAATATACATAAATATGCATATATATGTATGTCCCCTGAAAAGACCTAGAAACAGTATGAAACCAGTAGCTATGAGCATCTCTAACACACAGAGTGCGGGCTTGAATTAATATTTTCCACTAACCAGGGCTTCTTGGAGAAGAGACTGAAATTGGAAATGTACAAGATTAGTCTGAAATATCAAACCAGGTAACAAAGAAGCTAACAAAGACTGCTAGAGTAAGGTCAAAGGACTCAGGAGCCAACTGGAAGAGGCTTCCATTGGCCAAAAATGAGAATTTTGAGTTTCAGTAAAAATAAGAACTATAATAGATTAAAATCCACTAAGTACGTTTAAATTGATAAGTTCAAGCCATGGGCAGTGAAGCATGCATGTAATCACAGCTACTTGAGAGGCTGAGGCAGGAGGATAGCTTGAACCCAGGAGTTCAAAACCAGCCTGGACAGCATAGCAAGACCCTATCTCTAATTAAAAATAAAAATCAATAAATGGATAAGTTCATCATAATGAAAAGCAAAAATAATTGGTCACCTTCAAAGAATGACAGGAAAGCAGTTATCTTGAAAACTGGTATTTTCCCAGGCAGCTGCCAAAGATGGAGGGGCAGGTCCTGGTGCTCACTGGCCAAGGCCACCTTCTGGTCTGCCTGACAGCCGTCCTGGATAGGCAGGTACTGCTGGGCCAGAAGGTGGTGGTCGTGCACTGCAAAGGCATCAACATTTTTGGCACTTTCCACAGAAACAGGTTGGAGTACCTGGCCTTCCTTCACAAGTAGATGAACACCAACCCTTCCTGAGGCCCCCCATCTGCATCTTTTGGCAGACCGCTTGAGGCATGCTGCTTCGCAAGACCAAGCGAGGCCAGGACGTCCCTGACCACCCCAAGGTGTTTAATGGGATCCCACTGCCCTATGACAAGAAAAAGTGGATGATGCTTCCTGCTGCTCCCAAGGTTGTGTGTCTGAAGCCTGTGAGAAAATTTGCCTATCTGGGGTGCCTGGTTCACGAGTTTGGCTGGAAGTACCAGGCAGTGACAGCCACCCAGGAGAAGAGGAAGAAGGCCAATATCTGC
Organism: Homo sapiens; assembly: GCF_000001405.40. NCBI lineage: Eukaryota > Metazoa > Chordata > Mammalia > Primates > Hominidae > Homo > Homo sapiens. The sequence continues at coordinate 119,269,238 of NC_000006.12, read as the reverse complement.
TATTGGAAGAAAAGCAGCTTATGAGGCTATGTAAACAGGCCCAAAAGAATGTGGAGGAGAAAACAATTACACAGAGGTCCTCAAGACCTATGGACTCCTGGTTTGAGCCCACTAAAGACTGTTTATTCCTTATGATTGCCTGGCCTGCCCTTCCACCGTTGCTGCCGTGGGGTGTAGAGGACCCAAGGGTGGCAATCCAGGTGCCACAGACAGCCTGGTACTTAGGAAGCTGGGGGTAAGGAAACGGCATTATTCAACTGCCTTTCTATATTGTTACTTTAAATGACTCTAAGAATTGTTCAGGCGTAGTTTGTCTATGGCCTACTCGTTCATGAGAGAGTTGTTTTAGAAAAATGAGGGCCGGGCACATTGGCTTACACCTGTAATCCGAGCACTTTGAGAAGCCAAGAGATCGCTTGAGTCCAGGAATTTGAGACCATCCTGGGCAACATTATGAAACCCCATCTCTAACAAAAATGCAGAAATTAGCTAGGCATGGTGGCACATGCCTGTACTCCCAGCTACTTGGGAGGCTGAGGTGGGAAGGTCACCTAAGCCCGGGAGGTCAAGGCTGCAGTGAGCCAAAATTGCACCACTACACTTCAACCTGGGTGACAGAGTGAGACCCTGTCTCAAAAAAAAAAGTAAAACAATAGTAAGAAGAGCCAGTTACCTTGGTTTCAAGATTAGCAAAAGGGAGCTGGAACATGCATTGGAGGGAGCCCTACCTTCTGAGTGGGCCATCTGTTTTAACTTCCCACCTTATCCTATACTCTGCAGCTGTGATAATGTGGAAAAAAAAAACACTTGGGGACAGTATGAGCTTGCTGTTTTACAAAGAGTATGTATAGAAGCATAGACTGGGAAGATGTGTGACCAGGGCGTTACAGGGTAGCCCTTGCTCCTTCCCTGTATTTTGTGGTCCGAATCAAATAAATTGCTTTTAAAGAAGAAGAAGTCTGGTAAATAAAGGAAAAGAATCAGGCATTTATCTTGCCCCTCCTGTATGAACTATATCACTGGTAACTAAATAGTAGATAAGCAATGTTTCTCTTAAAATTATACCTGCTTACAAATGAAAGTGAAATGATAAAAGTAGAAAATCACCATTTTTACAACTCCTGATGAATTAATGGATCTGGACCATGGTCACCAACAGCTGCTTGCTTCTCAAAAGGAGAGCAAACCACATAGTGCCTCCTGATAACATATCACCTATAGTCTTGCCAAAGGCATCAAGTCTCCACATCCAGCTTCCAATTTGTCATAAATACAGAAGGAAGAATGTGCCAAACTCCACCATACATATGCAGTCAGGAACCCATAGAATAAGTCTCCCACAGTTCAAATAACCCAGATTTGTCCACATAAATTATAAGGAAAAGAAAAGAAAAAATGAGATGCCTGTGGTTTAAAATAAGAGGCTTCAAAGTCATCCTTTTTTGAAATGATCATGACTGTCTATAGTGTCTAATGATGTAGATTTGGTTGCTAAAACCATATAAGATAGTAAATGCCAGGATGTGGTTACTTTGGGGGAGAGAGAAGGAAGTATGATTGGGACAAGGCCCACATAGGGTTTCTAGGGTGGCTGGCAAAGTCCTGTTTCTTGATCTGGATGCTGCTTACTATGGCATGTGTCTTATAATGTTACACTAGGCTATACAGCTGTATGTTTGTGTTGGAGAGTTCATATCTGTGTGTGTCTTTTTAATTAAAAATATTTTGAAATAACTACATAATTTTTAAAAGGTTATTTAGAAAGTCAAGCTTAGTGGAATCTGCCTTACATCTTGAGATATATTTTGGATCTCTCTCTGTAAATAATACTTAATGTACTGAGTTATCTTGATGTATGTAAATTACAGATTATATTTCAACATAAAACAAGCATAATTCAAACATGTACATGTAAATATTCTATAATACATGTCTGAAAGTGCTGCTGTAAACATCTGTCCAGTTTTTTGTATGGTCATAAATTTTCAGTTCGTTAGTTTAAATACTAAGGAGTGCTATTGCTGTATCATATGGTAAGAGTGTGTTTAGTTTTGTAACTGCCAAACTGTCTTCCAAACTATCTGTACTATTTTGCATTTCCACCTGAAATGAATGAAAGTTCCCGTTGTTTCACACCCTCACCAACATTTGGTGGTGTTAGTGTTCTGGATTTTGACCATTCTAATCAGTAGGTACTAATTAGTATCTTGTTGTTTTCATTTGCATTTACTTGATGATTTGCGATGTGGAACATCTTTCCATATACTTATTTACCATCTGTTTGTCTTCTTTAGTGAGGTGTCTATTAAGATCTTTGTCCCATTTTTAAAGTTGGAATCTTTGCTTTCTCATTATTTTGAAGAGTTCTTTGTATAATTTTCATTAACAGTTCTTTATTAGATACATGTTTTGCAAATTTTCTCTTAGGCCTTGGCTTGTCTTCTCATTCTCTTGACAGTGTCTTTTGCAGAGCAGTTTTTCATTTTAATGAAGCTCAGCTTGTCAAATTTTTTCTTTCATGGATCATGCTTTTAGTGTCATACCTAAAAAGTCATCTCCAAACCCAGGGTCATCTAGATTTTATCCTGTATTATCTTCTAGGAGTTTTATAGTATTGCATTTTACATTTAGGTCTATGATCCATTTTGAGTTAATTTTTGTGAAAGGTATAAGGTCTGTGTCTACATTCATTTTTTTTTGTATGTGTATATGGATATCTAGTTTTTCCAGCACCATTTGTTAAAAAGGCTATCTTTTCTTCATTTAATTGTCTTTGTTCCTTTGTCAAAGATCAATTGACTGTATTTATGTGGATCAATTTCTAGGCTCTCTATTCTGTTCCATTGATTTATTCTTTCACCAGTACCACAAATCGAGACAAGATTATCTTCATTTCTGTATCTCTATAGAAAGTCTTGAAGTTGGGTAGTGTCAATCATTGTCAGAAATTGGCTATTTTGAACCTTTTGCTTCTCCACATAAACTTCATAATCAGTTTGTGTCTACAAAATAACTTGCTAGAATTTTTATTGGGATTGCAGTAATCTATTATTCCAAGTTGGGAAGAACTGACGTCTTGGTATTCAATCTTCTATCTATAAACATGGAATATCTCCATCTGTTCTTTGATTTTTTTCATCAGAATTTTGTAGTTTTCTTCATATGGATCTTGTACATATTTTGTTACGTTTATATCTAAGTATTTCATTTTTTAGGTGTGTGCTCACAATGGTATTGTGTTTTTAATTTCAAATTCCACTTGTCCATTGCTGATATATAGGAAAACATTGATTTTCTATATTAACCTTTTATCCTGAAATCTTGCAATACTCACTTATTAGTTTCAGATTTCTTTTGTTGATTCAGATTTTCTGCATAGAAAATATGTCATCTGCAGACAAAATTTTATTTTTCTTCTTTCCTAATCAGTATACCTTTTATTTCCTTTTTTATTTTTTCTTATAGGACATCTAGTACAATATTGAAAAGCAGTGGTAAGAGGGGACATCCCTGCCTTGTTCTTGATGTTAGTGGGAAATCTTCTATTTCTCACCGTATTATGATTTTTCAAATGTAAAAGCTGAACCAGCACAAAACCAATATGTTTATTTTCCCCTGCCTTCTGGATTCTAATTAATCATTGGTAGAGGAAGTTTAGGCTGTGTGAAGAGTTTGGAAAGACCTTAGGAAATTTTTTTAAATGTTTATTTATTTAAAATTTTTATTAAACTTTATTAAAATGTTCAAGTTTCCTGAAGTGTTTAGACATCAAGAAATATTTACATACATCTCTAGTTTATATTTCCATCCTGTTGATTTCCCTATTAAGAATTTTAATGAGGCCAGGCTCAGTGGCTCATGCCTATGATCCCAGAACTTTTGGAGGCCAAGGCAGGAAGATCACTTGGGCTCAGGAGTTTGAGACCAGCCTGGGTAACAAAACAAGACCATGTCTCAAAAAAAATTAAAAATTAGCTGGGTGTATTGGTGCATGCCTGTAGTCCCAGCTACTTGAGAGGCTGAGGTAGGAGGATCACTGGAGCCTAGGCTTTCAAGGCTACAGTGAGCTATGATTGTGTCACTGCACTTTAGCCTGGGTGACAGAGTGAGACCTTGTCTTAAAAAAAAAAAAAAAATTTAAAAAAGGCACTTAAAAGAAGTCCAAAATGTATCTCAGGAAAGTTGTACAAAATGTATCTCAGGAAAGTTGTACATAAAATAAGACAGGCCTCATTTTACAGATGTTTCTCAATTATGTTATTCCAAATCTACAGTATTGGCATAGCTTTCACTGTTGAAAGGTGTTTTCATTTCTTAAAAATGTTTTTAACCTCCTATCACCAGTCCTATGCTAAAACAGGGTATTTTACCCATAAACTACCACAAATAGATAAAAATAGCTACTTTACATATAAATGGCCCTTTAAAACTGGATACTATTGTATGCCAATTTGCAACATAGTCTGTATGAAAAGAGAAAACAGTAATAAATGCTGTGTTATGGACCAATAATTAGATTCTCAATGTGGTGTAAAGTACTCACACAAGGTTCATTCTTGGCCTCATAAATTTGACCATATCTTTTCATTCTAATGCTCTTAAATGACTTAGAGACATGACTTAACAGTAAAATAAGCTCCTAAACAACAACCGCAAGCACATAAAAAACAAAATTATGCAGTGATGGCATGCCATTTGTTCAGGAATTGGCTGTCCTATTTACTCTTAAATATAACAGCAAATGGAGAGTTGATTGTTAAACTGCACATTCAGGACCTCATGGTTTAATATCTCATGTGCTATTTGCCAGACTAAAGATTATTAACAATTTTTGCTTTGTTCACTGCAGGAACAATACAGTACTTGTATTATACAAATATTTTGATTAAAGTATTGTTTCCAATCAATTTATTTCCCATTCCTTTCGAATTACCTGAGTTAACCTAGTTCAGTGGTTCTCAAATGTAGTGTACATCAGAATCCCAAGGAGAGCTTGTTAAAATACAAATGTATAAGCCCTGCTCTCAGAGCTTCTGATTCAGTAAATCTGGGTTGGGCCTGTTAATTGGCATTTCTTAGTTTCTCCATAATGCTGATGCTGCCTGTCTTGAGGACCACATTTTGGGAACCACTGACCTATTACCATGAAACCATTCTCTCTACAATGAGCAGAATTCTTTTTTAAAAAGTTAGCTAAAAACAAAAAATAGACCTCATGATTTGGCTGTCACCACTCTTTAGGAAAGCATGTTCTAATTTACTGGGTCAAGAACTGAAGGAAACATTTCTTCTATAGGAGATCATAGTAAAGCTTCTTCTTGAAGTCTTACAAATGTTGTATTTATCAAATGGAGTGTTAAACTATTCGAGGTTTCATTTATATTTGGGAAAACTCTTGTTAAATAAAACAGGTAGAAGAGCCCTCTTAAAATCCCTGAAGAATGTATGACACAAATTTCTATCATTAATATATAATAAAGATTCTTTTTTTTGTATTTTGTTTGTTGTTGTTTTTTCCTGTATTATATTTTGCTTAATCTCCCTGGCTGCATAATTGAGTTACCTTTATTTTTAACTTTTACTTTAGGTTCAGAGATACATGTGCAGGTTTGGTATATAGGTAGGTACATGGCGTGTCATGGAAGTTAGGTAAACAGATTATTTTTTCACACAAGTAATAAGCATAGTACCCAATAGGTAACTTTTCAGTCCTCACCCTTCTTACACCCACCACTCTCAAGAAGGCCCCGGTGTCTGTGGTTCCTTTCTTTGTGTCCATATGTACTCAATGTTTAGCTCCCACTTACAAGTGAGAACATGCGGTGTTTGGTTTTCTATTCCTGTGTTAGTTTGCTTAGGATAATGGCCTCCAGCTTTATTCATGTTGATGCAAGGACATTGTATTAGTTAGGGCGCTCTTAGAGGGACAGAACTATATATCTGTAGATCTACATATATCCTGTAAGTATTAAATTAATACTTAATAAAATATAATTATTAAGTTAATATTTAATAAACTATAAGTATTAACTTAATACTTAATAAACTCCCCTTTTACATATAAAACTTACACGATCACAAGGTCCCACAATAGGCTGTCTGCAAGATAAGGAGCAAGGAGAACCAGTCCAAGTCCCCAAACTGAAGAACTTGAAGTCTGATGTTTGAGGGCAGGAAGCATCCAGCACGGGAAAAAGATGTAGGCTGGGAGGCTAAGCCCATCTCTCCTTTTCACGTTTTTCTGCCTACTTTATATTCACTGGAAGCTGATTAGATTGTGCCCATCAGAGTAAGGGTGAATCTGCCTTCCCCAGCCCACTGATTCAAACGTTAATCTCTTTTGGCAACACCCACACAGACACACCCAGGATTTATACTTTGTATCCCTCAGTCCAATCAAGTTGACACTCAGTATTAACCTTCACAGACATGGTCTCATTTTTTATGGCTGTGTAGTATTCCATGGTTTATGTACCACCTTTTCTTTATCTAGTCTACTGCTGATGAGCATTTAGGTTGATTCTGTATCTTTGCTATTATGAACAGTGCACAATAGATACATGCATGTGTCCTTATGGTAGAACAATTTATATTCCTTTGGGTATATACCCAATACTGGGATTGCTGGGTTGAGTGGTAATTCTGTTTTAAATTCTTTGAGAAATCACCAAACTACTTTCCACAATGGCTGAACTAAATTTACATTCCCACCAGCAGTGAGTAAGTATTCCTTTTTCTCCACAACCCCACCAGCTTCTGTTATTTATTTATTTTTTTTTTTACTTTTTATAATAGCCATATAATGAAGTTTTTTAAACAGGCTTTTGAAATCTTATTTCCTTAAAGATCCATGTTGACCTTTACCAGAATTGTTTATTTGTTTTTATTATCACTGCGTAAAATAAGATAGTTTCTTTTTCCCATGGTTATCAGCCATTTGCCCTCAATGGTACTGGTTTGGAGTGACTAAAATTAGGGCCAGAGTAACAGTACCTCACTTTTACTCTATTTTATAGCAAATGAAATGTTCAGTATTGACATTAAGTTTTTAAACAGTGTGTTGCTGTATTTGTTTAGTGCTGAAACAGCTTGACTCCATTTCTTTTGCACCTTGATTCTGTGGGTTTTATAGACAGCCGGTGTTTGGTGCCTGGCCCCAGGACGGGACTCTGCACTGCCACCCATCTGCCATCACTTCTGTTACTCCCTTTTACCCTTGCCTTGCCATCCACCATCACTTCTGTTATTTCCCTTTTAACCCTTGCCCGCCTATGTTTTTTCCACTTAGAGCTTTGGATCTTTTTTAAACACACATGCTGCTATCTCACTCTTTCTTTTAGAACTAGTCCTTTTCAACAAATCTAATAGATCAGTTACTTCACTACTTAGGATGATTCTTGTCTGAACAATAACCTTCAGGATGTTGGCCAGTCTCAGAAGAAAACATATACATGTAATGTACATAAATCATATTGGGTAAAGTCAGTTTTATCTAAAACTGAGTTTAAGATCTTCAAAAACACTTCCATGAACTTTCTTTACAGTTTTGTGCTATTCTCTTTCTAAATTTGCCAATTGTATGTGGTAAGGTTGATGGTGAGGATTTATCTGATTACCTTGTGGAGTATTCATAGTATTTGTCTTCATTTTCTTTTTGAAGAGGAGTGGAAGTTATTACTTGATCCTTTTCCTATGTATCACATTTTTCCAGTGTTACACTTCAAAAACAAGTGTTATTATGAGTCATTGACCACAGCTGTCATGTTTACTTACGTATCCCAAGTGTTTGTGCAACTTGGTGCCTAAGTACATAGGCACTAAATAAATATTTGTTGAATAAATGGATTAACATTTTTAAAAGGTCAATTATGCAAGCAATTCCTTTTTGAAAGTTTGTAATTTAGAAAGTTTCAACTATGTTGAAATATGTGCGTGTGTGCAATAGCTTTAAAAAGCAATAGGCGGGGCGCAGTGGCTCACGCCTGTAATCCCAGCACTTTAGGAGGTGGAGGCGGGTGGATCACGAGGTCAGGAGATCGAGACCATCCTGGCCAACACGGTGAAACCCCGTCTCTACTAAAAATACAAAAAAATTAGCCGGGCATGGTGGCAGGCGCCTGTAGTCCCAGCTGCTCAGGTGGCTGAGGCAGAAGAATGGCATGAACCTGGGAGGCGGAGCTTGCAGTGAGCCGAGATCGCACCACTGCACTCCAGCCTGGGCAACAGAGCGAGACTCCATCTCAAAAAAAAAAAAAAAAAAAACAATAAAAAAACAAGACATTTAGATAGTGCATGAGTAGCTACAATGGACAACATAAATTATGTTTCTTGTTATTATTTGTGTTTGTATTCTAAAGAGGCATTTGCCTGCCAAACTATTTCAGTCTGATATTTTCAAAACTCTTCTAATAAAAAAGATACTGAGTTATGTGACATTTTGATGTTCTGATGATGATCGTTATTAAGGCAGGGCATTGTTTCATTGAGTTGTTTATAGTACTGTAAGAATATAACACTGATCTATTAAAAACAGATGCAGTGTTGTCATGAAATGGGATATATGAAAATATGTTAAAGCCTCTAAATGAAAAAAAGATAAAGATGCTTTCAAGTAAATTAGCAAAATTCAGGGATTAGCAAAGTATAGCCAAGCCCATTCATTCACATTTTGTCTATGGCTACTTTGACCCTACAGCTATAGTTAGTGAGTGAGTGAATGAATTGAATGAATGCTGACCAGAAATTGCACTTTCAAACATTTAACCTGAGGAAATAGTTATATATACAAATAAGTATGTACAGGGATGTTCATTCTAAGCTGTTTGTAATATCAAAACAAGGGAAACCTAAATATTGACTAATAGAAGACTGGCTAAATAAGTTCTGGTGTATCCTTATTATACCAGAACTAGTGTATGATACAGCTATTTTTAAAAAGATGTTACAGAAATGTATCCAGTGATAGGAAACAAGGGTCAGCAAACTACAGCCCTTTGGCCAAATTGGCTCAAGACCTGTTTTTATACTACCAGAGCTGTGAGTGGGTTGTTAAATTTTAAAGGATTATTAAAAATAAACGTGAGACAGAGTATGTGACTAGTAAAGCTTAAAATATTTACTATCTAACCCTCTATAGAAAATGTTTGCTGACCCCTGATATAGAATGTTGTATACAATGTAGATTAAATTGGTAGGGATGGGTTTAAAACATTATGAAATAGTATATATAGAACAATATCTTTTTTTAAAAAAATGCAATCAATACCATTTAGACACTTAAGATGTTAATAGTTATTTCTGGGTAGACAAGATTAATAAGATTCTATATTTTATGTCTAATTTTGTGATTTTTCAATAATGAGAATGTATTCATTGTTTAAGAAAATAAAAATTTAATATTGGCATGGGGAAAAAGAGAACTTCTCTAAGTTTCAAGGTGTACAAATATGTTTTTCCATTTTGTAGATGAGGAAACTGAGACTAAGAGTTTAATTAACTTGCCTGGAGGGACACAAACATAAGACAAAAATTGCATTGATGCCAAATTTTCTGTCCAGCAGTGTCACCATTTGATAATTTAAAATGCTCATCTGTCAGCTGAAATAAAACTATATACTCTGTACCCAAAGGCAATTTAAAGGTATCAGTGTATAATATATGATAAAGGAGGATTATGCAGAAATAACAAACCACCTGCCTAATGGTATTAGGTGTGTACTGGATAGGTTTACATTTGCTTAAATAGAATGAAAAAATGAGTAGCTTACATTTTACATTTTTTAAAAGAAACAAAACCTGTATACATAGGTATTCAGTTGACTTTGTAAATTTGCAAACTATTACTACTACATAATATGGTAATTAATTGCTCTTTCATACCTATAGAGTTTAATTGTTCAAATTCAGGCATGTGACACAAAAAGGGACCATGTCCTGAAGCTTGTGCCCTTCACCGTAAGATAGAGGAAGGACATTTGACTTATCAGATCCTTGTGCAGGTAACTGTTTACAAAATGAGTCAGCAACTCAGAAGGAGAATGAATACAACAGTGAGAAGTCTCATTGTAATGAACTGATAGCTAGTAACTCAAAGAAGCAGTAGGACTATAGAAAGCAGACATGAAAGCTCAGCAGCTTTTGGACCATTTAGTGTGTGGACAAAAGGCCTAGTATCCTTCTATTATTCCTGAGGAAACCACTATCTTATAGCCAAGAATAATAACTATTGTTGCTCTTTTAAAAAACACTTGTTCCTTTAATTATAACCATCTTGTGATTTGGGAAGATTATTCTCTATTCACTTATTTAGAAACTGAGGCACAGAAAGGAGGTTAAGTGAGCGTTCAAGATCGTACAGACTGTTCAAGTGATAATGGAAAACTCCATCACCTAGTCCCAGCTCTGTATGCATATGATGGTGATGCTGAGTAAAGGCAGGATCATTCTACATTTCACCGAATCATAAAAAAAAGATAAACATGTCTTTAAAACTTATATAAATTATTAAACTATAAATATTTTGATGCTCTTCAGAGATGAGGTTCAGTTAACAGGAAAAAAATTCACTAGTGTAGAATGCTTCATAACTAAAATATGTCAGGGAATTATGATATGCAGTCATGCCTAGGTATCTGTGGGGGTAGGTTTCAGGACCCCCTGAGGATACCAAAATCCACAGATGCTCAAGTACCTTATATAAAATGGTACAGTATTTGCATATAACATGAGTACATCCTCCTGTATTCTTTAAATCATCTCTAGATTACTTATAATACCTAATATAATGTCATTGCTATGTAAATAGTTGTTATACTGTGTAGTTTAGGAATAATGACAAGTCTATACGTGTTCAGTACAGATGCAACCATACATTTTTTTCCAAATATTTTTGATCTGCAACTGGTTGATACCACAGATGTGGAACCCACAGATACAAAGGTCCAACTGTATATGCACAGATGAGGCTATCATTTTTTCTTTTGTCTTTTTCTTGAACAAAGATCACCAATCCTGGATTTTGTATATTTTAATGATTTCTGATGTCTGAAAGCAGTAGTAAATAGAACATCCCCAATTTTAACCCTATGATGTCACATATTAACATCTATGTAGTGGAGTCCATAAATTCAGTTAGAAATCATAGCCAGATAGAGTATGTGTGCTTTCATAATTCCCATCTCTTTAGTAGGCATTATATTTTTTAAAATATGTCTTCCTTTTGATGTGAAATGTATTTTCAGAAATTATTTGTCATATTTAGTGTAAACATTATTCACTATATACTGCATATTTTTCTAAATGTCATGTTGGCGATTTGCCCATTTTTTAAACCTAAAATTGAGATAGAATGAGTAGCTTTAGGCACTGTATAATGACTTGGATTACTGTGGTGTTCTTGCTGTAATTTATTATTATTTATCATTCTTGGGCAGGTATTTTAGTAATTAGAAAGCCTACAATAACACATGTGGTACACTTAAGAATAGTTTGAAGCACTAGAGCTGTATAGCCATTGGGTTTCCTCTCCCTTTTTTAACTTCCATATTGAATGCATATTAGAAGGACATGTAACTTTTATCATACTATTTCCTTGCTCCCAGCCCGCTACTTATTTATGTGTACAAAAGCATATACTTTCTTCTTGAGGAAAATTTTTTTAAAGGACCCTAATTATTTCTTAAGATTTATTTTCCTTCTATCAGGTAGCCAATACAGTATTTTTTTTGATGTTGTCGTTCATATATGTTTGCCTCTTACACTCAGAAAAGTCCCATAACCAATGAGAGCTACTGCCTTTCTTCCTGCCCTATTTCTCATAACCTTGATGACCCAGAAATCTCTCCACTTACCATAAATGGGAGGCACTAAAGTAGTGTTAGGACTTCCTTAAGACATCTGATGTGCTCTTTTAACCATCTTTTAAACTTCTCTTCCTGGTATTTAAGGCCATGAGCTTATCTTATTTAATCTGTCTCTCTCTCACCATTTTCTAGACCCTAGTAATCTAGCTCTCCACCTGCTCGCTATCATGAAAAGCACTTCCTCTTCCCTTTTGCTTTATCTCTTGTCTTCCTCCACATTAATCCAGAGCACATACACAAACATGTACATACCTTCTCCCAAATAAGTACATACCTGCATCTATATAAGTGTCACGTCTTCAACCTTACCTCTCCCCCTAGACCTAACTCACTTTTTAAAAAAAATTCCCACAGTTACAGCATGTATCACTTAATTTATTCTCTACCTATGGTTTGTATTGTTTTGTGTTGTATATCTTATGCTTATATGGTTTTATATGGCTGACTTACCTTCCTGGTTGTAAGCTTCTTGAGATCAGGGATTTAATTTTTTCTCATGTATCTCTCGTATAGCCCTTACCACGTTGGTAAATATGTAGTAAATGCTTATTAAGTCTTAAAATAAGCCTGTCCTGTGGAGCAGAAACGTTCCTCAGGAAGTGTCTTATCGAGTGTTCCCATTTTACAAAAGAGAAAATTGGAACAGTGAAGTGACCCATTTTCTTTATGACATAACTGGTGAGTAGCAAGCCCTGAACCAGAACCTAGGGCTCCTGACTCTTAGTTCAGTGTGCCTGTTCCCAGGCAGCCTTGACCACGCTGATGCTCAGGGAAACACTGCCACGAGAACATGGCATTTACTGCTGCTCACGTGGACAGTGGTGATATCCATGCCCTGAACAACAGCCTGAAGTTCTTCCCAGCATTCCCCATTTTTCATCTTGCCTCCTTAACTTTATAAAACCCTCTCTATTCAGGAACTAGGGAATGAATGAGAGTCCTCTCTCATGAAAAAAAAAAAAATAATGAGATACAATTTTATTCATTCATTTATCAACATTTACTCATTTTGACTAGGAGATAGCATAAAAGCCACTTCTCTTCACTACCTCTTATTTTTTCATGAGAATAAATATCTTTAAAAAGCTAGATAAATCTAAAGTGCCTATTCACTAGAACATTCTACATTTAGATTTTTAAACTATGCTTACAATTGGAAGTGTTTTCCTTTGTTTAAATTTTATGCTTTTATATATTAGTAAACTCAAGACTAAAGGACAGCTACCTTGATTCTTCTTGGTTATAATTGATGGTTATTGGCAGGATAGCATGTGTAGCCTTTTTATTTTGAAAAAAAACAAGTTGGGAAGATCTCTGTGCTTTAATATTTCAGGAAAATAAGCAACACTCTTCTCATCTAATTGCCTGAAGGCTAAAAATTGAATTGTATTGAATCACAGGGGAGAAAAACAAAGTAATTGACAAAAGCAGTCATCTAATTAAATATATTTTTTTTAAAAAATGAAGTTTGTAATGAAATTTGACAAATACAACACATAATTTTTTTTAATTTAAAACTTCGGTTTTAGGTTTTGATCAATTACAGAAACAGAATGAGAAGAAAGAAAGAGACGGTGAAAGAAAGATGTGTGCCCACAGGGGAGAGTCCCTCTGGATCAAAAGGATCACCCGTCTCTGAGATGACAGGAAGCTGGTATTCACTTGGGTGTAGCTGGCAGTAAACCATCCCACATCAGAGCATTTAACTAGGAGAATAGGCCCTCTCTGAACTTCAGTTTCCTCATCTGTGTATCAGATTATGGAACTAGATGACCTTTGATGTCCCTTCCAGCTCTAAGTTTCTGCTGGATTAGTTATTTTTACATACCTTTATTCTGATATTTAAATCTTTCAAGGGTCTACTCTAAAAAGCCAGAATAGCTTAATAAGTACTTACTGGTTTAGTGATTGATTTTGGCCCATATTATGTGCAAGTTTATCAACTCAACTAACAGTATATGGGTTTAGTTATTTGCAGCCAAAGATATTTGTTGTGTCTATGGCATCTTGTGCTGAAAGCTTTATGTAGTGAAAATGAGTAATAGGTAAACTGTACTTGTACAAATGGTGAACTAGTGTTTGATCTTTTAATGGTGAAGTTTTCAACATGAGCATTTGAAGAAAAGCTTTGATATTGATTGTGTATTTCAAACTGAAGCATGTCTGAACTGAAAATATTTCCTTCCAAAGCCATCTGTTCTTATTCATTTCTTTTTTCCTTATTCTTTGCTCTGGCATGTATATATTCCTACATAGTTCTTTAGGGAACTGCAAACTAGGAAGGCAAAGAAAACCATATGTCTTGTTTACAGCCTTGTCTGATACTATCTGTCAGGGTAAAGTAAAAAGATAAATGTGTTTATTTGATAGATTTTAAATTTTGAAGTTTTTAAAACGTTGATCAAAAACAGCAATAAGACTGATGATGTTACTTACGTGTAAAGAAAAGATACAGTTTTCATGTAGTTATTTTGAAATTCTTAACTTTAGGCTATAAAAGTTTTTATTTAAAGTTATTTGTTAGTTACATGCTCGAAAGAACTGTTGCATCGTATTTTACCACCCTTCTTTCAGCAAGTTACATTGTTTTGACTTTTGTTATGAATGTAATCAGAATCCTTAGAATGCAAAATCTTTTAGAAAATTCTTGTTGGATCATTAGATGTCTGCCCATCCCAAACTGATTGCTAGTTGTACAAAAACCATATTTTCTTTTAGTGGACATTTAAAAATATCTTCTATTAGCAAGGATTACATTTTATGAACTGTAATTTTTCACCTGACTCTCTTAACTTTATAAAATCCTCCCCACCAAATAGAGGTACCAACAAACACCAGAAACCAAGATTGGTGAACAATTGGTTGGCAAATTAACATTTCCTATCTTCAAAAGATGATATTTGTCTTGCTTTTTTCCCAGTCACATTTTAGTACTAGTTTTGTAGCTTCTGAGTACTTATTTTTCCAGTGATAAATCAAAAACAGAAATGATCAGCCTTACTCTCCCTCTTTTTTCTGGGGAAATTGAGAACCAGAAGAGTTAACTGACCCGCTCAGGCCTCACATGGAAACAGTAGTACAGCCAGTCCAAGGACCTGGGTCCGGGGCTCTCTCCATCATGCCTATCCCCATTTGAAGTAGCACTAAAGTGCCATTTAGTGTACTTTTTGTAAAAATTTGCTTTTCAGCACATCATCTAATATGTGCTACTTAAAACTTAATTGCCCTTTAGAATGATTTGTGATATGCCTCCTTCATTCTCTCAACAATTTTAATTTTACAAGCTAGTTTTATTATAAGCTCACCAGTTTAGGTAGAAGGATGTTCTCTTTCAGAATCTGGATTCTTCCTCTAGTAACCTCATCAGAGCTCAGGAGGAGATAACAAATCAAACATTGAGATTGAAGTTGATTCAGTCTCGTGTATGATTTGACTCAAGTATCAATGAGCTAATTAATATTTTTATCTAAAAATATTTTGTAATTGTGCCAAAGGTTGAGACTCTAGAATACTGGAGATAATTATTTTCAGACAGTAGCAACTAGTGGAACGGGATGGAGCACTTTGCAAACAATGTAATATCAATGGCTTCTTATTACAATGCCCCAGGTATGTTATTAGGTTGATGCAAAAGTAGTTGTTGTTTTGGACCATGAATTTTAAATCATTATAACTAGGCTCAAACACATCTTTATTAATCAAATAGGAACCATTACAATCAACACATTTTTGCCAACAAGAAATAAGTTTGTTTATTCCTGTAGTGTACAAATCTGTGCTTTGGGATTCGACAAACTCTTGGAAAGCATTTTCTGCATCCTTCTGATTGTGGAAATGTTTTCCCTGCAAAAAGTTGTCGCGATGCTTGAATAAGTGGTAATGGGTTGGCAAGAGGTCAAGTGAATGTGGCAGATGAGACAAAACTTCATAGCCCAATTTGTTCAACTTTTGAAGCGGTTTTGCAACGTGCAGTCGGGCGTTGTCATGGAGAATTGGGCCCTTTCTGTTGACTAATGCCAGCTACAGGCATTGCAGTTTTCTGTGCATCTTATCTATTTGCTGAGTGTACTTCTCAGATATAATGGTTTCACCAGGGTTCAGAAAGCTGTAGTGTATCTCACCGGCAGCAGACCACCAAACAGTGACCATTACCTTTTTTTGGTGCAGATTTGGCTTTGGGAAGTGCTTTGGAGGTTCTTCTCGGTCCATCCACTGAGCTGGTCATCACTGGTTGTCATATAAAATCCACTTTTTGTCGCACATCACAATCCGAGAAATTGTTCATTATTATTGTGTAGAATAAGAGAAGAAGACACTTCAAAACGACGATTTTTTTTTTATGTTCACTCAGCTCATGAGGCACCCACTTAGCCAGTTTTTTCACCTTTCCAACTTGCCTCAAATGCAAAATGACCATAGAATGATCAACATCCAGTTCTGTGGCAACTTCCGATGTAGTTGTAAGAGGATCAGCTTCAATGGTTGGTCTCAATTGGTCATTACCAACTTCCCATGGCTGGCCACTATGATCCTCATGTTCAAGGCTCTCGTCTCCTTTGCAAAACTTATTTTTTTTATTTTTTTTTGAGACAAGAGTCTCACTTTGTCACCAGGCTGGAGAGCTGTGACGCAGTCTCGGCTCACTGCAACTGCCGCCTCCCGGGTTCAAGTGATTTTGCTGCCTCAGCCTCCCAAGTATCTGGGACTGCAGCCATGTACCACCACGCCCAGCTAATTTTTGTATTTTTAGTAGAGACGGGGTTTCACCATGTTGGCCAGGATAATCTCGATCTCTTGACTTCGTGATCCACCCGCCTCCACCTCCCAAAGTGCTGGGATTACAGGCATGAGCCCCCGTGCCCAGCCACAAAACTTCTTGAATCAAGACTGCACTGTATGTTTGTTAGCAGTTCCTGGGCCAAATGTGTTGTTGATGTTGTAGGTTGTCTCCGCTGCCTTACCACCCATTTTGAACTCAAATAAGAAAATCACTCAAATTTGCTTTTTGTCTAACATCCTTTCCATAGTCTAAAATCAACATAAAATAAACAATAATTCATTAGGAAAAAATTAATAAAGCGAGAAATGCCCATTAAAATTATATGTAACATAACCACATTTAAGAATGTATTCCAGTATCAAACGGCCAATTCCAACAATGCAAAAACCACAATTACTTTTGTGCCCACCTAATCATTAATCTTAAATTGATTCATTTATTTATTAAATGAACATCTATTGAGTGCCAGCTGCTTCCATGCCCTCGTTGAGATCGTATCTAGTGGAGTTATCAAACAATAAACAAGCAAATAAAATAATTAAGACATGATAAATAATGGAAAAGAAACAAGGTGATATAATAAATAAGGATGGCCAACTTTGTGTGGGGTGGTTAGGAAAAGACCTCTCGAGGGGACATTTACACAGATTCCTGAAGGTAAGAATGAGCAAGGCATACAGAGGGCTCAGGAAAGAGCATTGCAGGCAGAGGAAACTGCAAGTGCAAAAACCCCGATATGGGAAGGGGCCGCTGTTCCTGTCTGTTAACTGAGAATATTAATATCTTCCTGCCTACTACTCATAGGAGCCCTGTGGTGATATCAGTAAATTTAAATAAAAAATGACTTAATCTGGGTTAGATCTGTATAATAGGCAGTGAAGGAGAAATTGGGGTCTTTTTCTCTACTTCTAGGAAGAAAAATTATTGGGGGATATGAGAGAAAACACAATAAAACGTTCAGAGATCTCTCTCTTGCCTTCTGTATCTTGATTTAGAGATCTGTATCAAAGACTGCATTGTATGGTACTAGTTATCAGTGTGGGAGTTCACAGAAGGCAAAGATCTTGACCTGGAGTCTTGGCCTGGACTTGACTTTGGCCTTAAAGAATGGGTAAATTTGGATCAGCCAAAAGGAGGCAGAAGAGAGTGATTTAAAATGAGAGAATGTGTAAATAAAGTTGCTAAGATGGACTGAACATGAATGAGAACTTAAGACCATGAAGACTCAAAAGCTGGAGCTGGAGCCAGAGCCAGATGGACAGAAAATAATTGAAGGGTCTGATTCATAGAGGTGGTTGAACCGTTAGTAGAGCAGATTTGACCCGATGTTAGACAACACAGGAAGTCATTATCATTTCTTGAACAAGAAAATTGTGTGGTAGAAAGTTGGTAACGTAAATACAGATTAATGGAAATGAGGAAAAATTATTAATGGAAATAAGGAAACAAGCAGGCTAAATAGGAGGACCTTCTTTTTTTTAAATCGTGCATTTCATAGTACCTGGCAATGAGAACATGGCCTATGCTCCTATCAGAGAATGAACTGCATACAAGACATTTCAAATGAGTTAACAGTGATACTTAGTGACTGATGGAGGCGGTAAATCAAAAATCAAAATGCCTGTTCACTTGAGTCCAAGGGACTGACCAGAAAATAATGTCAGTGATAGAGCTGGGGAAGTTTGCCCAGAATATTAAATGATTAATTCCATGTTGGACATGTTAAGTTTCAGAAAATAACAAGACACCCATTTTGTGATGTGTGTACACAGGTAGAAGTACTGAACTAGAGCTAAAATAGAAGGTTGAATTTGAGAATGCAAATAGGTGGTGAGAACTGAAGCCTTAGCTCTTGAGAATGCACACACATGATTAAAAGTGTGTATGTCGGGGAAGAGGCAGGTGGGGAGTAACTGACACGCACACACACACACACACACACACACACAGAGAGAGAACAAGAGAGAGGAGTCTGAATAAGTAGAAGGCACCAAAACAACAGTTGGATAAAAGCCACCTTCTTGAGGAAATACCATTATCATTATCACCATAAAAACTACAACTACCTGTTAGTGTTTACTACGTGTCTTAAAGTCTTTAAATATAATAACTTATTATTTCTTTCCACAGCCTTTAAAAAAGTAAATGCTGTTGTTATCTCCATTGTACAGATGAGGAAGGTTAGGACAGAGAAATTAGGCAAGTTGTACAAGATTGCCCAGTTTGGAGAAGCTGAGCTGAGATTCAAGCACAGGCATTGTGCTTCAAAGCCCTCAACTGTGCCATATGGTTATATCCAACTTGGTGTTTTAATTACGTGGTTTGACTTCGATCTTATGTAAGTTTCTTGAAAAGGAGTTAATTAACAGTTTTTACAAGTTGGGTAGAAACCAGAAAGTCAACAGATGGCTGGGCAGTGATTGGATAAATCCTTGTAGCAGAAGACAACATGAAATTTCTCTGGGGTAAGGCAGAGAAAGGGAAAGAAGAATATACCCTTTGCTCTACTTTTTTTTCTCCTCTCCATACACTACAAGTTATTGATACAGGGAATTGTCCCCTTTGACAAGAGTTACAATAATTTGTGGAGAAAATGGCACCTCTGTTTTTTAGCATTTTCTATATACTACAAATGTATTTCCTTATTTGTATACAAGGAATGTCAATTTATCTAAATTGACTGTCAACCAAAGTCATTTCTTTATTGACTTCCACTACTAAATGAGAGTTAGATTCCAAAAGATCTGTGGTATGCATGAGGAAAATTTTAAATTTAAAAAAAATTTTTTTTTAAGATTCCAAAAGATAGGGCTTGGGAAGTAGCCTCAACATTGGTATTACTGGATTACCTTCAGTCTGGGAGCCCAAGTGCCTGGATGTCTCAGTGGAGAGGCTCAGGACTTAGAGCAGGAGTTAGACACTGAAGCCCTTCCCTCTGGAGAAGCCACACGTGACTTCTTTGTCGATTGCTTTAGTGAATGCTTCCCCAGTGGCTGACAGAGAACTTTGCCTCCATTTTCCATGCTCTTCAGGGCTCCTCCAGCCTCTCTCACTTCTTCCTTGTTTGAGGAGGAAATGGTACGCTTCCAGTCCACCATGCTCAGTCATACGGCTTAAAGGAGAGGGGAACAGGTACCTGCTTGGTGCCACAACTATAGCAGGCCTTTCTTCAGTAAATAAGCTAGAGCTTTTCTTTGGACCTAAAACTGAGGATGGGCCTCATCTAATTAATCTTCCTAAAACACAGTTCTGCACACTAGACTTTCATTATTTTTCCATTCTAACCAGAATGAAAGTTTTAGCCTCGCATTTGTGGCCCTCCATGTTTTGGCCTGAGCTGTGGATGCCTGACCTCATTTACCAGTATCCCCTTTTTGTCAGGGAGGCTGCCCCATTCCCTGTTTATTCTGTAGGGCCCCACTTGCCGCCTTCTGTCGGGAGGAGGCTGATCCCTCAGGGATTCCCTCTTTACTTTTCAATCTTCACTCCGGTCTGTGGTATTATCGGCCCCAGTTCAATGCTGCGTACAGTTCTCATCTAAATGCCATCTCCAGCATACAGTCTCACTGAACTCACCTAGTATTTTATCTCCAGCTCTCATTATATCTGTGTTCTAGATATTTATGTGCATATAATTATCTTCCCTAGTAAACTCTGGGCAGACTCTGTACCTAATTTAACTTAGTATTTTTTATATCACTTACACTTAACATCAGAGAAAGTTAAAGCTGCAAGGGCTGAGGAGACACACAGACCTGTGATAATGTCTTTTTCAAACTTCTTTCTCTGTGCTCTAGTAAATAATAGTGCTGAAGGTAGGATAGACCAGATCTCCTGGTTCTCAGTCCGGGTCTTATCCTCCAACAACAGTGGTTCTCCCACTGGCTTGCACATTGAAATCACCTGGCGTCGCCTGTGATGCTTTTAAAATCCTGATCCAGAAGCTTACAACCATAGAAATTAGAATCTCAAGAGTAAGACGTTCACATCAGTAGCATCCAAATCTCCCCACATGATTCTAATGAGCAACCAAGATTGGGAATAAATATCCCCCAGTATGATGGCCCCTGGACCATTGTTGCTTTACTGGGTAATTCTGTTAATTTGGTAAACTTTTTGTCAGATATTAAAAGTAGAAAATACTAAAATATTAAAGTAGAAAAGTGGTAACTATTAGATAATAGTATAGTTCATCTTGTTTTGCTTGCAACAGTAGCTTACAGTTAACTGTTTGACTTTTCAGATTTTTCGAAAGAAAGCAGTGGAACTTGGGGTAAAATTGCTACCTGCATTTCATACTCCCTCTGGAATACCTTGGGCATTGCTGAATATGAAAAGGTAAAACTCTTCATTTTCAACAACATGTTTTAAGGTGAAATATTCCAGATTGTTGCCTAATAAGTATACATTAGATAGATAATTACTTATATGATACTGGTGACTAACAGACTCCACTGGGAGTCTTGAGATCTGTCTTTTTGTTGGCAGCTATTAGCTTTTCAGTGTTCCATAGCCTCAGATATGTCCCCATTGTGGGATGGCGTGACCTCAACAGAGTCATTCAGGCCAGACACGATTGGAGGTTTACACTGTTTCATAGTGACTTTGCATCAATGATACTGTCTCCATAAATACCAAAAGAGTCCCGTTATCTTTTAATTGTCATCAAAGCATTTCACTTCCAAAGAAGCAAATTCCTAAGAACCTTTATTTAAGTTCAGCTACTGGTCAGAAATATGGCAGAAATACAATATTTGGCCTAATCAGATCCCCCATAAAAGCAGCTGGTATAACGGAGACTGGGAGCACCTGTGGTTACCCAGCCCCCAGTTGTAAGAAGGGAAGGCAGCCAATGCACTCACCCAGATCAATCCAACCTTCTCATCCTCTTTGGTGGAGAACCCTGATATGCCAAGTTCTTGAGAATGTGGCTCCAATTGGAAAAGACACACACACACACACATCCCAGGCTGAACAGACTTTCTGGTGTTCTCCCAGAGAGTAGTTGGAGTTTTCATAACTTAAGCATTTCATTAATAAACGATTTTGTCTTAAGCTTCCTTCTTAACGCCTTCCTGCCCATAAGTTATTAATTGCCTGTACCTCTCTGTGATAATGATGAGACAGTGATGATAGCTATTATTGTCACTATAAAATGTGATGGGCTCTTTAGTCCTCTTACCACATATTATCCTCACAACAACCCAGTAAGGTCAATGCTGTTATCTCCATTTTACCAATAGGAAGCTCTAGTCACAGAGAGATTAATTAATTTACCTAATATCATACAGTAAGTAAATGGTAGAGCTAGAATATGTACTTAGATGTCTATACGCACATCGATGCATATGTACAAATGAAACAGCTTTCTGGTTTAGAAACACCAAGAGAATGCATAGCATGGTTTGGCAAGATTAATGCACATTTCTTCCTAATTATTTATTTTAGTGACATTCTGTCCAAATATTAATCATAAAACCATGAAATTAATCAGTTTATTTTATTTTTCCTTTAACAAATTTGTGAGATGCCATGCTTTAGTTTCATTTGTATATTATATATCTACACCTTGAAATCATCCTGTACCTATCTATAGGTGTGGGGAGTGGGGTGGGGAGAGTTCACACCTCTGGGCCATGTTAAACTGAGATATTAATCGTTCTCTATTGCAGAATGTGATGCCTCAGGATCTGTTCTTCCTTTAAGGGTCCTCAGGCTTTCTCTGTCAGCTTGAAGATCATACATGTACTGTAGGGCCTTAATGCAGGGGTGGCTCTGAGCTTGGCTTGGAAGCAGCTTGGTTTGTGTTTGGAGGCCCATGAGTATTTGACTCCTGTAGACCTTCTTTCTTACCTTTTATATCTTCAGAATTTGTATTTATAGGTAGTATTCTGACCAAGATACTACTCTCTTACCTAAAACAAGATCTGGTCACAAAAGCACCGTGCACAATTAACTCATTTTTTTCCCTACTGAGAAAAGTGTTATGGGCATAGTAGTACACTAAACTAATTGGTTATCAAAAGACCTGAATCTAGGTCTTTACAGCTACTCGAGGTTTGTCTTGCAGCAGTCATTTAAACTCTCTTGGCTAATTTGTAACCAGGAAGGTAGGTGAACTCAGTAGTTACTTTGTGAACATTTTGGGGTTCACAGACCACTTTCAGATTCCGATGAACATATGCCTCTCATAAAGTGCATATTCCTGACTACATGGATTTTTACACAATTTCCAAAAGCTAACAGTACAATGGAAGACCACCAATGACCGCCAGTTTACAATCCTAGAGCAGATGATCACTCCAGCCTTCTCTTAAATTCTGTGAAGCTAGTTTCTCTCGTTTCCTGGAAGGTAATGAAATTGGAGAAAGGCCTACTAAATCTAATAGAGGTGTGGGCTACATCTTTGCAAAAGTCGAGTCCATTTTTATGAGATGCTGATATTGCTTAATTAGTACTGGCCTCCCTTGAAATAAGCATAAGAAATTGGAATTCAAAATATACTATTTTGAAATATATTTAACTTTACTGTTTATTTCCAACTGCCAAGTAGATTTTTCCTTAGTTAAATCTATCCTTAGTGTACCATGGAGATATTTTTCAGTACATAAATACTTAATTTATTAAATTACTAAATCCTCTAGTATCTTTCATACCTATGTCTGTCAAGAATTTATTAACCAGGGCATTCAAATTTTTTATAAGACTTCATTTTGCGCAGTATTTTGCATTAGAATTTATTTAATTTCAGAGATTACAGAAAAATTGCATGTGGTGAAAAATAATGTGTCATTTTCATTTATGTATTCACTGATGTTTTGAAGTTAAACTGGATGAAATTGAGCAACCATTTGGCAGCTGATAATAATTTCTTCTTGGCAACATGCATGAATTTTTAATTATATATTGTATCCACTCTCAATCCCATTTACTAAATACCAGTGACTTACCCAAATTCACACAATAAGCACTGGCAAAATTAATAGTGATATTAGTTCACTAAAATTCCCCCTGTTCCTTTGCCTAATCAAGTACACTCCTTGAATCAGCTGTACTTCCAGCTGTGAGACTGATTTATCATCTTAAGTTTTCCTGTAGGGCAAGAAGCGACATTTCATATTTATCTACAAGATTACTTTTCAAAATGTGCTGTTGGTGTCATTTGTACATATATACTGTTTTGCGAATCACTTTATTTTCACAGTATGGTCCAAGGTATAGGGAACAGCTGGCCTAGAGCTGCTTTCGTAGTTTTGGAAGGCTGTCACCAGCAAAAGTTTCAAAGGAGTGGGGAAACATATATCTGGCAAAATCATATTTTCTTAATTACCTTCTCAGAATAAGAGAATGTAGAAAGCTGCCCAGGAGAAGAAAAAAGGAGGGCTTAAAGATGCTTTTTAGACTAGCTGTGCATTCATTGTTGACTGGCTTTGAAACTCTTGGCAAGAATTACCACTGGAGAGACACTGAATGTGCTGGCTGTAATATCATAATTCTGCTCTTCCCTCTCAATTTTGAATGTGTCTCTTTGTCAACATCTCTATGTTAACAACAGTGTGAACTTATTGGTATTATCTGTTCACATTCCTCTGGTATTCTGGTTATTGCCTAAAGATAATTGGTTTCTTTACCTTTTCTTTGTCAAAACTAAGCATTTATTTGAGTCTCTCCTGTGATAAAGATTTCTTACTAAGTCCTGGGAAGAGTTTCTACTTCTCTTCACTTTATTCAAGAAGATAACAGACATGTTCTTTCCCTCAGGGGACTCACAGCCTGGTTGGTAAAGCAGAATTTATTTTTGTGTGTTACACACTCACACATGTAATTGACAAACCTAAGATGGACCAAGGAGAGATAATAAGTACTCACCAGGTTGAATTTGAAGCAAGCAGCATTTTGAATTGGGGAGGTTTATGTATTTGGAGACAAAACATCAATAAGTCAAGTTGTATTTCAGTATTTGTGCAAGCTGAATATATGCAGAGAACCTAAATAATTCACTCATATACTACATGAGGAACTCTATCCCAAAAGCGGTTCAGAAAAAAAAATTTTAATTGTCTTTTCTGCCACATCTATTTAAATTGTTAATCCAATAAGAATTCTTAATTCAATAGATTCTGAAATTGTGATTTAATGGAAAGTACTCATTTAATAACCTAGATGCTATACAGTTCCTCACTAGACTAACATGTTTCCTTCACCAATATGATCATAGAATGAGAATGCATAAGTTACACACCTCTGCTAAAAGAAAATCATTGCCTTTCTAATATTAGGTTTTGGTAGAACTCAATTTCTCTAATGTGAAAATGTCAAAGTTTGGTGTCTATTCTTGTTATTACTATTAGCAAGAGGCCTATGCTTTTTTTTCTCGAACTTGAAGCAGAAAAATTACCTCTGTGATTTGTAAAATCAGGCATTTCACCATTTCTGTATTTGCAAAGGTAATTCAAGTCTAGGTAGAGTAGACTTAGATTTTGGGTTTTTTAAAGTGTGTTCTTAAAATAATGTAGTTAATGTTCCCATTATTCATTTCTATCACAGGGCATACAGTCTGGGCATTCCTAATAATTTTTCTGTCTTTCTTGATAAATGAGTTAGTTTTAGCTATACACTATTTTATCACTTCTCTGTATGGATTTTTCTGACGCCTGCTTGGTGTTACATTTAGTAGAGCTGTCTACAGTGTGTGCTTTTATTGCACACCATGAAGGTGTGTATAGGAAATGACTGATCTTCATTCAGACTCTCATTAGTCAGTGAGGTGATGAATGAGGCACAACCCCTCACCTGTTTTATTTCCTGCTTTGTAAAGCTTTATTTACTGACTATTCTAATTATCTGATGAAAATACATACGATGTCATTGGTTACATTACAGTTTATATTATTATAATTAAATTGCAGGTTGCTCTACTTTGACTGAAATAGGGCTTTAATTAAGAATAGTACATAGCTGCCTGTCTTCTAATAGTGAAAGATTATCCTAGGGAAGCATATAATGTGTATATTTTAAGAAAAGGTGATAGCCCCCTTGTTGGGTTTATTAATACTTTGGTGGTATAAAATGTTTAAATATTACATTATAGTTGGTTAATTTTAATAAACACAAACTATGAAAGATGATCTGATAGGTTAAATATTGTTAAAGTGTTTTCCTATATCTCCCTATGTTTTTACTTGACAGTTAAAGCATAAATTTCTGCATTATTAAATTTGCTAACAGTTTTTTAAAGTTCCTGGTTTCAGATTTGAAAGAAGTATATTATATTTTCAAATGAAGCAGAATACAATTCCATACTTTAATATAATAGAAATAATATGAAAATATCAATAAACAAATTTTCTGAACATAAGATCAAATTGATTTAATGGTGCTAGTATTCTATGAGGCAAAAATATTGCTTAATTATCCTAAAAATGTTCTGTAGCAGTGATATAAGCCTGAGTATAAAATCAGAGCTCCATCTTACACTTTATGTTTTATTTATATACTTTATGGATCTATTAAGAAGTCAGAGACAAGTTTAGAAACTGTAGAAAAGTTTTTTAAAAAGAAGTTACATCTTTCTAAGTATTTTAAGTTAACCTTCTTTATGGTTTCTTTTTCTTCCCCCAGTTGGATTTTTTTTAAATATTGGGTTCCCCACTTCCCTCTTTTATCTATTTTAATTCATTTGGCCATTTGTAGTCTTCTGGAACTAGTAATCAACAATACTTTAAGATTTTAATAGTGGTATGTAGTTATTAATGTCAAACATTAGAATATTATTACCATAGTTAAAGCTGCTATTAGCAGTCTGTCTCTGGAAAATTCACTTAACTTTTCATAAGTAAAACTAAAATAATAGCAATAATAATGCCTATCTTGACCTCATAAGGCTTTTATGGAAATCTGGTTAATGTGCAGAAGGTTAAACCTTGCAGAGTGCTATGAAACAGATGGACATTGGAATTTTTCTTAATTTATGGTTCTATTCTCAATATTTCATTATGAAAGAGTATATATGAATATGGTATATGATAAAATAGTATATATCTAGAACTGACTAACTTGGTTCTGATGTCCTTTCGTGGACATCATTTCATTTTTAAGCTATCAGTGCTCCTGACCTGTTCAAGCTGGAGTTGTATTTTCCTCTGGCAGAAAAGAGATGATGGAACCAATTGGATGTGTGGAGAGAATGTCTCAATGTGGTTTATGTAGGATAGTGGTGGCTCCGTGCTCAAGCTTTTATTATTTTTTAAATTATTTGGGATCCAACCTATAGGATCAAAACTAAATTTGCTCCCTAAAATTATATTTATTAGTGAATTATGTACTAAAAACTAGAACTGTTCAGCCGATTAGGTTTTAAAAGGATGCGAGGCAATCCAGAGTTATGTTCTTATCCTAAGTCTTACATGCTAGCTAGTGCCTAATTAATGTGGTACAAACCCAGTCTATGAAAGTGTGTGTGTCTGTCTGTCTGTCTGTTATAAATAGCCACATAGCCCTGTTTCCTAGTTCTTGGACTGTTCTGCTAAGGGTCTGACTGTTCTGGTTGCTTTGTATCAGTGACTCTCAACTTTCCCATGCCTCAGAATAACTGGGATTCTAATATATATATACACACACATATACACACACACACACACACACACACATACATACACACACACACATACACAAACACACACACACACACACACACACATATAATTGCTGCCTTCATCTTTCCCTTCCCCCAGTCTGTTTCAATTGGTTTGGGGATAAAATTCTGGCATTTTTTAAAAACCTCCCAGGACATTCTAATATTCAGCTAGGGTCAAGAATCATTGTTTTAAATCCAGCATTTATATGCTGAGGTTAGCTTTATTTCTCATCTCAGTTGCATTTGAAAACATTGGGTTTAAAACGTTTCCCTATTCACTGATGGTCAATTTAATTATTGAAATTTTAAAATCCTAGAAAATTACTTTGAAAATACCCAGCTTTAATAGAACAGTGCTTCTCAAACTTTAGAATATATAACAATTGCCAGGAGAGATCATTAAAACATAACATTGCTGGATCATAAGCAGAGAGCCTGATTCTGTAGGTATTTACTAAGAATTGATAATTTGCTTTTCTAACCAGATTCCAGCTGATGGGGAAGCTACTGCTGCTGCTGCTTGCCCAACGACCACACTTTGAGAACCACTGTAATAAGAAATGACTGAGCCATCAGAGCCATGTAGTTAAATCTCAGAGCCGTTCAGTGAGGCAGCCAGGTCCACTGTTGGGGAAGCAGGAGTAGGGCCTGTGTTCTGTTTCTATCATTTGTTTACTTTCATTAATAGTTACACAAAGTTTCCACTTAACTCTAAGCAGTTTGTTGCTTCTTCTGGAAAGCAGCCAATTCCAAGCAGTAATTACCCAAACAGAGTTTGCATGTCCTTTTTCCCCTTGTACTTTTTTTTTAATCCAGTGAGACTAGAAAGTAAACTTTAGGCATTTTTAGCATAGAGGGGAAAAAATAAGCATTTTTAATTAGAAACTTCTGGGTTACTGTTTAAAAGTAAAGCTATTTCCATAAAGTCACACTTTGTAGCTTCAGGCAAAATGGCTTTACTATAAACAGCTGGTAACCTGGCCCTGTACCTAAGGGTACTGTGAAGAATGAAGCAGAATCAGGGATTACCCTCCCACCAGATGAGCAGGAGGGAACAGAGGTCACTTCTGTGATCATTTAATCCTGTCACCAAACTTTGGATCACTACAGCTCTGCCAGGCACTCAATACCTTGACCAAACTAAGGACATTTATTTATTGCAAGTGGACAGTTATAACAGGATAGCAACACTTAATTTAAATGTACTTTGTGTATAGCCACCTTTATGGAGACATTACGGACAAGGAAGTCTGAACAAAGGATGTTCTTAGTCATGCATTGTGAGGCGGTAGGAATTTGAAGAACCTCAGGATGCCTGAACCTCAGGATGCCTGAACAGTTTCCTTTCTTCCCACTTCTCTGGTCATAATTGAAGTTAACACTCAGGTAAATGGGTTTTTTAAGTGTTTTTTATTCTCTGAAGGCAGGAGCAGACCATATCTGCCTCTGAACACAGGCTGTAGCGGTCCTCATTTCTTCTGCACCCCACCCTCCCGCCTTTTCCTTGAATTTCCATCTGCTCAGGCTCCTGCTGTGTTTCTGATAGGGCAAGAGCAGGAAATTGACATGAATGGAATGACCAGGTTCACGTTTTACTCAACAATAAATTAGATATTTTAAAATATTTTTCTATACTTTCAGAAAGTTCTACAATTTAAGGGTAAATTGTAGCATATGAATAATTAAAGTGGAAAAATTTATCCAAGGTGATGTGTAGAGAATTTAGAGGCAGTTTATCCCGAGAGTTGCTTAAATCCCTTTTTAAATGACTTGTATGTGGGAAGTCTGTTAAGAGGGCTTCCTCACCCTTCAATTTTGGGCAAATAGAACCTTGGTTCAAAGCAGATGGGACTGGATTGTTAAATATGACCACTACTTTTCCCATAGCATCTACCACAGTTTAAGCAGTTAACTCACCAGGAAAATTTCATGTAAGGACAATTATAGTTATTTTAATGCAACAATTTCAAAGTGGCTTTCATCTCAAGTTTTTCAAATGCACAGAACTAGTGTTTTACAGATTCAGCTTTGTTCACTCTGTTCACACAATTGGTTGCGAATCAGCCTCAGCAATTTGAAATTTATGCTGTGTACAGAACTTAGATTGGGAACAAGTCAGAATGCGTAAATTCATATACCTCCCTCACAAGCTAACAATGGAATAATCTTTTCAAGGAATTGAATTCCCCAGGTTTTTAATGACCCAGCAATCAATTTTCCTGTGATTAATCTCAAAACTGGTCTTACGTTGTTATTGTGGGACAAACCTTTCAAATATCTAATTAGTAAAGTTTAATTTTAAAATTTATGAAATAGTTTGAATACATGGTTGAAAATCAGCGCAGGTATCAAGGCACTTTATCAGCCCTCATAATTGTTAATCATTGTAAATATTCAACTAACTACATTGAATCTTTGGGAATTGGAGGGTCAATATAAAATATTTAGGCTACAGCCAATAGTTTTAAAGGCCTCACAGTCTCAGTGGATACATTAACTACTCCATGTTTCCTGCTTGTGCAGTAATAGTTATAGTTGATATGTTCTGAAAAATGGGATGAAGAATTATTAATTGCAGTTCTTTTTATTAACTAGAGAAAAAAAGTGATGGAGCAATACTGAGAATTAATTGTAATTTACAAATCTGGAAATTAATGTGCAGCTGCGCGTAAGTACAGGCAGTGCAATTTGGTGATTTAGCAATCATGACAAATTATCTTCATCTATAAGGTGGAGAATTGTTAGGATTCCTTTATTCATCTTTTAATAATAGACCCAGTTTCAGGCCGGGTGCGGTGGCTCACGCCTGTAATCCCAGCACTTTGGGAGGCTGAGGCGGGCGGATCACGAGGTCAGGAGATCGAGACCACGGTGAAACCCCGTCTCTACTAAAAATATAAAAAATTAGCCAGGCGCGGTGGCAGGTACCTGTAGTCCCAGCTACTCTGCAGGCTGAGGCAGGAGAATGGCATGAACCCGGGAGGCGGAACTTGCAGTGAGCCGAGATCCCGCCACTGCACTCCAGCCTGGGCGACAGAACAACACTCCGTCTCAAAAATAATAATAATAATAATAATAGACCCAGTTTCAGGAAGACTTTATGTGAATGCTCATGTTGCCCTTTTATCCTGAAAATGTGAGTGGGAGTTTAACATTATAAATTAAATCTTGCTTCCCCTCTTTGTCATGTCATGCTATAGTTTTTATGGAACATTTGTACAAAACAGTGATTACTGCATATGTTGAATAATCTTAAGATGCTACTGAGAGTTTAATGTACCTTGTAAATTGAGAGGCTTCCAATTAAGTCAAGTTCTTAAGATAATCACTTTCAAAACTGATCAAGTAATAGGACATTAGTAAAGCTCTTATTGACTTAATTGTGACAAATTAATAAACAGACCCTGTGCAATTACTATAATGGTGAACAGTTTTTCAAAATTTAAGCATAAATCTATTCTAACCCCCCAAAGTACATTAAAAACTATATATGCCATTTTAAGATGGGTATCATTTCAAATAGCTGTGTTCGAGTTCATTATACAAGTAGTATGAATTTGTATGTTTCTTTCTTTTAAAATATGATTACATTTGTTTATTTCAAAGGTCAATTAATCTACTTGCAAAGCCCTTAGAGCATATAATTTTACAAGAGGTCTTCCGTATGCCATGGACAAAACAATTACATGTTCTTATGTGTTCTCTCATCTCTACTTTTATTATGTCCTGTGTCCTTGGTGTTATCTCTTCACTGAGAACTATAGAATATCTTGTCTTATTGTCTCTTTGTCCCCTTTGGGGACAAAGTCAGCATGGTACCTTTTTATACATTGAAAAATGAATCAATTATGAATTACATATTTGCCATAATTTTTAATATCTGACAGTGCCAATTCCTATAACTGTGCTGACTGTGTTTAAGAAAAATCAGCAGAAAAGAAAAGGCAGAAAGAGCAGGGATGTAAGTCTTGCTTCCATCACTTTAAGAATAATGTGACAGTTACATATATTTGCCTAGGTCCATCTAACTGTGTGTATTTAAAGTGCTGTGCTTTATTGAATATAACTCTATCTTTTTAAGTGTGATCACATATCTTTTTTTATTTAAAAAAAATGTAGCATGCTACCCAGCCATTAGTCAACATACCTTGTTTAAGCATGGATTTTCTTATTTGTTAAAGTAGGACTAATAAGTAGTATCAGTTTTACAAAGATCACATTTATGACAGGACCTAGAAAGTTGAGGAGCTGAGCAATATTTTACACCCAAGAGAATGGATCATTATGGAATTTCAGGACTTCATACAGGTTGCTGCCAGCATAGTGCCCATCCAGATTTCCTGAAATCATCAAGGGGCCATCCACACTATGTTTGATTTAGACCTTAGCCAGAGAGGGAGAGGGAGAGGGAGAGGAGAAGAAAAGAAACGCAAGACAAAACCAAAAAGCAAAAAAGGAGGAAGTATTACTGACTGACGGCAGCAGTGACTCCCTCTTAAAAGTACCACGGACGCAAACTCGCAGTGGGGCTGAAAAAAATGTAGGAGAGGGAGTTCCGTGTGGTCCAGGGATTACAGGTGTGAGCCACCACCACACCTAGCCAATAATGAAGTTTACTGCTTTAATTCTTCCCTTCATGAAAGATTTCTCTGTAACATGTGATACTCTTTTATGGCATTTTCCACACGGTAAAACTTCTTTCCAATTTGGAGTCAGTCTTCTCAAACCCTGCTGCTGCTTTATCACTGTGTTTATGTAACATTCTTAATCCTTTGTTGTCATTTCAACAGTGTGCACAGTGTCTTCACCAGATCCCATCTCAATAAACCATTTTCTTTACTCCTCCATAAGAAGCAACTCCTCATCCATGAAAGTTTTATCATGAGATGGTAGCAATTCAGTCATGTCTTCAGGCCCCACTTCTAATTCTAGTTCTCTTGCTATTTTACCACATCTGCAGTTACTTCCTCCACTGAAGTCTTGAACCCCTCAAAGTCATCCAGGAGGGTTAGAATGGTTAGAATCAACTTCTTCCAAACTCCTGTTAATGTTGATTTTTTTTTTACTTCCTCCCATAAATTACAAATGTTCTTAATGGCATCTATAATGGCAAATCTTTTCCAGAAGGCTTTCAATTTGCTTTGCCTAGATCCATCAGAGGAATCACTGTCTATGGCAGCTATAGCCTAATGAAATGTACTTTTTAAATAATAACACTTGAAAGTCAAAATTCCTTTTTTTTTTTTTTTTTTTTGAGACAAAGTCTCACTTTCTCGCCCAGGCTGGAGTGCAGTGTCACGATCTTGACTCACTGCAACCTCCACCTCTCAGGTGTAAGCCATTCTTCTGCCTCAACCTCCCGAGTAGCTGGGATTATAGGCACCCACCACCCCGCCTAGCTAATTTCTGTGTTTTTAATAGAGATGGGGTTTCACCTTGTTGGCCAGGAGGTCAGGAGTTCGACACCAGCAAGTGATCCACCTGCCTCAGCCTTCCTATGTGCTGGGATTACAGGCGTGAGCCACCACACCCAGCTCAAAATTACTCCTCAATCCATGAGTTGCAGAACAGACATTATGTTAGCAGGCATGAAAACGTTAATCTCCTTGTACATCTCCATCCAAGCTTTTGGGTGACCAGGTGCATTGTCAATGAGCAGTAATATTTTGAAAAGATTCTTTTTGTCTGAGCAGTAGGTCTCAACAGTGGGCTTTAAATATTCAGTAAGCCATGTTATAAATATATGTGCTATCATCCAGGCTTTTGTCTTCCATTTATAGAGCACAGGCAGAACAGATTTAGCATAATTCTTTTTTTTTTTTTTTTTTAGACGGAGTCTTGCTCTATCATCCAGGCTGGAGTGCAGTGGTACAACCTCAGCTTACTGCTCCACCTCCCTGGTTCAAGCAATTCTCCTGACTCAGCCTCCTGAGTAGCAGGGATTACAGGAGCACACCACCACACCTGGTTAATTTTTTGTATTTTTAGTAGAGATGGGGTTTTGCCATGTTGGCCAGGCTGGTCTCAAACTCCTGACCTCAAGTGATCCGCCCACCTTGGTCTCCCAAAGTGCTGGAATTACAGGCGTGAGCCATCACACCCAGCCAGATTTAGTGTAATTCCTAAGGGCCCTAGGATTTCTGGAATCATAAAGTCACCAGCTGCATTTAGACCCTAACAGGAGAGTCAGCCTGTCCTTTGAAGCTTTGAAGCTAGGCAATGATTTCTCCTCTCTAGCTATGAAAATCCTAGATGGCATCTTCTTCCAGCAGAAGGCTGTTTCATCTACATTGAAAATGTGTTAGTGTGGCCACTAACACATTTTAGTGCGGTAGTCTTAGCCAAGTCTTCTGCACTTCTAGCACTTGCTGCTTCACCTTGCACTTCTATGTTACAGAGACAGCTTCTTCTCTTCACCTTCATGAACCAACCTCTGCTAGCTTCAAACTTTTGTTGTACAGATTCTTCACTTCTGTCAGTCTTCGTAGAATTAAAGAGAGTTAGGGCCTTACTCTGGAGTAGGTTTTGGCTTAAGAGAATGTTGTGGTTGGTGTGATCTTCTGTCCACACCACCTAAAACTTTCTCCATATAGCCATAAGGCTGTTTTGCGTTCTTATCATTCATGATTTCGCTGGAGCTTTTAATTTCCTTTAACTGTTTGGCACAAGAGGCATAGCTTTTGTTCTGTTTTCACTTTTGATATGCCTTCCTCACTAAACTTAATCATTTCTAGGCTTTTGATTTAAGGTGAGAGGCATGCGATTCTCACTTTCATGTGAACACTCAGAGTCCATTGTTGGGTTATTAATTGGCCTGATTCCAATATTGTAGTATCTCAAGGAATGGAAGGTCCTGAGGAGAGGAAGAGAAATGCGAAACAGCTGGTCAGTGGAGCAGCTCAGAACACACATGCTTACAAGTTAAGTTCATCATTTTATGTGGACGTGGTTGGTGGCACCCTAAAACACTTAGAATTGTACCATCTGATCACAGATCACCATAACAGATATCATCATAATGACAAAGTCTGTAATGTTGGAAGAATTACCAAAACTTGACAGAGACACAACGTGAGCACAGGCTGTTAGAAAAATGGCACCAATAGACTTGACACAGGGTTGCCACAGACCTTCAATGTGTAAAAAACACAGTATCTGTGAAGTGCAATAAAGCAAAGTGCAGTAAAATGAGGTATCCCCGTATGTAAATTTTTTAAATGTATAATTTTTAATATGTAGAATTATGTGGCTGGGTGTGGTGACTCATACTCTGTCATCTCAGTACTTTGGAGGCCGAGGCAAAAGGATTGCCTGAGCCTGGGAGGTCAACAGCAGCCTAGGCAACAAAGCAAGACCTCGTCTCTACAAAAAATTTCAAAAATTAGCCGGGCATGGTGGCACATGCCTGTAGTCTCAGCTACTCGGGAGGCTGAGGTGGAAAGATTGCTTGAGTCCAGGAGATCAAGGCTGCAGTGAGCCATGATTGTAAGACTGCACTCCAGCCTAAGTGACAGAGTGAGACCCTGTCTCTCAAAAAAAAAAATTTTTTTTAATGTTTATTTTGCATACATACACACACACATATACAAACACAATTCTTAAAAATGAGTTCAGAAACTCCTGAAACTTTTCCTCTGGAAGATTTTAAAATAAGGTAGAAAAACTCAATTTTTAAGTTAAATGCAAACATGAATTTTAAAGGTGAACCACTTTCACAAATATTTTCATTAAATTTAGTTTCCAAGTAATCTTTTCTTAGAATGAGTTTCTTTCAAAATGCAGATTTGTTCTATTGTTAAATTGTCACCTCCTTTATCTTGAAGTGGGAGATCAAGTGTGTTGTTTTCTTCTTTTCAAATTATCTGGTAGGAAGCATACTTGCTGACAACCACTTGTCACAGAAAAAAAATCAGCAAATGTGGGGATACCTTTCTATTTTGTGAAATGACAACTCTTGATTAAATACTTTGCCTCAAGACAATCCAAAAATCTGTTTGGTGCAGATATTATTGTGGTCACTGTCCAGCTCTTTACAAAGTATTGTGATAATGTAATAATTCTACTGTGCAAAGGTTTTGGATTTTAAAATTAATTGCATTGGTGGCACTCTATAACTCATAATCCGCAATACATCAAAAGCCTCTGAAAGCTGTAGAACAGTGAGGGTCCCATTGCCAACTTCTTATTGTGGAGTCTCTGCAAGAATCTCTAGCATCTCTTGTGTGTCACCTTTCACAGAAGCACCAAGGGATGGGAGCAATGTATGTCTGAAGATTTAAGAAAGCCTTTTTTCTTGCTTTTAGATTTAAGAATTAGCAGCTTTGATAGTTTCCTCTTGTACCCTGTGCTTATTGCACTCTAATTAAGAGTCCTGCATTTGGCTTCAAAGGCTGCTGCCATAAACAATAAATATCTAAATGTCATTCACCTTTAAGCCCAGACCAGTTTCTTATCATCTGACAGTTTATAATGGGCATATTGTCTCATTACATTAAGTGGACTTTGATCCTCTTTAGATTACTCTTGAGAATATTTTTTTAATTGGCTTAAAGGAAAATTCTAAATTATTTTTAACTAGATGTAAATATTACAAGACTAAATTTGCGGCACACTCTTATTTGTATTAATTTTCTCCACTTTAAAGTAGGCCAAACTGTGTTCATGTGCCCAGAGAGGTTATTGATTAGATAAAGAGGTTTTCTTAGGTGGTTTTCATGTGAAATCGCTTGGAAAGTACTTAAACACATTACTCTCTAATATTGGTTGGGTAAGCAATAAAGTGGTGGAGGGTGTCAATCTGTACTAAAAGAGTGATAAATGAACAACATATTTGGTGCTAGTATCCAAAATTTTTGCTAGATTCAAAGGGATTCAAATTATAGAATTCACTAATCTGAGTTTCTGAGTCTAGTGAGCAAGAAAGTGATAATTTCATATTTATGTTTGATAAAGAAGTTTCAAAAAATGGAATTTGTGGTGTAAGCATAAGCACTATATAGAATAATCCTTAAGAATTATAAATTTGCTTTTCAAGTTTTTCTAAAGAAGGGAAAATAGGTCCCTTTTCAAACTGAAGACGTTACAAAATACATTATTGTGTTGATTCTAAAGGAAAACAGAGTAAAAGAGAAGAGGCAGGAGTCAGGAAAATTATGAATTTAGAAGCTATAGGCAGCCAGATAAGCTAATATTAGTGCCTTATGCTTCTGTAATTTTCTATAGCCTACAAGGATTTCCAAATATACACACACACACACACACACACACACACACACACACACATATATATGTGTATATATGAAATCTCATTAATTTGATTTAATCTAATCTGGTACAAGCATGAATATCCAATTTTATAATTTGAATTTCCTTTTGAAATAGTTTGGAACTATTGGAACCGAAAGAAATAATTTTATGCTTTTAAACTTCCCAATACTCAGGGCAAAGGCAGGGAAGATAAAATTATCTTAGTATTTTATTGGCATTGTAGGCTATCACTCATTGGCATTGTAGGCTATCACTCTGTCTATTTGTAGTATATTGATCATTAAGTAATTCCAATGTTTTTCTTTTTTTTTTTTTTTTTTTTGAGACAGAGTCTCGCTCTGTCGTCCAGGCTGGAGTGCAGTGGTGTAATCTTGGCTCACTGCAAGCTACACCTCCCAGGTTCACTCCATTCTCTTGCCTCAGCCTCCCGAGTAGCTGGGACTACAGGTGCCCACCACCACGCCCGGCTAATTTTTTGCATTTTTTAGTAGAGACGAGGTTTCACTGTGTTAGCCAGGATGGTCTCGATCTCCTGACCTCGTGATCCGCCTGCCTCGGCCTCCCAAAGTGCTGGATTACAGGCGTAAGCCACCACGCCCAGCCTCCAGTGTTATTTTTAAAAGTTTTCCATGGGTCAGGTTGAATTCTACGTACCTACCAGAACTATATTTCACCAGTAATCCTAGGGTTTGATATATACAACCACCTTTCATTAAGCTTATTCTCACTATTTAAAGATAAAAAATAAATGTAAAGTTCAAAATCTTTCTCTAAAGAGTTAAAAGTGGCAACTATATACATAGCACCTTTCTTGCCTGGATGTGAAAGCTAGGATTATAGAACCTGAATTCTTTTAAACATGTTTTGTTAGAACTGATTCTCCTTCCTTTATGCCATCTTTTTGACTCCACTGCTCTTCTGTCTTCTCCCCGTCTTTGTGATCATGTGATCAAACGTGAAACTATATTCAGTGAGAGCCTCAGTGGTAAGAGTGAAAGCATTTCCCCCCAGTCCAGGGGCTTCATCCTTCCTTCAGTGCCTTGGCCAGGCCCTCAGGGAATGAGGAGACCTTTGCTCTTCCCTCCACCTTGTCCTGACTCCTCAAGCCTCCAGCCTTGAGGAGGCTTCTCTAGATGAAAGCTCCTCAGTAATTGTATTAGTCTGTTCTCACACCGCTATGAAGAAAAACCCAAGACTGGGGAATTTATAAAGGAAAGAGATTTAATTGACTCACAGTTCCGCATTGCTGGGGAGGCCTCAGGAAACTTAAAATCATGGTGGAAGGCAAAGGAGAAGCAGGCACCTTCTTCACAGGGCGGCAGGACGGAGTGAGTGGCAGCAGAGGAAATGCCAGATGCTTATAAAACCATCAGATCTCATGAGACTCACTATCACAAGAACAGCATGGGGGAAACTGCCCCATGATCCAGTGACCTCCGCCTGGACCCACCCTTGAGACGTGGGGATTATGGTGATTATAATTCAAGATTCATTGTCTCAAAACATATTAGCACTCTGCTTTTCATACTTTTTCCCTTTAATCAAGAATCTTTAATAGTTTTCCAAAAGCTTCAGGGCTTGTCTTTAAGTAGGCACTGCACTCTGTAACCCTATGTTCATCCACATGTAGCCCCTTTGAAGGACTTTACCTCCAACAAAACCCTGCTATTTTTAAAGGTTCAGTTGTGTCATCTCATCTGTGAAAGATGTCATCATCTCTTTCTCTCATCCTTGTCCCTTCCCCACTTTGGAAAAGTAATCACCACCTCCTTCTCATAACACTTGGTTTCCCATTGCCAGTATAAGCTATACTATGGAGTTGAGGGACTCCACAAAGTTCCATTAATACATAACTGTGTTGAAGGCAAGAAAATGAAAGCTCTTGGGAGAATTAAAAAGTAATATGTTCACTTGGGGTTTTTTCCCCCTAAAACAAAAAAATGTTCATATTCAGGAAATATCAGGTGAACACCCTTCTCCTAGATCCTGGACCAGGTGCAGGAGATAAGTGGTAAACGTTTTCTTGGTGACTCTCACAGAGTTTATAGTCTAGGGAAGAGACAAACATTAGTTAATCACAAAAACATTTCGAATTGCAGGATGTGAAGAAGTCATTTTTGAGCTGGGATCAAGGGGATGTGTAGATGAGAGCTAGGGGAAGAGAAGAGAGTGGATGGTCCAGGCAGCAGAGCATGTGGAGTGTCAAAACTCTGTATTGAAAAGGAACAGGACAAGGCCAAGAGGCTGAAGGATGGCAAAGCCCCCTGGGGCAGAGAGCAGCAGGCTGGAGAGCGAACACTGACAGACTCTGTGGTGGGGTCTCAGGTTTGTCTTGGCATCAGTGGGAAGCACTCAAGGTCCTGAGGAGGACATGGTCGTGTTTGTGTTTAATTAATTCAGGTTCCTGCTCATCCCTGTCTCAAGAGCCATAAAGCATTATGACCAAATCATGCCAGCTATCAGGAGCGATCGTTTTAGATTGTCATGTTTTACCTCTTTGATATTTGTTTACCTTTTCCCAAAAACACAAGCCTGCAATGCAGGTTCCTAGCTGGATAGGCCCTTGAAATGTTGGGTATAGTATTAAACTCTGGTTGGTCTCCTGGAATTGGTTTCACCATCAAGCAGTAAAGATTTCATTTGAGATCATCTGTCATCAGATCATTTGACTAGAAACTGCTACCAAAACAAAGGCCTGACTTGTGAGAAAGAGCAGGTATTTGACACAGCTAGCAAGTTTGTATTTTTTAGTTCTGTTCACTTGTTTCAGATAGTCAAAAATAACTTTAAAAAAAGAATCTTCCTTTAATTTGAAGAAGAGAATGTCGTGTAAAATGGGTTCAGGTTCACAATTGCTACAGCTTAGAATGAGTCCAGTTACCAAAAAACTGAAGTCAGAACGGGCAGATATATGTACATATCTTTATCTGTTTGTTTTCTTTATTTTTAAAACAGAGAAGAGGGGATTGCCTGAGTTGAAAACATGACAGAGGGATTAGCACTGTAGGAAACCAAGAGAAAGGTTCATGAAAAATGAAATGTTCTGTGCTAGTATTGTTAAAGTATTTACACTCAGAGGACATAAGTGGATGCCATTGATTTTCAGTCAAAAATGCTTGAAGCTCAACTGCATTTGTGAAATATATACCTACATATTTAAGCTAACATAACAATTTATAGATAAGTAATATTTCCCAAATTGCATTACCCAGAATATTATGTCCATGAAATATTAATTGATGATCTATGAAAAGAAAACAGCTCTATAGATAAATAAGTTTGTCAACACTGGATTTAAAAGGTTTCATTACTGTAAACTTCTCAGAACTATTAACTGGCTAATGTGCAATGTACATTGCTCATCTCTGGGATGGAGCTTTATTATAACACTGCTTCCCAAACTTTTTTCACCATGGAACCTCTTTTATCCAAAACAATTATTAGTATTTCTGATCTGCATTTTTTGTTTTTTTTTTTTTTGTCTCAGAACACAGTTTGATAGTCACTGATTCTGATAATTGTTGTTATATGTCCTTCAAAATAGTCATCTTAATATCATTACCCTAGTAATAAAGTTCTTGCCTCAAATATATTTGAAAATAATTTGAGGTAAGTCATTTATTACACGTGTATACTAGTTACTAATGAGAATACTCTGTGGTGTGTTATATGAAATCTTAAAAAGTACCCACTGCAGAAAATTAGCATTATTGCTGTGTTTATGCTTCTTTTTAATAAAAATAAAAAAGCAGGCTTCTGTTTGCCCTCAATGAGAGAATTGAACGCTGGGAGGCCAAGTAGTGAGAACAAGGGAGGGTCACACAGAGTTACACATATGAAGTTTTGCAATGGGCCGCTATATAAGGGCCCACACTTTTTAT
This sequence comes from Homo sapiens, assembly GCF_000001405.40. Taxonomy (NCBI): domain Eukaryota; kingdom Metazoa; phylum Chordata; class Mammalia; order Primates; family Hominidae; genus Homo; species Homo sapiens. The sequence continues at coordinate 119,228,813 of NC_000006.12, read as the reverse complement.
GCCTATATTTTGTCATTTTTTAAAAAGTATAAGATTGACATACTATAATTATAACTATTTATTTTCATTTATGGATAGGTACATAATTTGTATCTTTATTTAGAAAAATTCTAACATTTCCTTCCAAATTTGTTTTTTTAAGTTCTTCAGATTTATTCTGAATTTCATATCATTGTGGCTAAGAAATTAGGGGTTTTTCTTTAAAAAAAATAGTTTTCTAAAAGAGTCTGAGCTATTTTGTGATAAAAATTTAGGATGTATAGTCATAGAATTCTTTTTCTGAATTACAAGGGTCTTTTGTGTTCTAATAACGTATTCCATTATGTATATTTGAATGGCAAGTCTAGATGGTTGAGTTTCTCAGTGAAAAATTTGGTGAAAGAATTATTAAGATTTTTGAAAATTATCACTATATATTATTAAAGAAAACCCTAAGTCAATAATACCACAATGTCATGATATTTGCATTATGATCATTTGTGTTACCCAAAGCTTCGGATTCATTATAAACACATGAAATACCACTAGGGTTGGAGTGAAGTTAATCACATTCTTTGCTCTTAAACTAAAGGTAAAACTTTCTTCAGTTAAGTTATTGAGGAATAAATATGCTGGTGAACAATCAATAAGTAATTACTACAAAACTGTATTACAGGGGTCTCTCTGAACCATATCCCTTTCACAAGTCTAATAAATTTCAACATTGTTTAACTTTTAGTTGAATATGTTAAACTAAGAACTAGGATATAAAATGTTTTGTTTCTTGTCTCTTTTTCTCTCCAGTAAATACTTTCATATTTTTTAAAAAGTTTTGGTTTCCTAAGCATTTCAATGAACAGAGCAATGAAATATTATTGCAGATGTATTTCTCTATATATAGTGCATTCTCTTAAAATTTTAGTGAGTAAAACTTTTTGTTAAATTCACTTTATAAAACAGTTTCTTTTTTCTGATTATAGAAAAATTTTCATGGGAAAAAATAATCACTCGAAATTTCAATCCGATGTTAACATATGCATCACTCAATTCTCATTTTTAAAAAACAGGCCAAGTGCAATGACACATGCCTGTAATCACAGCACTTCAGGAGGCCAAGGCAGGAAGATAGCTTGAGTCTAGGAGTTCAAGACTATCCTGGGCTATGTAGTGACACCTCATCTCTATAAAACATTTAAAAATAGCTGCTCATGGTGGTGTGCACCTGTGGTCTCAGCTACTGGAGAGGCTGAGGCAGGAGAATTGTTTGAGGTCAAGGCTGCAATGAGCCATTATTACACCACTGCACTTAGCTTGGGCAATAGACTGAGACCATGTCTCAAAAACAAACAAAACAATGAAATTGTATACTTCCGTTCCATTCGTTTTTGCTTTGTATCCACTTTTTGGAGGCATAATTTACCTGAAGAATACACCCATTTTAAGTATAAATTTCAGTGTATTTTGACAAATGTATACGTCTGTGCAGACACTGCCACAATCAAGATATACAACTTTTCGTTACTCACAAAACTTTCCTAGTGACCCTTTGCAGCCATTCATTTGCCATCATCTGACCCCAGGCAACCACTGATATGTTGCTGTCAGTATACATTAGTTTTGTCCCTTCTAAATTTTATACAAGCAAATGTGCAATATGTACTCTGCTGTATAGTTTTTTTTGGTACAGCATGGTGTTTGCGGTTCATTAGTAAGTATTCTGTGTATACTAGTTCAATCCTTTATATTGCTGAGTAGTATTTCATTGTATGAATATACTATAGTTTATTCTCCTGTTTATGGATGTTTGTGTTATCTCTAATTTTCAGTGATCATAAGTAAAACTGCTTATGAAAATTCACGTTCAGGCCGGGCATGGTGGCTCACGCCTCTAATCCCAGCACTCTGGGAGGCCAAGGCAGGAGGATTGCTTGAGGCCAGGAGTTCAAGACCAGCTGGGCAACATGGCAAAACTCTGTCTCTACTAAAAAATATATAAATTAGCCAGGCCTGGTGGCTCACACCTGTAATCCCAGCTACTCAGGAAGCTGGGGCACAAGAATCGCTTGAACCCAGGAGGCAGAGGCTGCAGTGAGCCAAGATTGCGCCACTGCACTCCAGCCTGGGCAACAGAGTGGGACTCTGTCTCAAATTAAAAAATAAAAAGTTCATATCCAGGTCTTTATATGAACATTTTATATATTCTTCTTGGTAGATGCCTATGAATGGAATTATTGATCATATCAATTTTTATTCCCTACTGTCTTTTTCAAGGATGTTTATTGAACAGCCTGGGAAGATGTGTCTAAAATATCATCTTTTAGGACAATGGGCAGTTTTTTGTTTGTTTGATTTCATTTGTTTTTAGTTTGTTTGCTGTCCACAATAATGATGTTTCCTTCTGGAACAAAGATTGGGCATGTTTCCTAGCAGCACCTTTTAAAGATTAGGGTTCCCTCGGCTGTAACACAAGCCAGTGTCATGTGCAGCGTCCACCCAGGCTGCTGTGCGTCACCCTTGTGTAAACGTGAAAGGCAAGGGGCACTGATGCATGGATGAAGCTCATGCTGCCTGCTGTTCCTTTCACTCCTTTCCTGTGCTTTGTGTATGTGTGTTATGGCAATCAAATATTTTTAGTATTCATTTTGAGTCCTCTTTAGACATGTTAGTTGTCTGTCTTCATATTAGTTTCTTTTCTCATGGCTGCTCTAGGGATTACAATTTACTTAGAGTTAGTATTGTATTTCAAGTAAATTATAGGAACTTTAAAATGGTAGAGATCTTTTTAACCATCTTACCTTTTGCGAAAAAATTCAGATAGATGCATGGATAGGCAGACAGATGTACTTTATATCTACCTACATAATTTGCCATTTTCAATGCCTTTAGTTTTTTCCTCTGTAGCTATTCCCTGCAACCTAAATATGTTCTTCTAGTATTTCTTTTACAGCAGGTTTGCTGGTGACAAATTATCTCATTTTTTGCCAATCCAAAAATACTTCCCTTTCACTTTTGAAGAAAAGTTTCATCAGATATATTGTTGTTTAAAAAATACATAAAGAAGGGTTATTGGTTTTCAGATTTTTTATCAAATTTTGAAGATGCCATTCTTGCGTCTTATGGCTGTTCATTGTTTCTGAGAAGTCAGCCATTAATCTTGTCATTGTTTCCATGTATGTAATGTGTTATTTATTTTCTGGGTACTTTCAAGATTTTCTCATTATCTTTGGCTATCAGAAGTTTGAGTTTGATGTCCATAGCTAGGGTGGTTCTTGTTATAGTTATCCTGCTTGTGTTTGCTGGTTTTTTAATATTGGTAAATTCATGGCTTTCACAAAATCTGGAGTTTTTAGCCAGTACCTCTTCAGATATTTTTTCTACCCTTTCTCCTCCTCCTCTTCCTTCTCCTCCTCCTTCTCTTTCTCTCTCTGTCTCTCTCTCTAAGAGACAAGGTTTCACTCTGTCACTCAGGCTAGAGTTCAATGGCACTTCATTTCAGCCTCAAACTCCCAAGATCAAGTGATCCTCCCACCTCAACCTCCCAAGTAGCTGAGACTACAGGTGTGAGCCACCGCACCTGGCTCCAGTTATACTTTTCTTTGACCCCTAAATGTTATTTCACAAGTCTCCAAAGCTCTGTTCATTTATATTTAATCTTTTCTGAATATTCTTCAGATACAATTTTTTTTTTATTGAGACAGAGTCTCGCTCTGTTGCCCAGGCTGGAGTGTAGTGGCGCAATCTTGGCTCACTGCAACCTCTGCCTCCCTGCAACCTCTGCCTCCCGGGTTCAAGCAGTTCTCCTGCCTCAGCCTCCTGAGTAGCTAGGATTACAGGCATGCACCACCATGCCCGGCTAATTTTTGTATTTTTAGTAGAGACGGGATTTCACCATGTTGAGCAGGCTGGTCTTGAACTCCTGACCTTGTGATCTGTCCACCTCGGCCTCCCAGAGTGCTGGGATTACAGGCATGAGCCACTGCACCCGGCCCCAGATACAATTATTTTTAGTGATATCTTCAAGTTTACTGTTTCTTCTGCCCATTTATTTAGCACATTTTCTTTGAATTCTTTGAATGTATTTAAATAGTTGCTTTGAAGTCATTGCTAAATCCAGCATCTAGACCCACTCAGAGTCCATTTCTGTTCATTGTTGTTCTTCCTGAGCATGGGTCACGTTTTCCTATTTCTTTATATGTCTGGTAACTTTGTGTTAAAAACTGGATATTTTAGATATGTTAAGTAGCTTTTGATATATTACGTTCTTCTGAGAATTATTTTGTTATTGTTTACCTAGCCATTAACTCTCTTGGATTCAAACCATAAACTGTGTCCCCTGCCAAGTGTGACAGCTGGTATTTCTGCTCAGTTCTTTCCATTTCCAGCTGTTGGTTTTTAACCTGGCACCCTGGGGATCTTCTCCGTACCTGTGCAATTTAGCATTCAGTCAAGGATTTTGGCAAATTTTGTAGACATTGCTAAGCTCTGTCTTCTGACACTTCAGTAAGGATTTCGCTTCCTGTATCCTGAGTAGAGCATGGATTCAGGAGTACTCAGTCTATAAAAGTAGCAAACATGAAATCTTGTCTAGTGCAGTCTTTCTTTCAAAGGTAGCTATCCCTCTGGTTTCTCTCAGCTATTTTGGTGATCCCCAGTGTCTCCCTTATAGCATGTCTTATTTAGTGGTCATCCAGGGATTTCAGCAGAGATTATACCCAGTGTTTTGGTCCCACCTCTTCTATGGCTTACTTGTTTCCAGGATTCCACCCTGATCTTTCAGCTACCCTGCCAGCCTTTAACTCTGTCCTGTGCCATCTTAAAATATAACTGCAATTTTTTAAAATCAGATTTTTTTAAAAAGCCTTTAACTCAAATTCTTACTAATTGCTGTTGGTGTCTTTCAATGGTTAATGCTCTGTTAGTTTGTGCCTGCTTTTTGGTCACTTTCTAATGCCTTTAAATAGTTGAGTTTTATAATATATATATATAATGCCCAGATTTTATAATTGCTATTACTGGAGTATTTGGTAACCAATTTTCTTCACCATTACTAGAGGCCAGAAGTCCCTCCATTTTTAAAATATCCTCAATAATTTTCTGTCATTAAGCATTCTCTGACCTTTAGTAGCTGCATAATATCAGATCTCCTAAATAGGCCATAATTTTTAACCTGTCTCCCGTTTTTAGATATCCAAACTCTTTTCAGTTTTATAATAGTATAATTAGTACTATAATGTATAAACCATTTTTACTTGGGAATATAAGTTTTATTGGGGATAAAATTATAATTTTTAGGGCAAATTTCTAGAAATGAATTCAGTTAGTAAGTATGAATATTAATACATTTGATACATTTTTCCAAACATCCCTGCAGAATAGTTGTGCCAGTTTTCAGTGCCACCTATGAAATGTAAGGTTACTTTTTTTTAAGTCAAATAACTTTAAACTTATGAGATTTGGTGGTGTTTGGTTTCTGCTAAAAGAATTATTTGATTTGTTTTATAAGCAAAAAAATTATTCCTGATTGTTTTATAAACTGCATAGGCTATGCTTACATTAAGAAAAATATCACTTGTAATATGGTTATATAACCAAAATAGTAGAATGAGTAGGAGCTTTAGTTTATTTAGTTTAATTATTAGACTTATTTCAGTAAATACAAAAACAGAAAATTTTTAAATTCCACTATAGGGAACTAATTTTGTTCACAAAATATTTTAGAATGAATATTCTAAATATTCATTCTAAAATATTCTTTTCCTGTTTCTTATTTCTTCCCTTCCCCCCTTTTTAAACCACTTTGAGATATAATTCACATACCATACAATTCATCCACTTAAAAGGTTCAATTCAGTAGTTTTGAGTATATTCACAGAGTTGTGCAACCATCAGTACAACAAATTTCCCTTCCCTTTTGAATAACAAAATGGGAGTACCAAATGGAATCCCAGTGGCAAGGTCAGGAAGGAGAGAGATTATGGGGCAAGGAGAAGAGAGATTCTGCCACCAGAGAAGCTGGATTTTTCTCCTCCTCACTCCCAAACACTGCCCAGGATTTCAGCTGTGATTATATAAATAACATTTTAAAGGCAATTTTGTGCATTTTTCAAACTGTAGAAAACTAGTCATGGTGAAGAAGTTTCTCTGTGCTAATGTGAAAATGAAATCAAGATCATTTTGTGTTGTCATTGTTTCGTAAAGATGAAAGGTGGACCGGGCATAGTGGCTCATGCCTGTAATCCCAGCACTTTGGGAGGCTTTGGCAGGAGGATCTCTTGAGCTCAGGAGTTTGAGACCAGCCTGGGCAACATAGCAAGACCTTGTCTCTATAAAAACTTAAAAAATTAGCCAGCCATGGTGGCATATGCCTGTAGTCCCAGCTACTTGGGAGGCTGAGGTAGGAGGATTGCTTGAGCCCAAGAGGTCAAGGCTACAGTAAGCCATGACCACACCACTGCAGTCCAGCCTGAGCAACAGGACAAGATCCTGTCTCAAAAAAAAAAAAAAAAAATCCTTAAAAAAAAAAAGATGAAAGATACTATAATAACAACAACCAAAATAAAAAACACTTCAGGGTGTTTATTAGCTAAAAAGTATTATCCGTAATACGTTTTATATTAGCCAAAATATAATATTTATCTTATGCTAACAGTACTGTAGCAAAAATGAACTCTGGAAAATATGGCTCTTCACATTTTGAAGTCAGTTGGGGAAGTTTGAATATGGACAACATACTAGGTCATTTGAGGAAATTATTGTTCTTTGTAATGTTCTTTGTTGCCATATGGTATTGTGGTCATAAAGGAGGATTTCCCTACTCTTTGGAGATGCATAGTAAAATATTTAGTGAATTGATATCTGTGACTTCTTCAAAATAATTTCCCAAAAGTATATTAATATGGAGAAAGAATATTATGCTTTATATAGATAGGTGAAGGCACTACAACAAAATAATTACTAATATTTGTTAAATCTAAGTGGTGGGTATATGAGTAAATTTAAGTGTTTATCTCACTCTTGCTGTTACTTTTTCATATATTTGACATTTTTCATTAAAAATAAAGTTTTGGAAAATAGGTCTCTGAGGCCGGGCGCAGTGGCTCACACCTATAATCCCAACACTTTGGGAGGCCAAGGTGGGTAGATTACTTGAGGTCAGGAGTTTGAGACCAGCCTGGCCAACATGGTGAAACCCTGTCTCTACTAAAAATACAAAAATTACCTGTATTTTTTTGTATTGGGGAGGCTACGGCATGAGAATTGCTTGAACCCAGGAGGCAGAGGTTGCAGTGAGCCAAGATTGTGCCACTGCAATCCAGCCTGGGTGACAGAAATGAGACTCTGTCTCGAAAAAAAAAAAAAAAAGAAAAGAAAATGGGTCTCTGAATATTCTAGACACAAAACAAGAATATGTGTTTAGTTTGCTAGTATTAGGTAACATGAGGAAGATATCTATTCATATTTGTCAGTATATGCAAAAATTATCTTTAAAATGCGATTGAAGAAACAAGTAACAGTGGTTATCTGTGGAGAGGGAATAGGAAAAGTGTGGATGGGGCAGGAATTGGAAGTAAAATTTGTGGTTACTTTTTTATGCTTTTTAATATTTTGAAACATTTTATTATCTAATAAAAATTACATATTGAAAGAGAGAATATTGTCATTAAAGATTGGAGCCTAAAAAAATAGAAAAATTTATTTTATGCTCAGAAATTTTTTCAGATAATGCTAAAGCACTGGGCTTGTAACTGTTGTTGACCTGCTGATAATACATTTAGAATTTGCTTCGGGGGTATTAAAAAATTGGACTTCTTTTTCTTTGTTACAACATGTCAGCATTGTTTTTCTTTTATTGTCTTTTTATAACATGTTTTCACTGGGGACTTTTAAAGAAAAAAGTATATTATGAGTCAGTTTTGTACATATTGGGTTTTTTTAATGCCGTGTTGTTTCAAATAAATATAGATTGGTGATATCTCAATTTTCAGTGCTAATAAATTTCCTTTGCTCTCCTTGGCTCAGGAAATTGGCTAATTTAACTGCTAACCTATATAGAAGTATTTATATGAAAAATGACATCCTGTAGTATCTGAAAAAAGCAGAGCACACATTGTTAAACTAGTCAGACCTGGTGTGGAAACCCACCCACCCTTGCCACTTAATAACTGGAGCAAGTCACTTAACCTTGTAGAGACCCAGTTTCCTTTGCTAAACAGTAATATCCTACCATCTACGAGGTTGTTGTGGTGATTAATTGAATTACATAAACAACTCTTACTTGTAGTGTCCTCATTTAAAGAAGGTGCCTGTTTATTTTTTTAATGTGGATTACCAATAAGTATGAAGGGCTAGAAGTTTAACATTGGTTATATGCATTGCCTTATTTGTTTACAAGTCATTCTAAAGAGAAGGAAACTTAAACCATTTTACATATAAAAGGATACTACGTGAAAGTAATGTTTAATTAAATTAAAATTTAATCAATGTATCTTTAAACTCACCAAGTAAAATAAATTCCTGTGTTATCAAGTTTTTACCTCTTGGAATTAAGCTTTAAATTTTCTATTTCATTTTACCAGTGGGTTCACTGGTGATTGGATCAGCAACTCCAAATATCATGATGTCCTTTACAAACCTTATATATTGTCCATAGTAAAGTAGTTGTCGTAATGAACAAGTTTTGGCAGAAGAAAGATTTCTATGGTAGTCTTTTGAAAATCATTCTAAAATGAAGATTGTGGTAAAAGTCCTCTTATGATGGAATAAAGAGAACAACTTTTATTAATTTCCTGTGCATGTGGATATTCAAAAGTGTATGGATTTTTTAAATGATGATTCTGTAAGAACTCATAGTTGATTACTTAGCCACCTGCAAGATATTCCTTTGAGGAAAAAAAAAAAAATCACCAGACAAGATTTTCCTAGCTTTTCTTACTAAGTTGTATAATGTGTCATTGATGTCTGTGGCTGTCTCTTACTATTAGAAATACTTTTATTACCTTTTTCTAGAAGACGTATGACATGTAAGAGCTTTCTTAAAATACTACATATTTGGTAGTTGTGTAGCAATTACATTGCTTTAAGAAAGTTGGCTGTTAACAGTAGCAATTTGTTACACTTTTAAATTTTGGGAATACCTTACATTGTTTCATTACTACTTGTGTTACAATTCTATCTCCAAGTGAACATTTGGTGAATTTTTTTTTTTTTGAGTAGATGTCTAAAATTGAAGGGAAAAAAAAACAAAAACAGATCTCTTTTGGTTAGCTAAATGTCAGTTGCTTAATCCAAAAAGATAAAAATGTTTTGCTGGACTAATCCCTGTAGTTTCAAAGCATTTTCATGTGTATTATTCCATTTGATCCCACTAAAACTCTATAAGGTGGGGTAGGTAAGTGGTACTTTGTTTTATAGATCAGGAAATTGCTGTCAAAGACTTGAAGGGACATGCCCAAGATAACACCTGAAAATTCTGTAAGTGCATAAATGCTGCTTAATGATTATCTGACCCATTCCCTAATTTACCTTTAGTCTCTCTATTGTCAAAACTCCTCTGGATAAAATGTTCTCTGTTGTTTAAATGCAATGATTTTCCCTTCTCTTTATGGAGAAATATTGATGAAAACACTAAATCTCTATAAAGAAAAAATAAATCAGTGAAATTTTGCAGTAAGATGGGAAAAGAGAAAGAAATGCCAAAGTGAAAATTAACTTCAGAATACAGTAAGTCCTCACTTAATGTCATCAGCAGGTTCTTTGAAACTGCAGCTTTAAGCAAAATGACATATAACCAAACCAGTTTTACCCTTGGCTAATTGTTATAAACAAGGGTTAAGTTTCTGCAGCACATTCATGGTCACAAAAACATCACCAAACTTCTAAAGATCAAAGCATTTCTAATATTAAACATTGAAGTACATATGAGCTATACTTAACATTTAAGAAAGATTAATTAAAAAAAAAACAGATAATTATTTACCCAGTTATTCCAGTTCAAGGTTGCTGGTTGCCAGAGCCTACCTTGGCAGCTCAGGGTGCCAGGTGTGAACCAGCTCTGGCCAGTACGCCATCCCAGCGCGGGGTGCATTCATACATACATATTCATTCATTCATTCAGACTAGGACCATGTAGACATGCCAATTCACCTAACATGCACAGCTTTGAGATGTGGGAGAAAAGCTGGTGTACTCAAAACCCATGCAGACATGAGACAACATGCAAACTCAGTACAGGCAGTGGCCCCAGCCTGGAATCAAGTTTTTTGTGTTTTTTTTTTTATCGATGTTATAAGTAAAGGACATTGAAAAGACCTTATTTGAGGATCTTCGGTGGTTTAATATTTGATAGCAATAATTAGCTAAGATATTGTAGAGGTGAGCCTAATACAATGTGTTATCTGATGTGAAAAACAAAAATATTTATAGCTTAAAACAGTAAACTTTACATACTGTATATACTACTATAACTTTCTCTCCTGAACCTAATTAGGAAAAAATAAGTTATTGTACAGATTTTCAGGGTCTTTTAAACATAATCTTAGGTGAGAGGAGAAAGCTTTCTAAATAGGGTACAGAACCCAGAACACATATGGGGAAAAATTGAAAATTTTTATCAAATGAAAATTAGTATAACCCAAAACATGACTAAAATCAAAAGACAACAAATCAAGAAAAAAAATTACAAAACATAGGACGGATAAAAGGCAAGTTTTCTTAATGTATAAAAAGCTCTTTCTAAAACCATTAGGATGACCACTGGTGGCTAATGTGGCATGATTGTAGAATTTTTAAAAATTAGGAGATGTCTACCTGTTTGTCAATAGAGGATTGGTTTAATGAAATGTGATTCTTCACTTATGGAATGTAACTATGCAGCTGTTAAAAATTATCCTAGAAAAGTGTCTGTGATGAGCTACTACTAATTGAAACAGGCATGTTGCTAAGTAATGTATACAATGTAATCCTATTTATTAGAAAAACAACGAACTCCCTTTCTAGATATCCATATATGTGTGTGCATGTGGATGGATAACATTGGTGAACTAGGATTGGCAGGTTGGAGGCGCAGGAGGAATTGCAATGGGGTAGGGATACAGTGTTAGATTTTTCTCTATCATCTTTACATTATTTCACTCATTACAATGAGTATGCATTACTTGTGTAAATTTTTTTAATTATAAAGCATAATAGAAGTGAAAGAGGGAGTAACACTCAATATGTAAATGAGACATTCATAAACAGGTATACTTCTCAGAAAAAGAATTCCATTTGCTGCCGAGCGCAGTGGCTCACGCCTTTGGGAGGCCGAGGCAGGCAGATCATGATGTCAGGAGATCGAGACCATCCTGGCCAACATGGTGAAACCCTGTTTCCACTAAAATACAAAAAATTAGCCAGGCGTGGTGGTGCATGCCTGTAGTCTCAGCTACTCAGGAGGCTGAGGCAGGGGAATTGCTTGAACCTGGGAGGGGGAGATTGCAGTGAGCCGAAACTGGGCCACTGCACTCCAGCCTGGCGACAGAGCAATACTCCATTTAAAAAACAAAACAAAACAAAAAAAATTCAATTTGCCATTCAACACTGGAAGCTTATGATTAAATAAATGCAAGTTAAAGCAGCATTAAGGTGTTACTTTTAACCTAAAAGATTGACCAAGTTTTAAAAGTTTGATAAATGCCCAGTTAGTGAGCAACTAGACCATTCTCATGCCCATTAAGAGGGAATGTGTATTAGGACATACTCTTTGGAAGGCAATTGGGTAATGTTTATTAAATTTTAAATACATACTTTATGACTTGGAATTAGACTTGTAGGATTTTATCCTGGAGACCTATCCATGCATGTGCAACATTGTTTATCGTAGCAAAACTTGAAGCAAAAGAAAAATGTTGAATAAGTAACCTACTGTACATCCACAGAATACTGTGCAGCTGTAATTAGGCAGAGCACCAGGATACTTTCTGTTTTCAGCAAACACAGTATACAACAACATGTATGGTATACTTCCATTCATGTTTACTCTGAGAAATGACAGTGGGATCTGGAGTATGTGGCAGATTCATTTCTGTTACATAATCTTTTGTTTCTTTTCAATTTTTTACCATATGTATGTTATTGTTATACTTTTTAATGATTTCAGAAAAGCCATTGCAGAAAAAATGTTCCTCAAATTGAACAAATTGATCTTTATAAATAACTAAAAAAGGAAAATTAAAATGCATGAATTTGGCTTTTTCCTTGTAATTGTGGGTGATAGTTATTATAGCAAACTCTGAAAAGAGAACGCATGCTTGTCTTTACCACACCTGCTCCTACTTCACTCTTCCCCGTCTTAAATGCTATCAGTACTTACCCAGCTGCTAGAGCTAGCAAACTAGAAGTCATCTTTGATCCTGTCTTCCCTTATCCCCAAATCCAATTCTTCCTGACAACTCTTACCTCCCGAACATCGCTCCAGTTCCTCCACGTCAGTCCATCTCTACTATCAGCACCCAGACCAGGCCACCAACGATCTGCCTTTTGCCTATACAATCATTTGCTTGCTTGCCTACACTCCTCCTTTTATGTAACCTATTCTTCCCACAGTATCCAGAGTGAACTTTAGAAATGTGAATCAGACTTTATCATCCCCTGTTTAAAAGCCTGGAATGCTTTTCCACTGCACTTAGAATAAATTGAAACGCTTGATCTGGCCTAGTGTCCCTGTGTAATCTGCCCCTGCATCAGCTCTCCAGAGGCCCTGGCACTGGAGTCCCCTCACTGACTGTCAGCTACACCAGCCAAGCTTCTGTTTTCACACTTTGCAGACTCATGCCTAACTTAGGACACTTGTAAGAGCCACTCCCAGGTCTTCACTGGCAGGTTCATTCGATCGTTTCTGGTCTCACCTTGAAGATCTCTGCTTCTACATGTTCTTCACAACAAGCCAGTCTAAAGAAGCTTCTCATCAGACTCCATCACATCAACCTGTTTTATTTTCTATTTTGCACGTCACACATTACAAGACAGTTTTGCCATTTTTCACATTGGCATTCCACTTAACTGAAATAAGTAATCTTAAATTCTAAGAATATCTGTTTTCCCCCTTGGGATCCAAGAAAACATTTTCATTTTGAGTAAAGAGAAAAATAGCCCAAAAAATATTGTTATTATACTTAAATTGACATTCAAGGAAAAAGAAGGAACTCATCCCAACCATAAGATATATTTTGTGCCAAGTGTAGACCCAATCTATAAATTGTGGAATCTTCCCACTGGCTCATTGCTTTATTTCTCAACAGTTCATTTCACACCAGATCTATCTGGAAAAGTCTGGTATTAGTCTAGTGTAAACAGTCTGAAGTTCAGCCTCTCTCCTGCTGTTTCAGATTCATCTATCTCGTAGAGACTCTTCTTATCACATTACCAGTCTCTAACCCTAATGATTCCCTAGAAGTGAGAGTTTTGGGCCTAATTATTACATAAACTTTTCTGTATCCTTTGCCATTTACCTCATACTGTATGCTTGATGCCATGTAAAGCCCAGATTCCATTAGCAGAACATAAAGAAGAAAGGTTTTTATTTTCTTTCTTCCTTTTCCTTAAAGATAAAATGAGAATGATTAGTATCTCTAATTTGTTTTTTGTTTTTTTTTTCTTTTTATACTTTAAGTTTTAAGGTACATGTACACAACGTGCAGGTTTGTTACATATGTATACATGTGCCATGTTGGTGTGCTGCACCCATTAACTCGTCATTTAACATTAGGTATATCTCCTAATGCTATCCTTCCCCCTTCCCCCCACCCCACAACAGGCCCCAGTGTGTGATGTTCCCCTTCCTGTGTCCATGTGTTCTCATTGTTCAATTCCCACCTATGAGTGTAGTATCTCTAATTTTAAAATGCTATTCTTTTTATTTTAGCATTTTATAATGCTTTCTAAAAAATACAGTTTCCAAAAGTTAACAGTTTTCTTGTGTCAGCATTCATTTATCTGAGTATTTCCTTAAAGGCAAAATAATGACGGTAATTTGTTTCAAAATACTGTAGTGGGCCAAGTGTGGTAGTTCATGCCTGTAATCTCAGCACTTTGGGAGGCCAAGGCAGGCAGATCACTTGAGCTCACAAGTTGGAGACCAGCCTGGGTAACATGGTGAAACCCCGTCTATACCAAAAATACAAAAAATTAGCCAGCCGTGGTGGTATGCGCCTCAGGAGGCTGAGGTGGGAAGAGTGCTTGAGCCCAGGAAGAAGAGGCTGCAGTGAGCTGAGATCATGCCACTGCACTCCAACTTGGGTGACAGAGTGAGACCCTGTCTAAAAAACACAAAACAAAAATACAAAATACCATAGTGATGTTTTTACTTTTTGCATTTTACAATTTAAAAACTTATTTTATAAACTGCAGTTATTTCTGTCAACACTGACATATTTTGAATATTTCTTCTAGAAAATATGTAGTTTTACTATCAGCCAGTTACTTTGTTCTTTGAAACATTTTTTAATGTTAGTATCATTATTAAGAGGCTACCAGAAGTTCAGAGCATGAAAAATAGCCCCATTTTGATTATTCTTACTTTATAAAGGTTTTTAGGGCTGGGCACAGTGGCTCACACCTGGAATCCCAGCACTTTGGGAGGCCGAGGTGGGCAGATCACGAGGTCAGGAGTTCGAGACCAGCCTGGCCAAGATGTTGAAACCCCGTCTCTACTAAAAATACAAAAATTAAGCCAGGTGCTGTGGTGCACGCCTGTAATCCCAGCTACTCAGGAGGCTGAGGAAGGAGAATTGCTTGAACCCAAGAGGCGGAGGTTGCAGTGAGCCAAGATCGTGCCACTGCACTCCAGCCTGGCTGACAGAGCAAGAATCCATCTAAAAAAAAAAATGTTTTTAGGCATTTCATTACATTTGCAATATATTTATCTAATAATATAATCTTAATCACTGAAAATGTATAAACATGTAAATTAAAGGTAAACATAAATTGAAAGTATCAATACATGAAAATATTTTAACTCTTGAGTAATAAACCTTGTTTTCTATTTCATAGAAAATATAATGGATTACCGTGATATGTTAGAAATGGATTTGTCGCTGCCTTATTACAAATGCAGCAGTTATAAAATGGCATCTATTATGTAACTATCTTTTTGAGGGAGCGCTGGTGGTAGTAAAAGAAACAGAATTGTTTTTCTGCCTTTAGATCGGCATGAGAAGTTGAAACACAGAAGATGTCGCAAGGCAGCAAAGAGCTGATTATATGCAGATTGTCCTTTAACGCTGACTATATTTTATATAAAGGTGTTTCTAAGGACCAAAACAGGGTACACATTGACTTCGTTGTAGTAGTTTATGTTCTGTTGAAAAGATTATCTATCTTTATTGCTGAGTTTTCCTCATTTTTTATTCTTTATTGTCCTTTTTATTCTTTTGTCTTTTTCTTTAATCTTTATGTTTTTAAAATTTTAGATGCCAAAGTGTTTCATAACACAGCATCCAACAACCTCCAAACCATAAGTTGTAGGCAGAAGGAAGGAAAATGAGAATGAAGTAGTTTGGTAGCTTTATTCTTCAGCATCTGTTTGAGAGTAATCTCTGAATCTGTTTGTTTTTATCACAAGCTATGCGCACATTTTTATTTGTGCATTACTTCTTTCATAAAAAAAACCAAAAGTAAGAAAAGCTACCATTTTAAATTATAAGATGGTTTAATTAACTGTCTGGTTTCTTTTGGTTGGGTAGATGCATTTAATTTGAAGAGAAATATCTAAACTTACCTCATGCAGCTTAAAAATTACACCCTAATTATTGATCCTGATTACCTAGACATCATCTGTTTTCCTAAACTCGCTTCATATTAATTCATCATTTGGGAATTTGAATACCATTTTCTCCCGGTGGGTTCCTTAATAGCATCCATTTTACTGATCCTGCCTTAAAACAGTTGATTACCCACTCTGAAGTGTAGTGATAAAGAATGTATTAGGCATCAAGGAATGAATCCGTTCCATTTAATCCTAAGTAGTTTAATATCCGGAAAAGACCTACAGTAAGGATCTGCTGAAATGGGTAATAAGATATCAGTGTGTTTCATATACCAGTCAGATGAAGTTCAGTTTATTTTATAGAAGTTTAATTAGACCCTCTTGATCTTGGCTAAGTAATGCCCAGAGGAGGAACAGAAATGGTTTTCCAAAAACTGTTTTTCCTCTACTCAGCTGCCAGAACAAAATTTAATTGAGTTGCAATTGAGACCCCAATCCTCCAGCATTTCAGGGTAGGATATCTTGGTCATCAAAAATAACCTGAGCATATTTCCTAGGGTGTTTGGTGTTTGGATGGCACGGTAACGGGCATAGAGTAAGCACTCAGTAAATTATGCCTGACTGACTGGCTCAGTCTTAAGTTGCTGAGTTTGGCAAGATGCATCCCCGAAGTGCTTACTTTTTAACCTGTTGAACAGAATCACTTAATATTGGCCTTTATGCCTCAGAATTTCTGCCAAAAACTACCATTACTTTTGGTATAATTGATAGTAAACTGTTCTTTCCAATAGTAATTGCTCTGGTAATTCAGCTGGGCCCTGAGACTAATGGTGCCAGACTTGTAGCTTTCATGGGCAAGGTAAAAATTTTCCTAATTATTGAGAGATTGGCCTTAGGTTACCAATGTTTTTATTTCATTTAAAAAGTATACCAAAAAAAAAAAACCTACTATTGGCCGGGCACAGTGGCTCACACCTGTAATCCCAGCACTTTGGGAGGCTGAGGCGAGCAGATCATGAGGTTGGGAGATCGAGACCATCCTGGCTAACATGGTGAAACCCCGTCTCTGCTAAAAATACAAAAAATTAGCCAGGCATGGTGGTGGGCACCTGTATCCCAGCTACTCAGGAGGCTGAGGCAGGAGAATTGCTTGAACCTGGGAGGTGGAGGTTGCAGTGAGCCGTGATCGCACCACTGCACTCCAGCCTGGGTGACAGAGCGAGACTCCATCTCAAAAAAAAAAAAAAATTCCTACTATTATTTCATTTAAAAAAAAAAGATAAGCTTAACATCACAAAAGTAGGAAGGACAGAGATTCAGAATAAAAGACAATCATTTAAATTGAATAAAATTTAAGCCTTCATAAGAAGTTACCACCCTGTTGTTATTTTCCTCATTTCACCTTTTCTTGACTCTTAGAAGTCACTTCAGACCATTGCAAATTTGTGATGGTAAATCATGGGATCAGCCTGGAAGAGGAAGTTTTCCTTAAATTGGCTATAAGAGGGGCATGTATGTGGTGACACTAAATATGGGATTAGATTATCTAGATGTAAGTTTAGGGTGGGAGCCAATGACACAACCTCTTTGTTTTTGCTTTTCGGTTTTATTAAATTAAGCATGTATTGAGCACTGCTGTTTTCTTGGCACTGCTGTAGACTTTGGGATAAAACATGTGCGTGATGCACAGATATCTGTTGCTGATGATCTTAGAAACTAGGAGAAGCAAGTAATACTGGCCACACTGGCTACAGTAAGAGACCATAGGACAGAATTTGGAGAGTTACTAAAAGCCTGAAGTCTGTACTGATTTCATGTGTCTTAAGCCATAGATGATCCACAGACCCATAGAATGAAAGACAGAGATGGAAAACATAGCCAAATTTCACTATGGTGTTAGTGTCTTAAGTACTGTCTTGAAATGAAAATATGTGTTTAACTCTTACAGTGATGGGACAGTTGTATCTAAAATCAAAGTAAGGGGAAATTTTAAGAGATGTTTGGCAAACTAACTTCATATATTATTATTATTTCCGAAGATGGAATATACTATGCTTCTATTCCAACTTGAAGCTTATTAGAAAAATATCTTGATATAAATGATTGTGTGTAGATTTCTCCTCCCCAGTTTTAAAAAGACTCAATATGATGATTTACAACAGGTGGATGTGCAATATCCCAAGGGCTATGGAGGCTACCATATGAGGTGGGATATCATTGGCCCACACTGGAAAGAGAAATAGCTCTGTAAGTAGTGGATGTTTATGTCTCTAATACACATTCCCAAGTCCTTCCTCATTATCAGTTTAGATAATTAAACTGACATCTTCCAGCTGGCATCTTTGTAGACATTTTTGTCTGAACATAAGTTAGCTTTAAAAAGAAATGATTCATAAACATGACAGGAATGAAAAAAAAAGAAACTAGACACCACTGAATTGTTTATAGTGGCAAAAACATAAAAATAAATTAGCTTCAGTGTCCAGTGCTGCAGTGAGTTTAAATAAATCGGAATATATCCTTGGAAAATTTTTTTAAATAATGTATCTGTTTAGTCAGATAGTATGCACTCAACAGCAATAATGATGTATGTTGATTGGCATGGAAAATGTTTGTGAAAAATGCAGTATATATTTAAAGCAGCATGTAGGACTGATTTTTTTTTAAGTGGTGTATATGCATGCCCATCTAAATACACCAAACTGCTTTTTCATCAGTTCTGCTCGCCTTTTTGGTGGTGTTCTCTGAAGCTATTGATAGAATATCCCAACTTGCCCAGTAACTGGACAGAAACTGCACTCGACTTATCTGCAATTTGTTGATAGAAGTTAGCAAGGAGATCTTACCCAAAAGATAGATGGGAACGAGAAATGTGGCATCTTTGAACCTCTCAGGAGCAGGTTATTTGTGGAATCAGAGAGTGCCTCTCGCCATCTTTGTCTTCATAACCCCCGTCTTCCCGCACAGCCCAAGGTAGTCAGATGTAAGAACAGCAGTACTGCGAGTCAAGAGTAAACTAAATTGTTACATCTTCGGTTTCAGCTCTGTCTAAAACAACTACCCGTGATGAGATGGAGCAAGATATGACTAATTTTAAACATTATTTTGGCCCTTAGTTAAAAAGTTGTGTGGAGATTTACCCTGCTGCTGTTTGAAAGCAGGAAGCTGGGGTTTATGGGTTAATTCAGTAAATAGCTGCCCTCTATTAGCCACCTTTCCCCAGAGAGATAGTCATTGGGAAATAGTCCTCCACAGTCAGTTTCTGCAAGCTGCAATAGAATCGTGGCTAGTCTTAGAATGCCAGTCCCCTGGAATTGTTATTCCAGGTCTTAGTGAGGTCCTAAGAGTGTAAATTTGAAAGATCAGCACTGTGCAAACCTTTTCAGGAAGGACGCGTTTGTAAGTGAAGCTCAAATTGCTTTATCTAAAAATCAATTCACTTTGAGAATACAGCTAAATGACGCAATCGTTGATGAAATTTCTGATTATTCTTTCCCAATCTGTGCTAAAATCCAAAAGGAATAATGTTGGATTATCTGCTCTTTTGAATTAAATATCCCTGTTTGCCATTCTGTTTGCATACATGACTGAACCTTTGCAATAATTGTATGGGATGTGAGGGAGTATTTTTCTTCCAAAAATTGATAACTGTATAACCCCAAGGAGTCAGCTATATTCTGGACTATGAACTTGAATGAAGTTTGTTTACAGCTCAGAAATTATTCAAACCAGAATTCTCAAGAAAATTATTTTTGGTTCATTTCCCATTTTGCATAAAATAGCAAGCAGTGAGGAAGAATAAATCGAAAGTCATAGCTAATCAAGACTTTATAACTATTTAATGCTTTGTTTATATATTCATCTGGCAATTTTTAGAATTGCTTCAGTTCTATAAATTATCTGGTACATTTGATGATAATAGGTAGCCAAATATATTTGTTAATGATCCAAATTGTATCGGGACAGTCACTGTAACCTATACCTTTTTTTTTTTTTTTTTTTGAGACGGGGTCTTACTCTATCACCCTGGCTAGAGTGCAGTGGCAATCAGCTCACTGCAACCTCCACCTCCCAGGCTCAAGTGATCCTCCTGCCTCCACTTCCCAGGTAGCTGGGACTACAGGTGCACACCACCATGCCCAGCTAATTTTTGTATTTTTTGTAGAGATGGGGTCTCACCATGTTGCCCAGGCTGGTCTCGAACTCCTGAACCCAAGTGGGCTGGCTGCCTCAGCTTCCGAAAGTGCTGGGATTACTGGAATGATGCATCACACACAGCAACCTGTACCTTGAGTTACCTTAATTTAAGATTATTTTGAAAGAATACACCATCAATCCAGAGCAATCCTCCAACTAGTTGAATCATTACGGGCTCTAGGAAAAGAGTTAGCATCTCTCCCATAGGATTCAGATATGAATAGACTAGCACCATTAGTACTGTGGTTCCTTCCTCCAGCCCTATTAACCATTCCCAGAAGACAGGAGGAAAAGCACATAAAGCCCATTGCTATCAGAGCTCTGAGGTCTGTAAATAATTATGCCTTCTTGTTTTTGAGTAAAGTAGGATGAAATGTATTACCACAGTTAATAAACTACATTCAAATTATAGCCTCCAAAGCAACAAAAGCATTCCACACTTTCAAAAGATCATAGTGACTCAATTCCTTTAAAGAGATGTTTCTAATTATAGTTGCCAAAATCTATTATTTTAGTTGTGATATATTTCTTTTTAAATATTTATTACCTTTATAGAATACTGAAAATTTAAAAATTGAAACATATACATTAAGTAATACTCCAATTTAAAATGGAAGAAGTAGGAATTGGAAGAAACAGAAATAAATAATTAGAGTGATGTAGAAGTTGGAAGTTCTGCTGCAGAATCCTTTGAACCAAACACTTGGCAGCTCCCCAGACCACATTTATTGCCTTTTTGTGTATATATTTCCACTGGCCAACTTGTCGTCTTGGCTTGAAATGTAGTCATTGTAACAAGATTGGTAATATTTAAATATCTTTTCCTTTCATGCCTGTCTTATGGAACTAATGGTTTCTGAACACAAATTATTATTTTATCTTTAAAATATTTTTCTAAATATTATTAGTTTTTATAAAATAGACCAGATAACACCATAGCTGTCTTTAAAATACTGTCATAATGGAACTGAAGTTAGAGACATTTTAAATCTCCCACTGCCATAGATAAAATTCGTTTTTGGCCCAGCCTCACCTTTGGTAACCGGGAATGCCCGAGACACTGTGACCCCCTCTCCACCAGACCAAGGGAGCTGAACTCTTACTCTGGCCTCATTTCCCTTTGTCACCAACCCCCCCATTTGAGTGTCAAATGCCCATGTCCATACATCATTCTAAACATTAAAGCCTTATAAACACATAGATTCCTCAGTAGATTTATAGAATTTAAAAGACAAAAATGACTTTAGAAATCATTCAGTTCATCTCCCTCAATCTGTGAGTGACCAAAGCTTACATGCTTGCTATGCAAGACAGGAGGCAGCCATTTCTCTGAGACACACAGACACATTTCAGCTGTGGCGGCATGTGGTAGATAGATGTGTGCCCCATGTCCTCATCTAATGTCTATAGTTGTGCCATCTCTAATTTCTTGAACCCCTTCCCTGACTTATAAAGAGCCAGTAGAACCGTTGATCTCATAAGTAATCTAACTGAAATACATTAATTCTGCAGACTGAATGAATGGTAACCAAAGATGTCCTTTCATATGAACATACTTTATATTCTAAATCCAGTTTTCTTTCTATTAGTATAACATTTCCTCTGCTAGTGATTTTAATGTTCTTGCTTCCGTGGTTGGGGGTTGGGGGGGTGGTGACAGAAAAGAGTACCATTTTCCTTCTGATATGAATGTGTACAAAGAGGAAGGAAGGATAAATTTAACCCTTTTTAAATTAAATGTTAAGAAATGTTTCTAAACGTATTGAATGCTTTTCCAGTATATCTCTGGATTTTTCTCGATTCACCACATTAATGGCAGAGAACAAATACATGGATACAAAGTAATTTGAGGTTTCATTTAGTACATATATATTGCTTAACTTTCTCATCTGAGTGTGCTACCACATGCTCTAATCCCCAAACTTAACCAGTCCCTGAAGATCTGGAAGGCGGGCTGGGCTTCCTCAACACTGTGTTCTCTTTCTTTTCCAGGATAAAGTCATCATCTCCTCTTACCCTGATATTGCCTTATGTCGCAGCTTTGTTTTTAATATTTCTCCAGACCACAGAAATTTGTAGTTTTGCTAAATAGGCTTATTGACGTTAGTCAGTGATGGAGTGATTGGAATAAAACAGTGATATGTCATGACAACTAGTTAATGACCAATTACCATGTGCATTTGCCATATGTTAGTAAACTTTGAAAGTAGCTATTCATCCTATTTGGATGATTGGAAATTCTTTTTTATAAGCCAACTATGAAAATAAAACCTGACTCACATTCCCAGAGCCTAATAAATTTAGGGCATTTTGTAAAATAAATGAATATATCATTTTCAGATCTCTGTGTCTTATTTCTCTTTACTTTTTCTTAGATGTACTGTATATCAGTGTTTTGGAGGAAACTCTAGGTTTTGCTGTAGAAAGGAGCAGGAAGTGAGAGTGAGGCGAGCCCAGGACTGCAAGCGCCAGTAATCCTCATGGTTTCTCTCTTCCTCAGCAGCCTGGCAGCAGACGCCAGGACAGGACTGAAAGGGTTTACCCAGAGCTGTGACTGATACATGGCAAAAAACAAAGTGGGGGTGGACACCAAGAGCATTTTGATGGGGTCTACCTTAGAAAGAGAGGAAAGCAAGAATTCCACAAGCCATTAAGACCTGGCTCCAACCTGTCCTTCCAGCCTTCTCTCCCACCAACCTTCCTTTCCTCCATTCTGCAGTGTAACAGCTGCCTCTGGTTCCTGGCCAGCCCCTCTGCTCGTGTGTTCTCCCTTGCCCAGATTCTCATCATTTTTTCCTCACCAACTCGTACTTGCCCTTCAAGAATCAACTCAGGAGTCTCTTCCTTGAAGAAGTCTTCTGTGATCCATCCCCACTACGCTGGATTGTGTGTCCCAGCTTTAGATGCTCAGAGAACTCTTCACACATTTATCTCGGCATTCATCATGTGTGATTGGAACTATTTATGCTTAGTTCTTGTTCTGTCATTGCACTATTAGGTCTTTGAGAAAAAGTGATTGATTATCATAACCATGCTTGTAACCCAATGCCATGTATAGTCCTAGCAAATAGTAGGCATGCACTAAATGTGCATCTAAACTAAAAGTGTAGGATTTTAGCTATCAGAAAGGGAATTTATTAGGAGAATAACGAACTTTATTCTTTTGAATTACCACATCTTTCTTGAAGTGTTAAGTGGCTCTTCAGAAATAAACTGTACCCAAGAGTACTGCCATGTCTCAGGAGTCACTTTATGTGTATTTGTATGTATGTATGTTTATAACTTTTTTAAAAGGCCTAGTTTTTTAAAAAAGCATTTCTCCAAGAAAGGCCATGAAGCAGTAATTTCTGAAGCTCATGGCTTTCACCTTTCCAGATTTTTATAACATAATTTTGTTGAGATTCTTGATCATAGGTTATATAGAGTACAGAATGAGTTAGCACCTTAGGTAATATGCTTAGAAAAAGATAAAATAGTGTGAAGATACACGTAAGAAAGGAAGTCTGGTAAATGCAGGAAGATTTGGAGAGGGATGAAGTGAGTGTATAATTAGTGAATCTTTGAAATTTATCTTCTATCCACATAAAATTTTGTATATAATGTGAATGTCCAAAATTCCTTGGTCTCTTAGGCTGAAATTAAAATGTTGAAGAGCTTTATGTGGCATTTGGGCATGGTGGGAGTGTTTTGGTCAGATTTTCTTTTATATTCTATGTGGAATGGTTATGCATCTATATAGCACCTGTATTTTCCAAAAGATTTGTGTGTTCACCAACAGCAAGTACTCAGCAGCTTTTTTCTAAATTAAGTCAACAGTAATTTTCAATTTGGAGATAGGAGACAAACCCTAAAACTGGTAGCCAAAGAAGACAGTGCTTGGTTTTATAATATCTAGAGTGGACTATTAGCTAGGATGCCTTTTTTTAAAAGCTGTCTATTTCATGTCTGCTATTTAGATAGTGAAAAACGGAGTTAATCTGACCCATAACTCTTCGACGTCATCTCTTCTTTAGTGGTATTGGAAGGAACTGGCCCTGGGCCTCTGGAGGCAGCAGTATTCTGGCAGAATTTGGAACCCTGCATTTGGAGTTTATGCACTTGAGCCACTTATCAGGAAACCCCATCTTTGCTGAAAAGGTGAGATTCTTCAATGTGCCTTGGCCTGCAAAGCAACACTTATGAGAAACAGTATTGTCTCTGAGAAGGTTTAGGAATTTTTGAAGTGGAAATAATAACCAAATTTGTTATAGCTCTTTCTGAAGTTTTGCAACATGCAGCATTTCATTTAGCCAAACTGTAAACCTACAGCCTTTCCAGTGCACCACTCTAGTTCAGGATGTGAGGGCACAGCTTCCACCTCTGGTTCCCTTTACCTTAAGTTAGTTACTTAACTCATCTGAAGTTTGTTTCCTTATCTAAAAATATTTAGTAATAAATGCACTGCATGAGCCAACTATGTGAAAGACAGACTGAAAGTGTCGTACAAATGTGATGTTGCAGCTGAATTGGTCCCTCGTTTTCCGAAAGCAAACCAAATATTTGGATAAATTCATGTTCCCCCCATCACTCTACTTTTATTTTCAACCTGCTTTTTGGCTTCCCTTTACAGTAAAATTGCTTGAAAGAGTCGTCCCTGTTGTCTACTTTTCAAGTCTCTTGAACCTGCTCCAGTAGGACTTTTCCCCCAGCCACACCTGTCACAGTGACCAGTGAGCACAACAGTGCCAAAGCCACTTACCATTCTCCCCTTCATCTTCCTTGCCCTCTTAGCATTCGACACAGTCAGTTCTTCGTTCCTGAGATACACTTCGCGCTTGGCATGTAATACTCTCCCAGTTTGTCTCCTCTTTTGCTGGATGCTCCTTCTGTCTTTTTTGTGTCCTCCTCAACACCCCACCCTCTAAATATTGGAAAGCCCTAGCACTCAATCCTGTGCCTCTGCTTGTTGATATTCACTCCCTACATTGTTGCATCTAGTCTCTGGGCTTTACATACCATCTCTATACTCTAGACTCCAAGTTTATTATTTCAGTCCCAACCTGTCCCCTGAACTCCAGACTCTATATCTGTTTATTAAACATCTCCACTAAGAGGCCCGATAGACAAGTCCCACTTAAAATGCCTCGGACTTAACGCCTAGACGTGCTTCTCCAGTCTTTGCTATCTTGGTAAATGACATCTCACTGTACCCAGTGGTCTCCTCCTGGTTCTTCTTCTTGGTAAACCCCAGGCCCAGTCCACTAAGAAATCCTTTGGGTGTCTCACTGCCTCTACTGCTGTCCTGATCTGGGATCCATCAGGTCACCTGGTGTACTGTATGTACACCATACAGTAGCCACCTGACCACCCCTTCCTCACCCCCTCAGCCTTCTCATGACACTCAGAGTAAAATATGCCCTTATTGTGGCCTGTGGGGCCTGGGTGACCTGGGCCCTGGCTCTCCTCTCCTCTACCTGCTGACATTCTCCCCTTTGTCTCCTCACCTCTGGCCTCAGTAGCATTGCAAACCTGCTGTCTCCTCAGGGCCTTTGTACTTGCTCCTCTCTCTGTTCCGAGTGCTCTTCCTCCACATTTCCACGTGGCCTACTCCCTCACTTCTTTAATATTCTGCTCAAACACCTCCGCCTTGCCAGGCCACTCTGACTAACATGGGATAGCCTCTCCACATCACCCTGTCCCGTTAACTCTCAATCAGCTCGGGTTACCATAACAAAAATGCAGCCAGAAACAACCGAAATTTATTTCTTACAGTTCTGGAGGCTGGGAAATCCAAGATCAAACTGCCCATGAGGTAGGTTTTATTCTGAGCCTCTTCCCTGGGCTTGTAGATGACGAGAACTGTCCCAGTGTGTGTTCACATGATGTCTTCTTTGTGCTCTGAGGGAGAGAAGGAGTCACAGAGAGAGAGAGAGAGCTCTTGTGTCTCTCATGAGGGCACTAATCCCATTTAAGGCTCTACCGTCATAACCTAATTACCATCTCCAAATAAATCTCCAAATACAATCACACTGGGAAGTAGGGTTTCAGCATATGAAATTAGGGGTATGCAGTTCAATCCATAGCACCCTTTTATTTTTTTCCACAGTATTTATCATCTCCTGACATACTATACAGTTAGGTGTTACTTAACAGTGTTTATTCAACAGTGGACCACATATGTGACAGTGGTCCTGTAAGTTTATAATGGAGTTGACAAAATTCCTACGGCCTTGTGACATCATAGTTGTCATAATGTCGTAGTGCAATGCGTTACTTACATGTTTGTGGTGGTGATGGCATAAACATACTCTACTCCCAGTCACATAAAAGTATAGCACATATAATTATGTACAGTACATAATATTTGATAATTAAATGACTGCATTACTGATTTATGTACTACTATGGTTTTTATTGTTATTTTAGAATGTACCACTTTTTTTTTAAGTTAGCTCTAGAAGCAAGGTCCTTCAAGAGGTATTCCTCTTCAAGGCATTATCATCACAGGAGTTGACAGCTCCATGCGTGCTACTGCCCCTGAAAGACCTTCCAGTGCGATAAGATGTAGAAGTGGAAGACAGTGATATTGATGGTCCTGTGGAGTCCTAAGCTAATGTGTATATGTGTCTTAGTTTTTAACAAAAAGTTTAAAAAGTTAAACAACTTTAAAAAGAAATTTTAAATAGAAAAAACTTATAAGAATATAAAGAAAGAAAATATTTTGGTACAACTATACAAAGTGTGTTTTAAGCTAATGGTTATTACAAAAGAGTCAAAATTTTTTTAATTAAAAAGTTTATAAAGTAAAATTACAGTAAACTAACGTTAATTTATTATTGAAAGAAAAATACTTTTATAAATGTATTAATAATGGCTAAGTGTACCATGTTTATAAAGTTTACAGTACTATACAGTAACGTCCCAGGCCTTCACATTCACTTATTACTCACTTACTAACTCATCCACTGCAACTTCCAGTCCTGCGAGTTTCATTCATGATAAATGCCCTATACAAAGTGCCCTGTATTTATGTATAGGGTTATAAAATGTATAACCCTATAGAAAGGTATCATTTTTCATCTTTTATAGTGTATTTTTCTGTGTTTAGATACACAAATACTTCAGTACAGTAACATATGCTACACAGGTTTGTAACCTAGAAACAGTAGGCTGTGCCAACTACATTTGTGACAGTGTGCTCTATGATGTTTGTACAAGAATTAAATTGCCTGTGTTTCCCAGCATGTATCCCTGTCATTAAGGGACACATGACTAGACTTATTGATTTATTGTCTGTCCCGTCCCACTAGGATGCACAATTCTAAGAGTGTGGTGACTTTGTTTATCCACTGGCCCCTTGTTCCTAGTATGGCATCTGGCTAATGGTAGATAACTAATCAGTGTGACTATATTCACTTACTGCCATTATGTTTGTAATAATAAGCTAACAGCAGTTATCTTTGTTCTAACTCTGCATCATTTAAGTCAACTTGTATGTTCAAGAAGAAGAAGAATGGCATGAAAATTGTTTTTTAGATTTTCACGGTAACATTTTATTTTCTATTATAGGTAATGAATATTCGAACAGTACTGAACAAACTGGAAAAACCACAAGGCCTTTATCCTAACTATCTGAATCCCAGTAGTGGACAGTGGGGTCAACGTAAGTCAGAAGATTTGCATTATTATAGCTCTTTTTGGTACTGTACTCGTGGAGAGAGAGGAAGCACAAAAGCAGCACAGATTTTGTTGAGAAATGTTTAGAAAAGGAGAAAAGGGCATGGCTCCTTTAATAAACAGGCTTCTGTCATCAGATTGTGTTATTAGGACACTGGATTGTGTATTTTTCATATATAACTCCAAGTGTGATGACATATAAGCACATTTACAGCTATTAATCAGAAAGGGAAGATCTGGCCAGAGTAGTGTGGGGATGTTAATCTGTAACAAGCTGGTCATGTGGATAGAAAGGAAATTCATTCCTTTGTACTAATGACTATGAGGGTTTTATAGAGAGTAGGTAGACCATTCTGCTTCCTAACATTCTGTTTCTGCATGGCTATATAATGAGAGAGGAGCCTGAATTTTTAAGAGTTGGGAAATTGGAAGAGCAAACAGCCTGTTTTTCTCTTCTTAATTTTAAGCTGCCAGATATAAAGGTTTCTTGCCAGTAGAATTACCTTTAGGATGGGAGAAAGTATTGCACAAGAACTTTTGATCCTAGAAGCCTGCACTTAAGACTCTTCAGACGATTTTGAGCAGGGGCATAAAGATTCAGAGTAGTTGAAAGAAATGTTCTCAAGCTGATTTGGAAAAACAGTAGTAGATTAAATAGCTGAAAACAAGTGAAGAATATTGAGATACCCAACTGTAGCAAGAGTACACTGCCTTAAGATTTTACTCTAATTTGGGTTTTTTCTTTATATTTTAATATCATGTTCTTAGATACCTCATTATTACTTTAGAAGTACTTTTCTTAAAGAATAGTTTAATAGGAAAGTATATGCCAAAATCCATATGCTAAAATATGTCTGTAGCTCTGGAAGGCCTAGCTGTTGAAACCTTAGGACTATAATCAAGGTTACCACTTACCTAAGTGTGGTCAACAGATCACTGGAAGTCCTTGAGACCTCTGAGGAGGCCCACAAGGTCAAAAATATTTTTATTATAATACTAGTATAATGATATATAATAACAAGACATATAATACATGTCTTAGTCATATTTACTAAGCCAGTACACAGTATCTTGCACTTAGTGGATGTTTACTTACTTAAATTTTGTGAATACATATGTGCTCTGTATCTCATCTCTCTTTCTGCCTCTGCTTTTAATAGTGGTACTTTGAAAGACTTTCTGCCTTTTCTAATGTGTTGATATTTACACCTACAGTGTTAGGTGATACTGCTGAAGCCTCACTGAGAACAAAGGCGAACAAACACCAAATAGTACTAATATTCATATTTTTTCTTTTTTTTTTCTTTTTTGTGGGACAGGGTCCCACTGTGTCACCCAGGCTGGAGTACAGTGTCATAATCTCAGCTCATTGCAACCTCTGCCTCCTGGGCTCAAGCTGGGCTCAAGCTATCTTCCCACCTCGGCCCCCCGCCCCGAGTAGCTGGGACTACAGGTGCACGATGCCATGCTCAGCCAATTTTTAATTTTTTTTTTTTTTGGTAGAGAGAAGGTCTCATATTTCCCAGGCTGGCCTCAAACTTTTAGGCTTGAGCGATCCCTTTGCCTTGGCCTCCCAAAGTGTTGGGATTACAGGCATGAGCCACCACACCAGCCCCCATTGTATTCTTAATAGCATTTTAAAAAAGGATACTGGTTTCACTTATGAATGTGCTTACTGAAACAGTAAAAAAAAAAAATTAGTGATTCTAATAAATACCAACCTGTGAGTACACACCTTTGTCATGTTCTGTGAGGTGAAATGGAAAATACTCATAAATCACTCCTGCTGAATTATGAAAAATGATAGTTGCATCAAGGAAAAGCTCTTGGGTGTTTTGAGTTGCAAGCTGAGCTAGCCACTTACTGTTTCACAGATTCAACATTTTTACTTGAAAGAACAATTTAAAAAATGATTATTTAGGCTAGGTAGTCAGGAGCCATGTTCTTGAAAATGAGCTTGTCACTTCAAGAAAAAGTCACAGTATTTGTGCCAATGATTATAATCCAAGTTTCTAAATAAAAAATAGAATTTTGGAAAACTTGTACATGCTACCATGAGCTTGACACAAATACTTTTCCTGTTAGATTGATGATGATATTAACAAATGTGGTTTTCTGATATTGTATAATGGAATGGGTCAATATTTGAAAGATCTGCATAGTTCAGTGAGCCAGGATTTTCCAAATGACCAAAGCATGATATTATAAGATCATATATGGAAAACAATCTGTGTAAAGTACAAGATAGACCAGTGGCTTTTAATGTAACAATACGAAAATTCATTGATGTAATTTCTAATTTTACAATGCAATTAACCTTTAAAAAAGAAACCACTTGTTGACTATTGTTGTAATATCAAAGAAAAATATCCACAATTGTGTGAAAAGCCTGTTAAAATATCCTTTCTTTTTCTGACTGTATTACTGTGTGAGGCTGACTTGTCTTGATGTATTACAGCCAAAACAACATATAGCAAAGGATTGAAAGTAGGGCAGACATGAGTATCCAGCTGTCTCCTGTCAAGGCAAACAAGAAAGAGATATGCAAAAATGTGAAATTGTGTCAGTCTTCTCACTAATTTTTTGTTTTGTTTTGTAAAATATAACTTTTTTGAAAAATTGTATATGTTAACATAATGGGCATGTAATTATTATTTTAAACGAGGTAACGAAAATATTTTTAAATTATTTTAATTTTCCAATGTAGTAAATATAGGTATTATTTACATAAATTATTTGGGGTGTCCATTTCTTTTGAAGATTACAAAAGGGTGCTGAGACTCAACAGTTTGAGGGCCACCAGAGGACTAGGGATAAAACAACTTGTGTATATTTCTGTTTTGTTGTTTGAGATGGGAGTCTCGCTCTGTCACCCAGGCTGGAGTGCAGTGGCACAGCCTCAGCTCACTGCAACCTCCCTGTCCCATGCTCAAGCAATTCTCCTGCCTCAGCCTCCCGAGTAGCTGGGACTACAGGCATGTACCACCACACCCAGCTAATTTTTGTATTTTTAGTAGAGATGGGGGTTTCACCATGTTGTCCAGGCTGGTCTCGAACTCCTGACCTCAGGTGATCCGCCCACCTTGGCCTCCCAAAGTGCTGGAATTACAGGCGTGAGCCACGCTCCTGGCCCTTGTATATTTTTCTAAGTATAAGGTGACAGGATGTGATTCTCTAAAAGCACAAGCATTTTTGGAGTATTCCTCACCACACATTTCAAAAGCTGAAGAAAAGTCTCCTTCATTTACTGTTTCCTTCCTATGATTTAGGATTTAGAAGCTGCTATGAAGGGGGACAGAAGGAGCCAGTTGTACTGGAACATCTCCGCTTCACCTTCTGGGTCACCTGTATGCTATGTATTTGGCCATGTTTCCTAGTACAAAGAGCCCTTTATATTTAGATTCCTTATGGGCCAATTTCCTGATGGAAAAAAAAAACAAAAAACAAAACAGGATTGATGAGTCTTAGCTCTCTCTCCTGCCCCAACCCCCATTCTGTGTTCTAGCCAGAGGAAAACACACTTATTTTTTTATTCTTCAATCGAGGCCTGCTTGGCCATGTTCAGGTCTTTGCTTGTGCCATTTCCTTAGCCCTCCCACCTCTCAAGACCCAGCTCAATTGCCATTTCTTCCAGGATCCCCTCTTCAGTGCTCCGGTTGGGATTTATTAGCATCCACTTTTCCTCTATTCTTTCCCTGCCCCAGCGCTTTGAGTGCTTTCCTATCACAAACCTTTTCCTGATGATTCACATCCATATGCATCTTCCTAAGGATCCAAAGCTTTTGCGGGTAGTAACCATGTCTTAGTCATATTTACTAAGCCAGTACACAGTGTCTTGCACCTAGTAGGTGTTTACTTACTTGAATTTTGTGAATACATATGTGCTCTGTATCTGATCTATCTTTTTGCCCCTTACCTTTTTTTTTTTTTCTTTTTTGGAGACGGAGTCTTACTTTGTCGCCCAGGGTAGTGTGCAGTGGTGCAGTCTCAGCTCCCTCCACCTGCCAGGTTCAAGCGATTCTCCTGCATCAGCCTCCCAAGTAGCTGGGATTACAGGTGCCCGCCCCTACACCAGGGTAACTTTTGTATCTTTAGTAGAGATGAGTTTTCACCATGTTGGCCAGGCTGATCTCAAACTCCTGACCTCAGGTGATCCGCCCTCCCCGGCCTCCCAATGTTCTGGGATTACAGGTGTGAAACACCACGCTGGACCTGCCTCTGCTTTTAATGGTTGTTCTGCTTGTTCTCTTTTAGCAGTTGCCCCTGCTCCTCAGTTGTGGCTGAAAGGCAGTATCCGGTCCTGGTCACTGATAATATGAACTGATCTTGTTACTATTGAGGCCAGATGGCAGGGTTTCCTGTCTGTACACAGAGTATTTATCATCCCTTGATTTCTATAACAGCCATCCATCTATCTATATCTAGTCTAGCTAGCTATGTGTAGTGTCACTAGCATCATTGGGGGATTGTTTCAAAGAGAGAAATTCAGATGAAGTCAACAAAAATTTTAAAAGGGAGATATTGAGTATTTTAATTCTTCTTTGTCTTGATTCTTTTGCTACTTGCTTTTTCTCTTTTTTAGATATTAGAAATCCTTTTATGGGACCTATTCTTATGAAGAAAAGAATAAATTACTCCTTCAGAGAAGAGCGTAATATTTGACTGACTACAGTACACCTCACCTTTAGAGCAGTTGGACATAAAAATACCATATTATGTTATTTCCAGAAGTAGGTTGATCCTTTCCTGCTGATAAATTCGGGCCTGCTCTCCCCGACATCCACTAAGATGTTTACACAGGACTGTGTTGACAAACAGCCATCCAGGCCTGAAGGAAGCTTAGTGAGTGACATGCTAAATTAATGAGAAGACCTGTTTCTCTTCTACGTTCCTTTGTCTTGTTTTTTTTTTTTTAATGTGAAATTTTTATAGGCAGGAAATTTTAAAAATAGAAAACTAGCACTTACCAAAATTAATTAAAACAAATGTATTCTTATATAACACTTTTTTCTTTTTTAAAAAAAATCCCCAGCTGCTCAAACTTGCTTCTTCCGTCTATTAGAAAATCATAACCCAAGGGGAGGAAAACATCAAGCTGCTTCTGGCCATTGGTTTTCAGCTCTCATTGCTTTAACTCCAAATGACACGTCTGGATCCTGGCCATCATTTCCTATCACTTCATCGAGTCAGTGTTGTTTTGACAATGCCAAACCATGATTTGCTTTTCCACGCATCACTTGCATGTGTCTCCTACAATCATGTTGATAACAACAGGGCTTATTATTGATGAGTTCGTACTTAGTCTATTTAGTTTGTAAATGTCAGAGGTTTCTGTGTTGATTTAGGAAACTGTAAAGGTCACTTCAAGAATCAGACTTAGAATTTTTAAAATATATTTTTACACTAAAATTTAAACTATAATTCTACACTTTCTGCAAAAAGAAAATCACATACTTAACTACTTTAAAACATGGCTCTTTAGCTTGAGTAGTTACAGCCCTTTATTAAGGTTGACATAGAAGAATTTTGCTTTGTTCGTCAGTTATTTGTTGAGTACCTACCATGTGCAAGACACTTTCCAGGGGCTGGGGTGGACTGGGAAACATAATAGGTCTGGTCTCTGCCCTCTTGGTTCATAATCTTGTGGAGGAGACAGAAGAAAATGTTACCACATTATGAAATTACAGGTGATAAGTGTGTGCTACCAAAAAGTGTGTGACAAAGGAACCTAGTGGCATTGTCAGAGAACACTCCTTTGAGGAAGTGTCATTTGGTCCCAGATACGAAGTATGAGTAAGAACTACTAAAGAAGGGGAAGGGGGTCCTAGGGTCCATTTCAGGCAGAGAGAACAAGGCCTATAGAAGCCCTGCCTGAGATGAGATGGAACCTGATGTTTTTGAGGAGCCAAAAGAAGGGCTTTATAGCAAGTGAGCAGAGAGCAAGTGGAGCAAGACTGAATGGCATAGAGAAGATTGAGATCTTGCATGGCACCAAACACACAGGATTGAAAGGCTTCGAGTAAAGGGTGATCTCATTCATGTATTAAGAGGGCTATTCTGGCATTAATGTGGGGAATAGATTGAAGGGGCACTGTCATTAGAACTCTGGGCCAGGCGCAGTGCCTCATGTCTGTAATCCCAGCACTTTTGGGAGGCTGAGGCAGGCAGATCATCAGGTCAGGAGTTCAAAACCAGCCTGGCCAACATGGTGAAACCCCGTCTCTACTAAAAATACAAAAATTAGCCAGGTGTGGTGGTGGGCTCCTGTAATCCCAGCTACTCGGGAGGCTGAGGCAGGAGAATAGCTTGAACCTGGGAGGCGGAGGTTGCCATGAGCCGAGATCGCACCATTGCACTCCAGCCTGGTGACAGAGCAAGACTCCGTCTCAAAAAAAAAAAAGAAAAAAAATGAAGATACCTATCCTACAGTTGTGAGATTGTTGATAATACGTGTAGTGGATCTGGCATGATAAATGGCAGTGAAGGTGGACTATAGGAATGGAGTATTAGGAGGAAAAACTTCTTCTTCTGCCCCATATCCTTTCTGACTGCCCCTGTCCCATAGGTATTTGACCCTTCAGATTCATAGCACTAGAAAATTTATCAAATAATAATAGGCTGAGCACAGTGGTTCATGCCTGTAATCCCTCTTCTGTGAGAGGCCCAGGTGGGAGGATTGCTTGAGGCCAGGAGTTGTATATCAGCTGAGGCAACATAGCAAGATGCCGTCTCTACAAAAAATTTAAAAATGAGCCTGGCGTGGTGATGCGTGCCTGTAGTCCCAGCCACTTGGGAGGCTGAAGCAGGAGGATCACTTGAGCTCGGGAGTTCGAGGTTATAGTGAGCTATCATCGTGCCTCTGCACTCCAGCCTGGGTGACAGAGTGAGTTTAGAAATAATAATAATGGCAAGAACCTGAGGAGCTTCTTGTTTTATTTATTACAAACCACCTTCTAAAAAAGATTTGCTAATACTCATAGCTTTGCCAGAATTTTATATTATTCAGAACTAAAGCAAATAAAAATGTATTTAAATATATACTGTGAACATTTTAGTTGGGTGTTTTTCACTAGAGAACCAGATTTTTAGAATTAGGGGTAATTACATATCTTTTATCTTCCATGTTTACAAAACTACTCTGGTAATTATTTAGAGTATGTTACATTAGTTAATAGCCCATCTGCTCATTTCAGAATATCTTTCTGAAAATAAGAGATTTGTTGGAATTTAAATGTAACAGTGACTTGCAGTTGACATAGGGTTGCATCCTAGTTGCTAATGTGATTTTGCTGCATTATCTGAATTAAAAGCTGAATCACTCTAAAATTCATTTCCCTCTCTTTCCAGATCATGTATCAGTTGGAGGACTTGGAGACAGCTTCTATGAGTATTTGCTGAAGGCCTGGTTAATGTCTGACAAGACAGATCTGGAAGCTAAGAAGATGTATTTTGATGCTGTTCAGGTAACCCAATATTTAAATCATCTTTGCCACTCAGCCCTAACTTATAATTTGTATATTAATCAAGTTTTAATGAATAAGTGGTATACTACATGAGTGAGTTACAAAGTATTTCCAATTAGGTAGAGTTCGATATCTGCTAATATCATCGTAATAATGGTAATCATATTTGATGTTTATTTCTAATAGGGCCGTTAAAGTTTTTGCATGGTTTAAACCTCAGTTAAGAGTCACATATCTGAAAAAGTAGTATTCTTTGATAAATATGAATTCTCTCCTTAGGACCACAATTTAAATTATGCAGGGGGAAATCCTGAATTTGTATTCTGACAATTGCCTAAGTTAAAATTGCCTGAGAAGACAGACAGTCCCAATGGCTACCTCCATGTGAAGTAAACTTGTCCCCAGAGATAAATGGACAGTACTCTAAGGAAATCCACACATAAAAATCTGAACAAACTCATATTTCAGGGAAGATCATTAATAGTATCAAAGATTCTTTACAGTGGAGAAGTAAGAGGCAACAGTTGAGTGTTGAATTGCCTACCATGTGCTAAGCTGTGTGTTAGGTAGCTCCTTTAAATGAAGCGGTGGAGTTGGGTTTTTTTCTCTCTCACAGTACTTGAGATTATTACCCAGTTTTACAGATAAAGTTGCTGTACCTCAGAGAGATTACATGTCGAACCAAAATTAAGATTAAAGTTTGTCTATATCAGCACCTGTTCCTTTTAACTCATCCACTGTGGATTTATTTGTAAGAATTTCCATTCTACACTTAAATCTTCATTTACTAATTTGCAAGCAGTAAGTTAGTAAGGTAAGTTAGAAACTACTTAAAGTCTCTAGGAGGAGGCTAGTATAAAAGTAAACTAAGAAACACCTCCAGTTAAGCCTCAATCAAAACCGAAAATAAAGTTAGAAAGTAAATAAAGTTAGAAAGAAAATTACTTTATCTAAAATATTTGTACTCTTCAGGAACAAAATTTTTTAGTGGAATCAGGTGCTTTTGCGATTAAGTATTTTATGTGGTAATACATATATTCTTTTAATATTATTATCAAGGCTTCTCAAGTAGTGTTGTAAAATAGTGGCTCAGTCCTCAGAAAAATTTTATTTTTCTTGACAGCTTAGAAATTTTTTAATAAAGTGTTAATTCATAGGAAAAAAATGGAAATTTGTAATCCCAAAGATGTAGCCATTATAAAATTGGTCTTTCTAACAAGAGGTCTGGGTTATTTTGACATAGGCGTACTTTTTTATTTAAATATAAATGCAGCTTGCTTTGTTCTGGTTAACTACACTGAGTATGACATTGGTTTCCTTTACAAGTCTTCACTACTTCACATGTAGGAACCAGAAGCGCCTTAGTGAGAACGTTGGCCTACATTTGGCACAGCCTTTATAAAGGCACATGATTAACATCAAAAGCAAACTAGGATATGATCCACATGGCCTCTTTTAGGTTTATTTTTCCTCATTGCTGTGAGGTTTCAGATTTTAACCTGGGGAGTTCTCCATATTTTATAGTTTCCATTCTGTCATCCTCTAATTACCATACTGGCAGACATTTTAATTATTCTAATCTTAAATTGGCCGTCTAAGATCTTGATGTTCAAAAAAAGACAGCTTTAAAATATTATTTGAAATATTTTCTTCCTAATTCCTAAAACCATACCCACACAACTTTTAGTATATTGTATTCAGACAAATCATTGACAGGAAAATCCATTAAGAACAAATGAAGTCAAAGTGTTTCCTGCTTCTCTTAGTAGTAAAAGCTAATTTTCAATCCACTGTATATTTTCAACTTAGAAAGCAAAGCTAGAACAACTAAATTTCTGTTTTGAGAAGTAGCATTGTCTTATACAGCAAAGTTTATTTCTGCTAAGTTGTACTTTAGAAGATTATTGTAACCAAGGGGAGGATGCTGTACACTATTGTTCTGGACAATTGATTACTGAAGATATGGCTACTCTGTTGTAGCTTCAAGTAGATTTTGGGAAGCATTTAATCCCAGAGTGATATGTTTTATTTGATTATTTTAATAACAAAATATTTTGAGCTTTCAACTGGCTATCATGGCCCTATCTGGAGACTACACTAGGAACTCACAATGGCAAATGATACCTGGGCAGAAGACATATCAGACACTTACGATTCTGAAGGCTTCATCAAACCAGTTTTTTAAATCAATTATACAAGGATTAAATCACAAAATATATAGTACTCTTTTTTCTAATCAATTATCTGTATCCTTGACACAGTTTTTTCAGATCTACTAAAGACTATCCTTCTTTGTATTTATTTATATTTCCCATGGCCACACAAAATTATTGCTTTGAAGGTCTTGGAATTTCATTGTAGTTTTTATTAGGAGGTAGCAACTTGGTCCGAATCATGCCAGAAATACTTTATTTAGGATCCATAACAGGGTAATAATGTTTCTCTAATTCATCCTCAAAAGCTACTACTCTTGCCATGTAGAAAGAATAATTTCTTAGGTGATGAACAAGTATCTGCTTGAAGGACTTTATTGCAATTTGTGTTATGAGAAGTATAAATAGCTAAGATGTTCAGTCGCATAAAATAAGAATGAAATATTAATGTAATAACTAAACCATCAATAACATTAGCTTAACCACGGTTAATGAGCACAGTAATATGTTCATTTATTTCTTACCATCTTGGTTTCATTCGTTTATTTCTAATAAAGGTAGGAAAGGTTTTAGCTTCCTGTGTGTTCATTTTCATTCATTCTTCTCTATCACAAGTTTTTTTCTGTGTCTATTATTCCCAAATGTGCTTCCTAACAAATCCCTCTCTCTTGATAGCAGTGTACAGGTATAGACACAGTCATGTCCTTTTTCCTTCCATGAAGTAATTGTGGGGCAGTGGGGAGAACATTTTCTGTTAGAGTAATTGGAGATTAGCAATGCCAAACACACTTTATTTTTGCTTTTTAAAATATAAGGCATATTTTACTTACCTGTCTAGTTTAAGAGAATATCAACAGACCTGGGATAGAAATAAAAGATGTTTTATAAATCATTTTTGTAAACATTATCATTTCTCCCAAATTTAAAGATTTTTCTGATTTTTAAAATATATACATTTATTCATTATATAATAGTGTGCTTTTTAATAGAAGTATTAGAGAGGAACTTGATTCAAGCGTCACCACTTTGGAGATGTAAATGATAATTATAAATGACTCTTATCAAGTGCCACTTGCATTAGTGACTGCTTTATAAACAAAATGTGGCAGAGTCGTATCAGGAGATCCTGTTGTTCCCATTTATGGATTAGGATGCTGAGATTTAGAGATATAGTAAGCAAATTGTTCACTCCCACAAATTAGAGATAGTGTCAGAGCTGGAATTTGAAGCCAAGTCTTCTGGCCCCAGAACACCTCCTCTTTGCCACTCTATTTTGTTATCCCTCCAAGCCTACAGAAGTGAAAGGAAGAGTTCTGCCACCATCCTGGATCTCATGCACAAATATGCTGTGTTCTTCATCCACCTTAGGGCCTGGGCTGTGTTATTTCACCACTTATGGAAATGAAAATGTACCAAACCAACTATTACTGCTGCACAGTGGCCTGTCTTTGGGAAGGAGAAAGTTTTTTGAATATGAGGAATACAATGTTTGGTCACAGAACCAAGCAAAACCAAATGTGCTGGCGCAGCAGTGTTAATTCTGACTAATCAAACAAATAAGGCATAAACTAGAGGAGGAATACAGAAAGCAATAGCATGTAATTTCAGGTTGAATGGATTTTTAACACCAAACTCTGATTGTCAGGTGTATTCTATTCTTTTTTTTTTAATGTTGGGCATATTTTTAGTATAAATTTGAGAAGAGATTACAAAATGTTAAAAAATAAGTGTTTTTCACAGGCTATCGAGACTCATTTGATCCGCAAGTCTAGCAGCGGACTAACTTATATCGCAGAGTGGAAAGGGGGCCTCCTGGAGCACAAGATGGGCCACCTGACCTGCTTCGCGGGGGGCATGTTCGCACTCGGGGCTGATGCAGCTCCCGAAGGCATGGCCCAACACTACCTTGAACTCGGGGCTGAAATTGCCCGTACTTGTCATGAATCATATAATCGAACATGTGAGTACATGTTATTCTTCATTTATGGTCTATTCCCACATGCTTTGATTTAATGCAGTTTTGTCATTGCTGCCCTCAAAAGACTATCCGCTCTGCCTATGAAGCTTGATGATCGTGATTAATGTCTCAAAGGAATGTATATTTTATTTTAAAAGGCAATGCTTTTCTTCCTAAAAATATCTACCTTTAGTTTACCAAGAAACAAAAATCCAGGCCATAAAGAGTTAAAGCCAGCCTAATTTACTGACTTCTGCTTTTGCCAATAACATTGGGCAAGGGTCTCTATCTCCCTGCAAAGAGAAACTTAGCATTTTATTAACCATTATTAATCTTCTCCACATCCCCCATGAAACAGATCATGAATCCCACTCCCTTCTTATAAAATAGGAATTTGAAACACAAAGTGTAAATAACTGGCCTTCTGTTACGAAATTACTTAGGATTGTCAACCACTAAGTTTCTGGCTAACTCAAATGGTATTTCATGGTGCCTTGTATCTGCCTGGTGGGTGCTCAGTAAATGGGGGTTAAATGAAAAAAATAAATTGTTAATATTTTCTAAAATGGACTCTTTTCAATGACTAAATTGTTTAAGTATATGAATATTATATATTACATGATGTTTATAACTCGTTTTTAAAATGACTACTTTGACATTTCTCTTCAGTGTTGTTAAAGTACAGTCAGACCTTCGTATCCCTGGGTTCCACAACTGCAGATCAGAAATGTTCCCAAAAAATGGATGGTTCTGTCTGTAGTGAACATTTATAGAGTTTTTGTTCTTATCTTTATTCCCTAAACAATACAGTATAACACCTAGTTACATAACATTTACACTGTATTAAGTAGTATAAGTAAACAAGGTGATTTAAAGTATATGGGAGGATGTACCCAGGTTGTATGCGAATACTTTGCCATTTTATATAAGGGACTCAAGGATCCATGGATTTTGTTATCCTCGGAGGGTCCTGGAACCAGTCCCTCATAGATACTGAGGGATGACTGTACTTTCTAGTTTCATTTAAGTTATTGACTGTAAGCACTGTCCAGGAAAATAACCCTTATTCATTCATTCCATGTCCTTTAGTTATGAAACTGGGACCAGAAGCTTTCAGATTTGATGGTGGTGTTGAAGCCATCGCTACAAGACAAAATGAAAAATACTACATCTTACGGCCAGAAGTTATGGAGACTTACATGTATATGTGGAGACTGACTCATGATCCAAAGTACAGGAAATGGGCCTGGGAAGCCGTAGAGGTGATGTTTTAATTTGCATGTTTCTTATAGATAAATTTCATAGTAAAAAATGTTCAGTGATACCCATAAATCAGGCTTATCAACTTTTCTATAATTTTTAATGCTTCGACCAGGATTTTTTCCACCCAGGACTGTGTATTTTCATTGAAGTCATTTTATATCCCTGGCTTCAGCTTTGCTTTGTATAACATTGATATAGATATATCTACTGATAGACTTAGATATTGAAGGAGATAACTAGAAAGGCATAGTCTAAAATTAAGTTCCCATTAATACAAAAATGATGATCTCTTAATTCCACCTAAGGGTTGTTGGCAGCTTGGGGTATTCACCTCTATTTCAATAAACCACTTCATGTTTTTTTCTGTCTTTGGGCTTTAAAATGCTAGTATATGCTTTTACTTAGAGTAAATAGCTACTTAGATCTAACTTTTAGAAAGCACTTATAGAAGAATTACTTTGTATAAGGATATTCCTTTACCAGTCTCAGGTTTCTTGGAATATCTATAAGCTTTCCATCTGCCCAGTGTGTTGTTTTGTCTGTCACCTCTTGGGTCTCTTCCTGCTGAGGATAGTATACCTCCTTCCTAAACCAATCTAGTGAATGCTTTGTGTGCCGAATGCCTGAGGAGGCAACCTGCAGGATATGCATCTAACAATGTCTGTCTAATTGTAAGAGTTATTATTCCTCAAGGAGTGGGAGGGAATTCAGGGGATAAGAACAAGCAAATTCTTTAATTACACTCTCATTCTCTAGCACTCTTTGTTAGAAAGTTAGCTATCTTTAAAAACTGTCCATGAGGAATGACTTCTCTCAGGAAATCTAAAATGAATATTGCCTTTGGTAAAATTTAACTAATATCTTAGGAAGCCATCGGTGAATCTTGCTTATTATCCTCTTCATTTAATATGTGTCTTATCATTAATCATCAGTCATTTTAAATAACAGCAATTCTCTAGGCCTCTTTGAGGGGGCAGTTTTATTACATTTAATCAGTAGTCATTGTAATTTCTTTACATTTCTGTTTTTTTCCTCTGGAGAAAATGTTAAAGTTGAAGCTTTTCTAAACTTTGGTGATAGGGAATTGTTTTGGTCTTCAATTGGCCAGCAAATGAATTGAATATTTTAAGTTGAAAATATCAGGAATGGTGTGTTCCATCAAATCTAAAACACCATAATTAGTAAGAAGCATCATTATTTTATATACCACTAAGAAAAATAACACTACCAATTAAGTTATGACATCCATTTTATAGATGTTAGAATGTACAAAATGTATGGCCGAGAAGGTATCAAAAATGGGAAGTAAGCAAATTCGTATTGCCAGGTAGACAGGATGCTTTGGTTTGCTGTGTTCTTCAGGGGGTTGCTTGTTTATGAGATCATAAGGTTGGTTTATGTGTTATGATTTTTATTTCTTGTCAACTCTTTAACATAATATATGACCTGAAATCGTTTCCCTGTGTCACAACACTGAGGTCTCAATTTTGGGGATGCCCCCAGTAACCTCTGCTAGAACCTGAGCTATAGTGGTGAGCCAGGAGTGCTGTAGGGTCTTGCATTTTTTAAACCAGAAAAACTGGGACTTCGAAGGCATGGCCGCACGTTTTTCCCCTGGTGTTATGCCCACCCCCGTGGCCTCCTGTGTTTCAGCAGCAGCCCCGCATATGCTTGCAGCTCCCACCTCCAGCACTTGGCTGTTCTGATGCATACTTGAGACCACAGCTGGAAACCATGTCAGGAAAAGAAGGTGGAAGAGCTTTTCCCTAGCCAGCTGGCTGTGGTCTGGGAAGTGCTGGGGAGTTAATGGCTGTCAACCAAGGAGGTTTTGGAGTTGGTGGATAACTGTCCCAGTCTTCTTTCCTTCAAGAATCATTCTGGAATGCATGCTACATGGTTCTTCAGAGGGTTTCTAGCAGGAGTGAGCCTCGTTGCACACAGTTGAACAATATGATTCATTGGCTCTTCTGTCCCTGTTTTGCTTTTCCCACTTGCCCACTTCCTGATGTCACCTCCCTGATAGACTTCCTGCATCCTGCGTCCAACCCTTGTCTCATGCTTTATTTTTAAGGGAACGCAAACTGAAACATAGGGGGTCTTAAAAATCACCTCATCCAGCTTTCCGCTTAAAGACAAGACTCCCCTCCATATCTTTGCAAGATAGCTGTTCCTCATCAACCCAAGGACTTTCCAGCAAAGGGGAATGTATCACCTAATAAAGTAACTCATTCCAATTGGTAATATTGAAGGTGTTAGAAAGTTATTTATTTTGAAGCCACAATTTACAGTGTTCTGTGCTCTGGGGGTACCAGAGGGAAAAAATCTCCCTTCTGCATTTCAGCTCCTCAATTATCCGAAGACAGCAGGTTCTGCCATCTCTTCCTTTCCTCATCCATCATTTCCCTTGATTTTCTTCTCCTGACCTGGTTTCCAGCTGTGGTCTTTTAGGGCTGAATAGTGTGAACCTCTCTTCTCTCTTCGCAGTGTGATTTTTTCACAGCTTATGGTCCAACTTGTTCTTTTAGTAGATTTATATTTAAAAAAAAAAAAAAAAAAAAACTGGGAGGCCAAAGTGGGTGGATCATGATCATGGTCAGGAGATCGAGACCATCCTGGCTAACACGGTGAAACCCCGTCTCTACTAAAAGTACAAAAAAAAATTAACCAGGCGTGGTGGCGGGCGCCTGTAGTCCCAGCTACTCAGGAGGCTGAGGCAGGAGAATGGCATGAACCCAGGAGGCGGAGCTTGCAATGAGCCGAGATCACGCCACTGCACTCGAACCTGAGGGACAGAGCAAGACTCCAACTCCAAAAAAATAAAGAAAAACTGGCTTATATTGAAATTATGGTCAGTGTTAGCTTCTCCATTTGCTACCGTTGAGTCACATCTCCTTTGCACTGTGCTTTTTCACCCATACTTTCAGTTTGTAAAGTATTTGTAAGCCGTCTTCCTATCTTCTAACAAAGCACTCCCTTCCCAGCCTTCTTTCACTGATACACTTGAGAAACCTGCTTTCTGTGTCTTAATTAAATTTCTAATAATAATGTCAAATAAGATGTGAAAAGGTATATAATCCAGCAGTACAACACTAGAGAGTTCTTTTGTGGGTTAACAGCACTCCATTAATCACAGGTGTTCAAGCACTTGTGAGTCTGCCTGACAGAAATAATATTTAACTGATAATTTCTTTTGCTTTTTCTCAAAAATGTCATGAAAGCCAGGCGTGGTGGCTCAAGCCTGTAATCCCAGCATGTTGGGAGGCCGAGGTGGGAGGATGGCTCAAGGATAGGAGTTTGAGATCAGCCTGGGCAACAAGTCATCACCCTGTCTTTACAAAATTTAAAAATTAGCCCGTCATGCTGGCACACTCCTATAGTCCCTAGCTACTCAAGAGGCTGAAGAGGGAGGATCACTTGAGCCCAGGAGTTCAAGGTTATTTTGAGCTAAGATCACACCGCTGCACGCCAGCCTGAGCAACAGAGCGAGACTCTCTTGAAAATTTTAAAAAAAAAAATCATGAGAAACTGACAAATTCCTTCCATTTAAACATCTGATAACTTACAGCATGAGCTTTATCAGAATATTGTATGTATATATTCACATAGATTATATAATGTCTCAGCTGATCTATGGTAAAGGGTAAAGCCTTACCTAGGGATTTGGGATTTTTTTTTGGCTTTAGGGGGTTTTTTTTTGGTAGTTTCAGGTTTTTTGGTTTTGTTTTTTTGCACAGACATTTTCTTTGCTCTTCTAAACCTAACCTTTTCCACTCAGACATTTCGACTCTCAGGAAGTGACTTCTTTTCCTCCTTCCTACTCCTGCCTCCTCAGGCTTCATCCTGTTTCCAAACCCTCTTTGATTTGTTCAAGGTGCCTGATTCTCTGTGTTCTATCCTTGAGTTCAGACGACACTCAAGCAGACAGCCTTACTCCACGGATCAGCCATTTATATATCTGGTAGGCAAGAGAATACTCTTCTGTCCTCTGACTTAGGATTTA
Organism: Homo sapiens; assembly: GCF_000001405.40. NCBI lineage: Eukaryota > Metazoa > Chordata > Mammalia > Primates > Hominidae > Homo > Homo sapiens. The sequence continues at coordinate 119,184,403 of NC_000006.12, read as the reverse complement.
ACTCATGATGCTTGCTATTTTCTTACCTACCCTTCATCCTTTGTTTAGAGCTCCAATCATTATAAACATTCTCATATCCTGTTCTCTGCTATTTGCACATCCCAGTCACATAGGATCACTAATAATAGAAGCATTTACTCAAAACCAAGGTGGTCCCCATGCCTAGAGGCTGAGAATCCCAAGAACAGATTATAGTACAATGATGATCTGGTTAGACTTAGTCATACAAACACATGACAGCTTCCACTGTTGAGATGCTGATAGAATCAGGGCTGTTGTAAGGGCCCAGGAAAGCTATTTGTCCCCAGCTTCACGTTCCTAAAGTCTTAAAATCTAGACTTTTGCGTAAGGGGTGAGGGGGAGTTCTTGGGTGCTTTTCCTTTAAAAAAAAATTTTTTTTTTTTAATTTACCAAAAACTTCAAAAGCAAAGTGACTGGGCCTCTCTAAACCTCTGAAGCCCTTGTTATTGTCTAAGCATTTCTTCATTTTGTTTTATTCTCACGTACAACCCCATGTTGAGAAGGAAGATGCTGCCTGGGACATGGAACCTCTGGGGCCACTGATAAGGGGGTCTCAAGCTGGAAGTTGGCCCACTACTCAAAATTTTTGGCTGTGTTCTTGAATACTATAGCTTACCCCAAGAGGACTTGTGGGGAACAAGAATGAGAGGGTGAACTAGAAAGAAAGGTGATTAGGCATTGTCCACCCCAAAAGCAACTCCTCTAACAAAAGAAGGAGCTTAGAGCAGTTTCCATGGAGAGGAGGAGTGGCTGTTTATCATGGCTGGCCCTCTCATTAGCTCATTACCAAAAAACCTCAAGGGAACAACTAAGAAAAGGTTTTGGGATTAAAATCTGTTTAAAGAAATATCCGGAAATAGGGTTTCCCATAAAAACCTTGCCCATTTTTTCTAAATTCTGATTTTTTTCCTTTTTTTAACCAATAATTTTTGGCTTATTCTACATATCTGGTATTTGACTCTTTGTCAAAAAAAAAGGAGGAAAGAAAAAATAATAGGACTTGAAAGTTTCTTTCTTCATGCTCATCCTCCATTTGACGCACTGTCTGGAACTTAGAATTTAATCGAAGCATCTGTTTTTAAGTTGATCGGTCTTATTTTCTTCGGGGCTTTTTAAAAGTATGAAATCATGAGGCATTTTCTTTATTTTCTTTATTCATGTGGCCTGCTGGCCAGAATTTCTTTAACCAGGTAATTAAATGCTTCTCCTCATAGTCTCTCTGCTCTCTCCCTTCTGTCCTCCAGCCCTGATGTGAAAAATCAATAACCTCATTATCAGTATCTGCAGATGGGAGCTGAGCTCTCAGTGCAACATCTCTGCTCATGAGAATCCGTGGCTGGTACTTACTTTCCCTCGCCTCTTTTCTGGGCTCTACATTCTTAGAGCCTTATTTTCCTCCAAAATCCTTTCTAGCCAGAGAAGGTTTTTCTCAACTGATAAGGCAAAGTCTATGCTTTCCATCTTCTTGGTAGTTGGATTAAATGGGAGAAAAATGGGGTACAATTATATATGTAAAAAAAAAAGAGGGACAGAATTATGATCCACAGGGGAAAACTGAAACGTAAGTGAAAAATGACATGAGAAACTAAGAGTAAGTATATCTTGTTTACATTTTCTTTATTTCACTATAAAATATATTAGGGTTTTAGTCTTAAACTTTATTATTTTTGTCTACAGTCAATAAATGAGAACCAGATTGCAGATGGCAATTTTTGTACGATGGAAATTTTTATTTGACCATATAATTAATAGGATTAGTAGGATGTGATGGCAGAAAATAACTTTCCTAGAGATGAATATGCCTGGTAACTAGCAGAGCAACAAATGTAATTTCAAAATATAAACAGCACAAAAAAAAAAACAACTCAAAATGAATTAAAGACTTAAATGTAAGACCTGAAACCATAAAACTCCTAGGAGAAAACAACAGGGGAAAAGCTCCTTGACATTGAGCTTGGCAATGATTTTTTGGATTCGACCCAAAAACACAGGCAACAAAAGCAAACATAAACACATGAAACTACATCAAACTAAAAAGTTTCCTTACAGCAAAGGAAACAATCAACTAAAAACACAACAAAAATGTGTGCAAACCATATATCTGATAAGGGGTTAATATCCAAAATATATAAGGAACTTACAATTCAGTAGCAGAAAAACAACCTGATTTCAAAATAGGCAAAGGACCTGAAGAGACATTTTTCCAAAGAAGACGTACAGATGGCCAGTAGTGAAAAGATGCTCAACATCACAAATCATCAGGGAAATGCAGATTAGAACCACAGTGAGATATCACCTCATACCTTTTTAAATGGCTATTATCAAAAATTCAAGAGGTAATCAGTCTTAGTGAGGATGCAGAATAAAGGGAACCTTTGTACACTGTTGGTGGCAATGAAAATTGATATAGCCATTATGGAAAACAGTATGGAGGTTTCTCAAAAAATTAAAAATAGAGCTACCATATGATCCAGCAATCCTAATTCTTGGTGTATATCCACAGAAGATGATGTGTATCCACATCAGAAGATGATGTATATCCACCACAGAAGATGGTGTATATCCACAGAAGTAGTGTATATCAAAACATCACACTGTACACCTTCCAGTATATACTATTTGTATTTGTCATACATCGGTAAAGCTGGAAAAAGGTTAAAGAAAAATAGAAACAAACAAAAGAAAGAAAGTGGGCTCTGAAAGGGAAAAAGAAAACACAAACAGCAGCCATCTTAGTGGTAACCAACAAAGTGGAAGGCAGGTTGGTTTAGGTTGTTACCTAAATGTTCATCCTCACACTGCCCAACCCATCTGTTTTCCAAATATTCATTAAATTCAGACAACTACAGAAATGTAGGATCATTTCTCTCTAGAGAGTTGTCAGTGGAGTCATCCCATCTTCTTCCATACTAGACTGAAAAAAAAAAAAAACATGTATTTTAGGAATAGATCCCAGCCACATGTCTCTCACTGTCTTTCATTTTCTTCTTTTAGCTCTGTTACCAATATCACTGATGAGTACCCTACAATCAATTTTCAGAAACTCAGATACTCTGATTATAGAAGCAGCTGATTTTGTTCCAGTACGGTTTCTCAACCAGTGGTTTATGATCCCAGTTGACATTAGCAGTCTCTCCAAACTAGGGGTCAGCAAACTCTTTCTGTTAAGGGCCAGACAATATCAGGCTTGGGGGACAGCCAGCTAGTCTCTTTTGCATCTACTTAGCTCTGTCATTGTAGTACAAAAACAGCCACAGACAATATTTAAACAACATGGCTGTGGTTTAATAAAAGTTTATTTACAAAAATAAACAGTGGACTGGATTTAGCCTATAGTTCATACTTTGCTAAACCCTGCTCCAGACCATAGGGGGAATTGGTAAAAATCAGTGAAAAATTTTTCCAAAACTAAAGGCAGAAGTGTTTCAAATTAGGTAAGATATGTGGTCCATATGTTCTATGACTTCATTTTTAATTTACATTTAGTTTATGGTTTTAATTTTTTTTTACCTAAAACTCTATAACAAACTTTCATTTAATTTGAATCCAATTTGTAAAAAATAAATTTTGACTGGGCACAGTGGCTCATGGCTGTAATCCCAACTCTTTGGGAGGCCGAGGCAAGCAGATCGCTTGAGCCCAGGAGTTTGAGACAACCATGGGCAACATGGCAAAACCCTATCTCTACAAAAAATACAAAAAATTAGCCAGGCATGGTGGCGAATGCCTGTGGTCCCAGCTACTTGGGAGGCTGAGGCAGGAGAATCACCTGAGCCCAAGAGGTAGAAGCTGCAGTGACCCATGATGGTGCCACTGTACTCCGCCCAGGCAACAGAGTGAGGCCCTGTCTCAAAAAAAAAAAATGTTTTATCTGAACTTGACAATCTAATAATAAAAATTAGTGACAATCAGTTTACTGAAATGTGACTTTTTTTTTTCCTCCTCTATAATTTAGGCCTTGGAAAACCATTGCAGAGTGAATGGAGGCTATTCAGGCCTAAGGGATGTTTACCTTCTTCATGAGAGTTATGATGATGTGCAGCAGAGTTTCTTCCTGGCAGAGACATTGAAGTAGGTGAAAATTATTCTAAAACCATGTGGCTAAGGTACCTGAACAGATCTTTGTAGATGTCTTTATCATGAACACATTCAAGTAATATCAAGTATGCCTGATTCAGAATATCAGGCATGGCTATAATTGCAGGTATATTCTCAATAACTAGGTTCAGTGACTTGGTACTGCTAACACCAAAGCACTGAGTAGCTGCTTTACCCCATGTTAATGAGTATAACCCCTCAGGGTTTTGATATATTTGACTCTTGTCCATGTTTCTTGGTAAGATGAATGCAGACATTGATGTGGTTTTTGCTGTGTGTTTGTGGTTTCACTGCCTGCCTAGTGTCTTGGGCCTCATATACTTATGTTTCTCTCACCAGATATTTGTACCTAATATTTTCTGACGACGATCTTCTTCCACTGGAGCATTGGATCTTCAATAGCGAGGCACATCTTCTCCCTATCCTCCCTAAAGATAAAAAGGAAGTTGAAATCAGAGAGGAATAAAAAGACATTTTATATTTTATTCTGCTCCATTCCCTTCACTGTATACCTTAATAATTCCTTTTCTGGTAATCAGGCACATGATGAACTTTGATTAGTAGGTCTGTGATTAAGTTCTTAAATTGTTTTGCAGTCTTTTATGTTTATTATCATAGGTATAGGTGGACCTAAATTCCTTATCATATCCTTTATTAATTCAGCCAGTGTATCCACCAGTTTTTTGTTTATGTTTTTAAGTAACCTATTATCTCTGGATTTCATGAAGGTGTAATATCGTTTTTGTTAAACTGAATAGAATTGTATAGCGATGACCTCTTAATTATAATTTGATTTGACTGCAAAACTTTTTCCTCCTCTAAGAGGAGATGATGTCTGCTTTAAGCTGTAATGTTTTGCCATGTTGCAAAAAGCCATAATAATAAGTATAAAAAAGCTTTTTCCTTTACAATTTCATGTTAATCTGGTTTGTCTGTCCACCAGAGACAGATCTTCTGTGACAGCCTCCTTATGCAGGTCTATCATTATTTGATAGAATGTCTTCTAAAATACTTCACTCACATTGTAATTCAAATTAGAAAGTCATTCCAAAAGGATCATGTCATGTTGACCTCATTTCATCGGAACTGCAGTATATTTTTGTTGGTTAATTATATTAGTGTTTTCTATTTTGTAAATGTGTCCTTTAATTTTACTTTAAATGCCCTGTGTCATTTCTGGATTATATACTAGTTAATTTCTTCCATTCCCCACTACACAGAGAGGTGAGCTTTCAAATTTTGCAGAGCTCTGCTATCACTGAATTACATTTATCTGAAGAAAATAGTACAACTTAATGGATTAGCTTTTGGGTTTAACTGAATATATGAAGAAATTGGGTCTGTCTAAAGAGAGGGTATTTCATATGGCTTTTAGTTCACTTGTTTGTATTTCATCTTGATTTTTTTCTTTGGAAAATAAAGCATTCTATTTGGTTCAGATTTCTCAGATTTGAAAAAGGCTCTATCTCAGATGTAGTAAATTATTTCCTTTCAGTTTGTGAAAGCAGGATTTGACTCTGAAAGAAGCTTTGCCAATTTTACTTATTCGTGATCAATCAAGGAAAATCTAATAAATTTTAGGCCAAATAAGAATATAGCATATTTAGTATGGTTATAGTCAACACAGAGATCACAACTTAGAAGAAATATAAAGAAATGGCCACTCCCCATCCCCCACAGTCCTGGAGTAAATCAAAATCAATATATGATTCTTTTAAACATTAAGTTTGAAATAGGAATGGTTTTCTCAAGAATAGATTTGGTGTGATACCTTGTGTTTGCTTACATTGGCCCACTATATATACATATATATTTATGTAGATATACTTCCATGAAAGGGCTAATACGATGCATATACTGAAGGGCAAGGACTTTGACCATGTCAATTTTCAGCCGAGAATGGTCAGAAAGATCAGTACAACCCCATGGATTAGGCTGAAACATATGAAATTGCTGCATTTGTAGTTTAAAAACTGTCAGCAGTTTCATATGGTTCCACCTAATATTATTGAAGACAATTATTTTCTTAGCTATCAATAGGCTTAATAGTTTTAGTTATTTTAGCTTTTGAAAGTGTTTTAAAAGATTTCCTTTATCGGACAGGACCATCTTTATGACCTGCTTTCTGTTTTTCAATATCATACATTGGTGTATGTCAAAGAATAAATTAGTAAAATTAGTAAATGAAAAAGACTCTTCCGTACATCATTATTTCCATGCTAATGTGTGTCTGTGATCCAGAATAACTTCTCCCACTCATATCTTCAGTTCACCTAATGAAATGAATGGATAGCAAGAGCCCTTTGTTCCCAGGACTTTAAGGCAAAATATTAAAAATTATTGCCAAAATTAAGAATATAATGTTTGTATAAATGTCCTTGAATTTGCCATTTAAATTAACTCATTTTCTTTTCACTTTGATTTGAAAGCTGATAAGTATTTCTGCAGCAGATAGAATATTAAAATCAGGTTGTGTGTACACACTGCACTATGAGGTACCTTGGTGTCCTGGTGTGAATAGACAAGAAGCTGTACTATATGTTGCTCTCTCAGTGGCAACAATGAAGTTTTTGCAATTCTAGAACTTGGATTTTTTTTTAACAAAAGTCCCAAAACACCAAAAATGTAAACAAGATAAGAGATTAATATTGTAGTGATGTAATTTAATTAAAGTTATATTTTGGGTTAATTTTAACAACTGAAGTCTTATTGTTGAAACTTATTTTCAACAAAACTGTGCAGTTAAATTTGTATACGTATTCACATACTGAAAGATGAACCGTTAAAATAGCACTTAATTTTGTGTTTCTTCAATATGTCTTGATATACTTTGTGCAATTAATATTACACATGTAAGTTGTATGGCAGTTTACAGAACTCAATGACTTGTCATGAGGTTTTCATATGAGCTACACATTGTGTACATTGATTGTTTTTTATTTTTACATAAATCCATTCTGTCATTTTCAACTTTATATATAAATCTCCAATGTTATGGGAAACAATAGATTGACACATAATTTTTAAAAATTATATTTGTAAAATTTCTCTATTGTGAATAAAGTCTTTTAATATATCTCCTCATTTGTTATATTTTTCTCCTTTTTAGTAGGCTTTTGTATATCTAAGGGGTGAGTGCCTTCAGTTGCAAATAAAAATATTTGATCCTAACAGCATTTCCATACCACACCTGTAGGGTCTTGACAAGGAAATATTTCCCATTAAGAAACTTTACATTGCACATAATTTTGCATATACAGTGTTTGGGTAATCAAATAACCTTTATTAACGATCTAACATATGTTCAACACCAGGACACAGAGGCTAGAAGCTTTGATGTCAGAAATAGCACAAACTATGTTCTTTGTTCATAAATTTGCAATGCAGCTAAGAAAATGAGATTAACCCCACACCACCCCTCAAAACAAGACAAAAATAGCATTTAGTTGTGTTAAATTACAAGCTAAAATTCTATATAAGTTCATGGGAACAGGAGGTCCATAGCGTTTGAGTGGTCAAAGAGGCTTAATAGAAAAAGGAGAACTTATGCTATAGAAGATCCTCCGAAATTTTTCAAAAAGCCCAGGTTCTAAGTTCTTCAAATTCGTACTGTACTTTTTAGAATATTTCAGATATTTTGGTTGCTGTTGCCACTGCCTGGAACTTGCTTTCCCTAATATTTTTATAGCTCATTCTTTATCAGGTCTCTGCACAATTGTCACCTCATTAGAATGGCTTCTTTGACAAATCAGTGTAAAATTCTCTCCACCTTTTGTCCCCTACCCTATTTTATTTTCTGCTTAGCATTTGCTGTATTACATATTTATTTCCTTATTTATGTCTTTCTAACCCCTTAGTATGAAACCCCATGAGAAAAGAAACTTCAACTGGCATTTTCCCCCATTTCTCTGTCTAGTGCCAAGAGTATAGTTCACAATTGAGTGAGAAAGTGCATGAATTAGGAAACTCGATCTTATATTCATAGTCTTTGCTACAACTATTTGCAAATGTCTTTCACTGAGCAATACACTTTTAAAAAAAATATTAAAGTACATGTTTGTGACTAGAATCAACTCTCAATCAACAGGTTATTTTTAATCCACTTACATCATGTAAAATAAAGTAAGGCATGACTCCTCCAATAGTTTTCAGTATTCAACAGCCCATTATTGTTTTATGTGACTTAATGTCACAGTCCCTGCCACATATGTTAAACAAAAAACAAAAAACGATTACAACAGCACCAAAGAAATTAGCTTATTACCTAACAGAGTCAAATGGGAACCTTCTGAATTAAATTATGGTAGCACAAATTGATGTTGGTTGTGTTCATGTTGTTGGTTACAGAATTATTAAAATTTATTCTAAGCATGGTGTTTATGTATACTATCAGCCATCAACACAGAGATGGCAGCTTGGCAACAAATACATCTAATGACTGATAATGATATGTAGATGGTTGCTTGAAAAGTTTTTCAAAGTTAACAAGATAAAATCTTTTTCATTTGAACATAGAGTTCATATATAATTGCCATTCGAGGCTCCCTACCTTGTGACTGAAGAGTGAGGGCAGGAAGGGGAGTCTTAGGAAACTTTTTAACTGATTTTATGGCCTGAAGCCTCCTTTCTATTTTTTCCAGGCTCATTCCATCCTCCACACTAGCCAATACATGAGTCACAGTTTTCAAGAAATATTTGCCAGGCATCAGATACATATTTAAAGTATTGGAATTACAGGGGAATGTAGACAGCATTTAGTCCAACTCTCATTTTAAATATGAGGAAATGGGGATTTTCCCAGCAACAGGAACTGTTTTTCTATCCTTCCTCTGTGCTGCCAGACACAGGAATATGGTAAGATTTCATGCTAATCCTAAAAATACAAAAAAATTAGCCGGGCATGGTGGCGCATGCCTGTAATCCCAGTTACTTGGGAGGCTGAGACAAAACAATCACTTGAACTCGGGAGGCAGAGGTTGCAGTGAGCCAAGAACGCACTACTGCACTCCAGCCTGAGCGACAGAGCCAGACTCCACCTCAAAAAAAAAAAAAAAGGCCATATATGAGAGCATATGTTATTTCCAACCAGCCACTCCAAAATAAAGGTATAATTTCAGAGTTCACCCTTAGGAATTGGTCTACTGCTGTGTTTCTTTCTCCAGATGTGGGCTACAGTTTACCTAATCTGAATCTCAGCTAAGGTTTGTTAAAATGCAGATTTCAAAGCCTTCCCCCAAATTTAACAAATCAAAATTGCGATGGGGTCCTGGAATACCCATGTTTAGCCCTTTGTGTTATTCCTACACACACTAAAGTTGAAAACAACAATTTTAAGTTCTAGGTAAATGGAAATTCCAAGACTATCAGAACAATTAATGAGTTAATTAGCGAATCATGACAAGAATATGTACCTTTTCCTGCATTTTTGTCTCTACCTCAAGGTTTAAGTACAATTTGACATAACTTTGGTCACTTTGAAAACACAGATTCTTCCTTTTCTACAAAAGCATTAGTCTGCAATAAGCCATACACCTAAATCTTTTAGAAACAGATTTACACTAGATTCTTATACATAATTCTTTCTTATTAGGGGAATCTCAAAAGTATTAACTACAATCATGCTTGTTTTTATTCAGCAATTGTTTCATTGGCTTTCTTTTCCCAATAACTGCATTTTTAAGTCATTTTTCAAATTGTTTCTACTGTTCTTGTTGATTTTAACATGAGTGTCACTTGCACAGACTACACGGAATTTCTAGTTTGGCTATATATCATGTAAATGTATAAAACGTTCTTGGAAATGACCTCTGAAAAATACCTTCATTTCCCCCGCCCGCGTTTTTACATTCATTGCTATGCTAATTGTCAAAGATTTGTTGGCTTGCCATTATTATGATTACTTTGAGTCCCCTTAAAACATGCCATTACCGACAGAATAAATTAAATGTGTATCACAGATCCATTTAATTCCCCAGTGAATGCAAATTACCGTGAAACGTTAGAAAACAGTGATAGATGTATAGTTTCTAAAAACTTTTACACATACTGGGATATTTTGGCCTTAGGCTACAAGCACTTACTAATTCACAATTCTGCAAACAGGGTCATAAAATGTACTGCTTTTCAAACAGTATTTTCCAAAATCATTGGCACCTGAGAGATTTTTGTTTTGTTTTGTTTTGTTTAACTCTCCTAGGAGAAACAAATGAATGATTCCCATTCACAAAATCTTTGGGAACTTTATTCCTGACTTTCCAACTCTTGGCATTCTCTGTGGAAAATAGAAACACAATCACCTCGCTGAACCAGGATGGGAGGTTCCATTACAACTTCTTGAGGGAGGCACGATGCTATTGGTTCCCTTTCATGTATGTGACAGCTTTGGCTTGTTATGACCCAAGGCTCTCTATTTAATAAGTGACTGAAGGAGAAGCAAACTAAATCTCTTCCTTCCTGTGCAAAACCTCTTTACCACTCTGCCTTTCAATACTGCACTTCACTGGTTAAATAAACCTCACTGGTTAAATAAACCCTAAGTGCCTCTCAGCTATCCACATTCCGTCTCTATCTTGCTTTTGTCAAATTGATAACTTTGTGACTTATATAATCATGGCAGGGAGTTGCAAAAATATATTTTTAATGCCCCCATTAAAATACATTAAGCCTAAGTCTCTTTTCTGTATACGACGCAGTATACAGAAGGGGTAGAAAGTAGGTGCAGTGGACCAATGGGAAGCTGACCTCACTAAGAATCCAGACAAGGGTTCCTAACCTTAGCTGGTGTCATTAACTCCCTGCGTGATTTGGAACAAGCACTTACTCTTCACATCTCCCTTTCCTTAATCTGTAAAATAAGAGGAGTGATCAGCCCAGGCCTAACAGCTAGGCTGTGCATTGCATGACATCTCTTGTGGATACCTGAGCAAGAAACAGCAGTACACATGCCTAGAATATTTCCATGCATAGACTAGAGACCACCACACCCAAATTATAAGACATCAAAACCTTAGTGTTCTCATCCATAAAATGGGAGGGATCATATCTACTTTCCAGAGAATTAAAAAACTAATATATGTAAAAGGTCTTAGCTCATGCCTTCAATCCATGAGTTCCAGCCCCTTCTTTCAGCTTTTGCATTCTATAAAATAATCATCTTTCCTCTACCTTGGGAAGCCTCCAGCTTGTTTTGTTATGACAACACATTTGTTATTATTTTACTTGCCGTTTCCAATAACCCTAGGCTTTTTTGGATGCCTTCCTTCAATCAGACTGCTTCAAACACATGTTATTACTCATCTTCTAAGGTCAAAGTTCAGCTCTTTTCTGACATGAGAAGACAGAAATAGCCAGCTCTTTTTCTTCACACCTGCATCATGAACTAATTGGACATTTTTCCACTTATTTTTTTGTTAGCGAGCCAATAGAGTTTTATTTTTTGGTTTGTGGGGTTTTTTTAGCATTTGTAGAAGAAATGGGGATCAAGCTGCATGGTTGTTGCACTATTATCAATTGTGTTATTTGTGTATTCAAACAATCCAATGAAAATAAGACAGTGTCTACAACAGCTAAGAACTCCTTCTAGATTGAAAGTCAGTTTTATTTTCAACCCACAGTAGCTTTGGAAACCAACAAAATCAATTTTATGAACTAGGAAGGCTTACTGAAATAACTCTTCTGAAAGAACCAGCATTGCTTCCAAAATCAGCTTATATGTTTGAAAATTACTTACAGTGACTTAAAACTGATCACTTTCAAAGAAAAATGTAAAGGTGATTTTGATTGAGAGTCTACTTACCTATTCCCCCCCAACAAAAACAAAACAAACAAACAAAAAAAGCTCTTGGTTTCTGTAGCAGTGGAGATGTAAATTATATGCAACTAACACTTACCTTTTCTTCTGGCACTCCCCACACAAGAATAAGGCTGTTAGCTTCTGAAGAGAGGCTAACACTGTTGAACAAAGTACCCATAGTCCACTTCCTTCCCCCCATATGCCTCACTCCTGCTGGCCTTCACTTTTCTGTATTATCCCTGAAAAGGCCTTCCTGGTCTACCTCCTTCCACTTCTTGGAAAATGTCTATTCCTCCTTTTGAGTCTCAATTTATATGTCTGTGACCAGTCTGCTTCTCATTCCAATTTGTTCTTGCTTCTTATGGGACTCCAAAGGACTTTGTGCAAACTCCTATTCATGTGTCACACTATATTGTCATTACTGGTTTTCATTCATTCATTCATTCCACAAATATTTCTTAAGTAACCAGAATATTTCAGATACTGTCATAGGTCCTGGGGAATTTAGCAGTAAGCAAATTAGACTTGCTTCTTGCAAGTCTTGACTAGGAAAAAAGGCAAGTATGCAAAAAATAGAATTTTTAAAATTTAAAAAGGAGGGCATCATGGCTTATTTGCTAATATAAATACTGGATTTGATATAGCATCTGGAACACATTTGTTTTCAACCCAAGTTTACCCTTCCATTCTTCACATAGGAGGCACTCAGTGAACATTTGGTGAAGAGTGAACAAATTGTTAAGAAATGAAGAAAAAGTGAGTCTCAAACTCCTGTTCAAAAACATCCACGATTTTCATCTTAAGTTTGCCTGCAACAGAACACAGCCCTGCTAAGCCCTACTAACTCAAAGTGATACTTCTATCTACAAAGTTGAATACAGATTCTATTTTTAGTGAAAAATCTGGTGTTTACCTTAACTGTGAGACACCTAAGTATAAGCTGCCATTAGAAAAATTGCATCACTACAATTTCAAAACAAACTTACCAAAAGTAGGATGGTTTTCTCATATTTTAGTATGTTCAAAATATACCAACTGTCTTAGGGAAAACCCACAAGAGTCCAAGCTATATTCTTTCCTTGTCATTGCTTGTGAACTATTCACTATCCTTGAGATCAACAGACATATCAGATATTCTCAATTCCGCTAGAGTTTGTCTTGTTTGTTTTTGGTTTGAGGGTAGGGGAGTCAGGGGATGTTTTTGTTTGTTTGTTTGTTTGTTTGTTTGAGCCATTATCGATGCCTAAATTGGCATGCCCACACATCCAGGGCTGGCTTCTTCTGTTCAATGGAACACTTGAAGAGCACTGTGAGTGATGTAAATAATAAAGAACTTCTCTGTAGTGACTGCAACCTTTCTGTAATCCTCTCTAGTAATAGGACCAAGGATTCTAGGGCTAAAGCAAATCCATTAATAATTGTATTGCTACATTTTTTTCAAATAAGTTCACTTTGTTGTTCCAAGCTGACTTTTCTTCAACCATTCTAACAGAAACGAAATGATTGATTACGATTTCGCCATCATCCACCTTATCTTCTTATCTCTACCTCCAGAGGAGGTGCTGACATAATGATCAAAGAACAGAGAGGGAGAAAAACAAAGGATCTCAGAGAGATTAATCAGTCCCTGAAAATCTGAAAGTGACTTTTGTCACCATTATAAACCAATATACAGGATTTCTTTAAACACTAGATTTTAAAAAAACCATATAGTATGTCAAAGCCACAATTAAAAAGAATTTTAACAAGCTCTTGAATTTATTTTGCTGCTTTAAAAAATATACGATAGATTGCTTTCTTCTTTTTGGTCCTCTTCAAACAATGATGATTGCATTAAGGGGAAGTTTCAAAATTTCCACATTGTGTATCTGCGCTTTTAACCTCTCCCAAAGATTAGATAAAGACTGCCAAACCAAAAAAGCATTCTTGGCTCACGTACACAGCTCATTCTTTAAATAGAAGTTTCAGCACGTCCAGGCAAAGACTTCTAAAGATTCTTTATCTATTGATTAACTGTAGAGGATATTCTGCTTAAAACGAATCTTAAATACTCTCTAAAATAAATGTTTTATTCTACATTAGGGTAAAAGGTGTAAAGGGAAAAATGAGACATTGCTACTCCTCTCCCATCCTACAAATATATGTTACATTTTTGCCTGCAATATTTCTATAAAAAGTTGGAAGTAGGAAAATAATCCACTTGGCAATGAAATTGTATTTCTCCTCCTGAGATGGATATTCAAGAACTACTACTCCAAGAATTACTACTCCAAGTAATTCCAAGTAGATATCCAAGAATTAATACTCCACTGGGCAGAGGTCACTTGGTGACTCCCCCGGTACACAGGAGAAACTCCCTTGAGACCACTGGCTAAACTATTGATGGACCCCACATCTCAAATGGGGTCAGAAAAACCCCCTTCCTTTTTCTGTGACTCTGATGGTTAAGAATATACCAATATACCTAGATAGAACCCTGAGAAGCAGGCAGCATATAGTGAAGAGATTAAGGTGAGGATCCCTCCCGTGTTCTTTTTTTTTTTTTTTTTTTTTAACTTTCAGTTCCGGGATACATGTACAGAACATGCAGGCTTGTTATATAGGTATACATGTGCCATGGTGGTTTGCTGCACCTATCAACCCATTATCTAGATTTTAAGCCCCACATGCATTAGGTATTTGTTCTAGTGCCCTCCTTCCCCTCACCTCTTACCCCACCACCCCCTGACAGGCCCTGGTGTGTGATGTTCCCATCCCTGTGTCCATGTGTTCTCATTGTTCAATTCCCACTTAGTGAGAACATGTGGTGTTTGGTTTTCTATTCCTCTGTTAGTTTGCTGAGGATGATGGTTTCCAGTTCCATCCATGTCCCTGCAAAGGACATGAACTCATCCTTTTTATGGCTGCATAGTATTCCGTGGTGTATATGTACCACATTTTCTTTATCCAGTCTGTCATTGATGGGCATTTGCGTGGGTTCCATGGCTTTGCTATTGTAAGTAGTGCTGTAGTAAACATATATGTGCATGTGTCTTTATAGTATGATTTATATTCCTTTGGGTATATGCCCAGTAATAGGACTGCTGGGTCAAATGGTATTTCTGGTTCTAGATCCTTGAGGAATTGCCACACTGTCTTCGACAATGGTTGAACTTATTTACATTCCCACCAACAGTATAAAAGCATTCCTATTTCTCCACAGCCGTGCCAGCATCTATTGTTTCTTGACTGTTTTTTTGTGTGTGTTTGTTCATTTGTTTGTTTGTTTTTTGAGACAGAGTCTCGCTCTTGTCACCCAGGCTGGAGTGCAGTGGCACAATCTCGGCTCACTGCAACCTCCATCTCTCGGGTTCAAGCAATTCTCCTCCCTCCGCCTCCTGGGTAGCTGGGATTACAGGCACCCGCCGCCACTCCTGGCTAATTTTTGTACTTTTAGTAGAGACGAGGTTTTACCATGTTGGCCAAGTGGGTCTCGAACACCTGACCTCAGATGATCCACCTTCCTTGACCTCCCAAAGTGGTGGGATTACAAGCATGAGCCGCTGCACCCAGCCAATTTCTTGACTTTTTAATAATCACCATTCTGACTAGTGTGAGATGGTATCTCATTGTGGTTTAGATTGGCATTTTTCTGACGATCGGTGATGTTGAGATTTTTTTCATGTTTATTGTCCACATAAATTTCTTCTTTTGAGAAGTGTCTGTTCATGTCCTTTTCCCAATTTTTGATGGGTTTTTTTTCTTGTAAATTTGTTTAAGTTCCTTATAGATTCTGGATATTAGCCCTTTGTAAGATGGGTAGATTGCAAAAAATTTTCTCCCATTCTGTAGGTTGCCTGTTCACTCTGATGATAGTTTCTTTTGCTGTGAAGAAGCTCCTTAGTTTAATTAGATCCCATTTGTCAATTTTGGCTTTCGTTACCATTGCTTTTAGTGTTTTACACATGAAGTATTTGCCCATGCCTATGTCCTGAATGGTATTACCTAGGCTTTCTTCTAGGGTCTTTATGGTTTTGGGTTTTACATTTAAGTCTTTAATCCATCTCGAGTTAATTTTTGTATAAGGTGTAAGAAAGGGGTCAAGTTTCAGTTTTCTGCATATGGCTAGCCAGTTTTCCCAGCACCATTTATTAAGTAGGGAACCCCTTCCTCATTGCTTGTTTTTGTCAGGTTTGTCAAAGATCAGATGGTTGTAGATGTGTGGTGTTATTTCTGAGGCCTCTGTTCTATTCCATTGGTCTATATGTATGTTTTGGTACCAGTACCATGCTGTTATATGTCTGTTTTGGTACTAGTACCATGCTGTTATGGTTACTGTACCCTTGTAGTATAGTTTGAAGTCAGGTAGCATGATGCCTCCTGCTTTGTTCTTTTTGCTTAGGATTGTCTTGGCTCTATGGGCTCCTTTTTGGTTCCATATGAAATTTAAAGTAGTTTTTTCTAATTCTGTGAAGAATGTCAATGGTAGTTTGGGAATAGCATTGAATCTATAAATTACTTTCAGCAGTATGGCCATTTTCACAATATTGATTCTTCCTATCCATGAGGATAGAATGTTTTTCCATTTGTTTGTGTCCTCTCTTATTTCCTTGAGCAGTGGTTTGTAGTTCTCCTTGTAGAGTCCTTAACATCCCTTGTAAGTTGTATTTCTAGGTATTTAATTATCTTTGTAGCAATTGTGAATGAGAATTCACTCATGATTTGGCTCTCTGCTTGTCTATTCTTCATGTATAGGAATGCCTGTAATTTTTGCACATTGATTTTGTATCCTGAGACTTTGCTGAAGTTGCTTATCAGCTTACGGAGTACTTGGGCTGAGATGATGGGGTTTTCTAAATATACAATCATGTCATCTGCAAACAGAGACAATTTGACTTCCTCTATTCCTATTTGAATTCCCTTTATTTCTTTCTCTTGCCTGATTGCTCTGGTCAAAACTTCTAATACTATGTTGAATAGGAGTGGTGAGAGAGGGCATCCTTGTCTTGTGCCGGTTTTCAAAGGGAATGCTTCCAGCTTTTGCCCATTCAGTATGATATTGGCTACAGGTTTATAATAAATAGCTCTTATTATTTTGAGATTTGTTCCATCCATACCTAGTTTATTGAGAGTTTTTAACATGAAGGGCTGTTGAATTTTATCAAAGGCTTTTTCTGCATCTATGGAAATAATCATGTGGTTTTTGTCATTGGTTCTGTTTATGTGATGGATTACATTTATTAATTCGTGTATATTGAACCAGCCTTGCATCCCAGGGATGAAACTGACCTGATCGTGATGGATAAGCTTTTTGATGTGCTGCTGGATTCGGTTGGCCAGTATTTTATTGAGGATTTTCACATCCATGTTCATCAGGCATATTGGCCTGAAATTTTCTTTTTTTGTTGTGTCTCTGCCAGGTTTTGGTATTGGGATGATGCTGGCCTCATAAAACGAATTAGAGAGGAGTCCCTCCTTTTCAATTGTTTGGAATACTTTCAGAAAGAATGGTACCAGCTCTTCTTTGTACCTCTTGTAGAATTCAGCTGCGAATTCGTCTGGTCTTGGGCATTTTTTGGTGGTAGGCTATTAATTACTGCCTCAATTTCAGAACTTGTTATTGGTCTATTCAGGGATTCGACTTCTTCCTGGTTTAGTCCTGCCTCCCATGTTCTTTCATAATCATTATCTTTGACATTACAAGTGGTGTTATCAGCCAGGAAAACAGAAAATACTCTATCTCAAAAAGAAGAAATTTAACACAGGGAATTGGTTATACCTGTGATGAGAGAGCTGAGAAGCCTCACAAAGGATGATGAATTCTGATGACAATACTGAAATTAACAACAGCAGGATGCTTCTATCTGGGGTAGGAGATGGAAAGACACAATGTGGAGGTGATGTCACCACAGACCAGAAATAGGAAGCAGAGCATGAACTATTAATAGATATGCAATGGAGGGCTTCCCAGCAGAAAGTGAGATGACAGAGAGAAGCAGTAGTCCAATAGGAGGCACAATATGAAGGAGATGTAGCAATTGCCAGAGACATCACTAGAAGCACAGTGAACAGAAGACATATCCTGGGGTCCCCTTCCTTCCAATCTTTTGCCAGTGCCTCCCATTGGTCAAGACTATCAAGAAAACAGGACAAGGAAGTCTGAAAAATAGAGTTCCCTGAGATGCAGGGCCAACCTGAGGAAGTTTGGGAAATAGAGATGAGAGAAAACAGTTAAATGACTGGCAAAAGTGACTATAGCCTAGTCACGATTCACCATTTGGAGCCTCTGCTTAGCTTGAGCGGTCTTCATTGAAATGAAGAAACCAGCGACTAGACATTGACAGGTTTAGAGCCTTGATTGTGATCTCTGTATCCTCCCTGACCCTACACAGCAAAAATATTGGATGTATTTTTTGAGCCTTTATGAGCTCCTTCATATTTCAGTACTGAACTTGCTGGTGAGAAGCTACAAATGGCACACCCATGAAAGTTCAAAAATGATATTTAATAAGTGGTTTCCACTGAAGAATAGATTTCAGAGAAGAAAATCTCTGAGTTCATGAAGGACTTGTTCTCAGAGACTAGAAAGACAGATAAGCCTAAAATAAAGCCTGTAGAAGGCATGGCCATCAAAATTATCATTTTAAATGTCAGTGATTAAACTTTGCCCACCCTGCTTTGGATCACAACTGATCCTAACTCCAAATTTTCATATAACTGACAGTAACACTTTCCTAAGCCTTCATCTGCCAACCCAAATATACCAGCCTCGTTTTATATTCTACCAAGTGGAGCATAAAAATGATGAAAGCTAAATGATCATGTAAGAGACAGAACTTAGATTATTTTTAAGACACTGACTCTATTAGTTTAATAGCACAGTACTCATCAGCCTGGAGCCCTGTGATTTTTTTTAAAAGAATTACTTAGAGAAAGGACATTTTGGAACATCTTGTTCTGAATTTCTCACTGAGCTTAGATGGCAATACCTACTCTTTCAAGCCCAGTTCAAATGTCACCTCTGAAGCTTTCCCTGTCTCCTTCCTTTTTGTTCTGTTAGTGTCTTCTATAAGCCTTAATGGATGTACTTATTACATTATATTACAATTATTTGTTGCCAGTCTATCTCTCTCTACTAGTAATTTAGACAAAAACAACTTGTCAAAAGCAATTTAACTTTATAAATTGAACAAATATAAATCAGTCAGTACCAAAAATTGGTCAAAAATTAATATCCCAGTCCGTTTTGCCAACTGTTATAATTCTGTTGTACAATGGGGCTGTTTTTCAACACTTTATGTGTCCAGAATTTAAACATTTTTTGTCACTTTTTAAGAAATGGGATTGGGCATTTTTCTCATTTGTTCCTCATGTATTTTCAGCTAGTCGTTGCTACTCTGTTGTTTGTAATAGGTAAAAGATGAAACAACCAAAATATCCAATTTAGAAGATTGTTTGAAACACATGTTCAGGAGACAAATTGGAAAAACTTCAAAGTCTAAAGTTGATTGGCTAGAAAACAGTATGTAAGTTATGGTTTCCCTTTTATAGAAAAATATCGTACTTACACCTATTCATCTTTGACTTTAGCTCATAGTTCATAATAAGTATCTAATAAATGACTATGAATATAACTTTTGTCCTTTTTCCTACTGGGTACAATCCATATCAATAGACGGCATCCATTCTTTCAGGTATTCAACAAATGTGTGTATACTGGCTGGCCAGAGGTCTTTTTTTATTGAAGCCCCTAGAGTTTGCATGAATACACGAATTCAAACTTGATTCTACTGAGCTAAGATGCTACTTTTCAAAACGGAAAATAAACATTGTCTCTCTTCCTACTCTTCTCTCAGAGAGAAGAGTATATGCACCAGTATATGGTGCAGGGGACATGAAATCTAGTTTGGTGTGTTAACGAACATTAATGGTCTATAATCAATTCATAATAAGAAATCCATTAAACAAACAAGTAATTGGCTTGCTTGAAATGTAATTAATAAAATTGCTAATTCAGGTCGGAATTCAACTGCTTTTGGCAAGACCTTTTTTGGAATTACAGATATGTGCAGGCTTGACAGAATACTACAGAGAAGTGTTGTTTTGTTGTTTTTCACAGAATGCAAAGGGCCTTACACATAGTATGCACCCAAAAAATATCGGTTCTGTAAAGCCTGAAGAGTAGGAAGGCTGTGATTTTTTTAAATAAATCATTCAAATGAAACAAGAATAAAAAAGCATTTTGGATTATGAGAATGGAAAGATCATATTTAAGAGCAGTTTCCATAACTTACCAGCTGCAACGTCACCCAGCAGCTTTAGTGTTGAATGTTTAAATGGCCAGTGCAAATAAGAAGAACAATGTTGACATTCTCACATTTGACTTTTTAGGATATATCTTCATACACATTATTTCATGTAATCATTCAGTAGAGAAAATGTCATTCACATATGTAGGTAGTATGTGCACATGTTTTAATATAAACAGCACAATTCTGGTACATTTCTAGAGTGCACACCAAAGAACATATAAACACAACAAATTTTTGGCATGGTGTCAGATGAGTGATTATTGACCCAGGGGCCCATGACTGGGGTCTCAGGGGGTGTGCGTATATGTGTATTTTTCAGGAATGAAGATACAAAAGTTTAATCAGATTCTCAAAAGAGGAGGAGGAGAGCCTGTGACCTGAGAAAGATTGGAAACCACTGTTTCAGAGAGATGCTACAGTAAGCAATTAAATACAGATGGTTCCATTAACCAGGAGCCCCCCAAATGCAGGTTTGTTGCACAGATCTACTTGGATCTGTAGAATTCTGCTAAAATTGCTCACTTTGTCTTCCATGCTCCCGGATAACAGACAGTAAACGTGGTTTTTTATTTATTTAGGAATTTCAATTAGAAATACCAAAGAAGAGGCCAGGCACGGTGGCTCATGCCTGTAATCCCAGCACTTTGGGAGGCCAAGGTGGGTGGATCACCTGAGGTCAGGAGTTTGAGACCAGCCTGACTAATATCATGAAACTGCATCTCTACTAAAAATACAAAAATTTGCTGGACATGGTGGCATGCATCTGTAATCCCAGCTACTTGGGAGGCAGAGGCTGGAGATTTGCTCGAACCCAGGAGGCAGAGGTTGCAGTGAGCTGAGATCACACCATTGCACTTCAGCCTGGGCGACAAGAGCAAAACTCTATCTCAAAAAAAAAAAAAAAAAAAGAGGAAGAAAGAAAGAAATACGAAAGAAGAGATGCACATGTGGAAAAGGAAGTTGCTTCTGTGCGATACCCAGTATATTTCTGCTAGAGTAGGTGGGCTTGTCAAGGGGCCGCGGACAAACTGCATACTGCTAAACACTGCACTCTGGGGAGTTGAGAATATTGTCTCAAAGCCACTCGGGTGCTCTTTAAAAGATTTGTTTCATTTATTTGTTAAGTGATCAAAAAGTGACAATCCGCATCCTGAGACATGCTTTGAAATCTTTCATTACAAAGCAGCTAATAAAGAGAAAATGTGTCTCCTTTGGGAGCAAAACTAAGAAAATCATCCAAAATTAACAAAAGGAATGCCATGTTCTTTCCAAGTACTGAGATATTTGCAGATATCAACTTCTTGTGGTGGGAAATTATATATAAGTGATTTATTTTCATTAAGTCCATTTTCTAAGTGCTGTTCCCAAGAATACGCATTGGCTTCCTGCATGCCGTCAGCCAAGGCCTGATTTGTGCTTGTGTTCTGATTTTCTTCATCATACTATTCCCCCAAATACTCTGCTTTATAGTTATATATGCAATCGATCTCCATATAGAGATTTATGTTGAAATAGATACCACAAGCTAGGAAATGCTAAATGAATCCCATTACTCTCTTTGTGAGAAAGAAATGCTTGTTGTTGACCAAATACCAGTCTAACTGGCTGCTCATTGACTGGGTTAATATGTGCCAGGATGGTATTCCTGAGCAGTTGGAGTTTTCATTAAAACATTAATTCCTGGGCTATTGTAGAAACATTAATAGTGAGCCAATGAGTATGAGAATAAATATGAATGTTCCCTTCCTCCCAGCATCCATACAATATGTAACTTTTTATTACCAAGCTATTGAGGTTACAATGAAAATTGCCCTTAATGCCAGCATAAACAAGGTCAGCCAATAACAGGAACAAAAACATGAAAAACAAAACAGAAACCAGAACCACATGCGTAATAGGTAAAAAAGAGCAGATGAATGGGAGTTCAGAAGAGGATCTATACTGAGGAAACTGAGGTAGAGATAAACAGCTACATATCTGTAATCTAAAGCTGGTGGACCCCACCAGTTGGTCCAAGTGTGCCCTCATGGTATGGAGTTTCTTTACAGTAAACACCTCCATCCCAAATCCTAATTAAAAACAAAACAGAGGCCGGGCGTGGGGGCTCACGCCTGTAATCCCAGCACTTTGGGAGGCCAAGGAGGGCGGATCATGAGGTCAGGAGATCGAGACCATCCTGGCTAACATGGTGAAACCCCGTCTCTACCAAAAATACAAAAAAAAATTAGCCGGGCGTGGTGGTGGGAGCCTGTAGTCCCAGCTACTCGCAAGGCTGAGGCAGGAAAATGAGGTGAACCCGGGAGGCGGAGCTTGCAGTGAGCCGAGATCACGCCACCGCACTCCAACATGGGTGACAGAGCGAGACTCCGTGTCGAAAAAACAAAAACAAAAAACAAAACAGAACAAAACCACCGCAGCAGCCCAACCCTAAGAAAGACTCAACTGCATTCCTGCCCAGAAAGCAGCCACCCTGGTAATCCATGATTTCCTGCTCCACTGGCTTCTCCTCACACCCTCTCAGGCTCTGTCCTGGCCCGGCACCTCCAGCTGACATCTGACAAGCCCCAGCTGTTTCCTTCCATCATTTCCTAGAAAGCAAATCCTTTAAGCAGAGGCTGAGAGCCAACCCTGGATTTGACAGGTGTCTGACTTGGAGAAATCTCAAGCATGTGTCTTAAGCATCCAGCATGGACTCAACAGCTTGTGCTGTTTTGGAGACACTCCCAAGGACCATAGAGGTTGGTGCCCTATGACCAGGAGTGTGCCACCTCATTGAAACAGCAGGATGCCAGCAGCAGGTGGGCCCATGGGAAAACCTGTCACTCAGGAAAGACAAGGCAAGGTCCTATGTTCACAGACACCAGTCTGGCATCTCTGCTAGGAAGGAGCAGTCTAATGGTGAAATCTAACAAACGGGCATCTCTTGAGCAACCAACAATATGCTCTCTACCTGGACAGGCCATGGGTTCTTTGGTGGGAAGGCAAGATGACCAGCTTTTGAGTTGAGTCCAGCTCTGCCTCTTACTAGATCAAGGCTAGGGTGACCTTTCATAAAAATTGAGTCATCAGCTATGGACTGAATGCCTACCATATGCCTGTCACCATTCCAAGTGCTTGGCAACACATCAGTGGACAAGAAAGGCCAAGTTCCCTGCTCTTATGCAGCTTACGTTCTAGCAGAAGACAATACATTTCATAAGTAAGTCAATTGTATAAGAGTTAGGAGATGATAGGAACTATTGCAAAGTTTAAAAGTGGAACAGAGTAAGATGACTGGAGGCTCAGGGATGTGGAGTGTGGATGTGGCACATGTTGTAGTATTAAGATCCAGTAGTCAGAATGGACCTTGTAGAGAACAGGAGATTTGAGCAAAGGCATGAAAGCTATGAAGAATTGGCCAAGCAGTTATTTGGGATTCCCAGGGGAAGAGTGCTGCAAGCAGGGACACTGGCTATAGCAAAGGACTTACAGTGAAAGGAAGCATGGAAGGTCAAGGAACAGTGAGGACACTGTGAGCAGCACTGGAGTGGACGAGGGCATAAATGATAGGAGAGAGTTACAGGAGGGTGATGTGAAGATCATTGTCAGCAGTAACTCACCTCCTCTTGCCCTCGCTTCCTCATTGATACAATGTATAGAAAAATATCTCTGCAAGGGGCTGGGAGAAGGTGATAACAGGTGTGAAGGGCTTGGCATAGCACACAGTGGAGTGTCCATAAACATCCGTGGTTTTTCTTCTCCCTCTTTTGCCCCAGATGACATAATTCGTACAAATTAGCCCAAAATTAGGGCTGGGAAATGGGAGCTGTGCTCTACAACAGAGTAGTGGAGTGCACAAATTTTTAAATAAGATATTTAAAGTTTTTTTCAACAAATATGAAGGTTTTCCCTGCCCTAGACTCCCACCTCCAGCCAGCATCCAAGCTCGAGGCTCCCTCAGTCCCCTGGCAATGGGTAGGGGTTGTACAATCTCCAGAGACTCAACATCAATGGGGAGAATCTGAGATAGAGGAACATTTGTTCACAAGGGGCTTCTCCTTCCCTCCCTTGTCTCTTCTCTCCCCCAACACCCCCATGCTTGCCTGGGCCCTAAACTGTGGGGTGGGGTCTTATCTTGCCGCCCAGTGACTGTCACTGTGGGCCCTCCTGGTTGTTGCCACTGGGCACAATAAAGAGCATCTCATGTACTTCTTGGAGGAGGGAAGTGGGTATGGACCGCAGGTTCTTAAAAACAAGGAGGGCATATGAGAGAGGGGACAGAAGGCAGGTAGCAGGTCTTCCTTGAAGCAGAATGTTCACTCCAGGGGACCTGGGGGCTTCCCTTTCCACCTTCCTTAGGGTAGAGGGAGAGAGTTGCAGCCATTCTGGCTGTGGTTTCTCCCACTTCTCCCTTATGACCAATGAGAGGAAACCAAGAGGGAGAAGAGTCGTCTTCCTACTGCAGAAGAGATGCTTGGATGGGAGCCTACGGCAGCCAGACTGCCAAATGCGCAATTTCTTGTGGCAAATGCCTCTCTCCTTCCCACAGACCCTCCCCACCCAAGGATGGGCCCAGCATGGTGAAGTGGTGTGGATTTCCTCCCAGTAGGAACTGAGGCTAGGGTTTCTTCTCCAGGCCCGACTTTAGGTCACAATGCCTTGAGGGAGAAGTGAAGCTGAGGAACAGAACAGCAGGAAGGAACAGACCCCCTCTTGGCCATCCTGAAGCCTGTTCTGCTTGTATGTAAAGGAAGGAGTTGCAACATTAACATCATAAATCTGGTCATCCCATTGTAGAGTTCCTGGTTGGCCCAGCTCTGCTCGAATTAGGAGGCTCAAGGCGGTGCCTACTATTCCTGCTCATGCACCAAATAATAGGTATAGCTTTCCGGTATCTTTGTGATTAGTTGAGAATAACCAAGGATTGAGGAGGAATTTTCCTCCCTGTCAGGCAGCAACTGCCTCATTCCTCTTCCTCTTCTAAGAACTAGCTGGCTTGTCCCTCTCTGTTCCACAGGAGGTCATAGCTGAAAATCACTGGATCTCCTGCCTAGGAATTCCTGAACTCCAAGGAAAGCTCCACTCTTGTCTGTGTTTACCAAAATGGGGCCTGGGGAGAAGAATTAGATCATAACCCTGACCTCAATGTGTTTTAAATGAGCTGGGGGGGAGAAAAGACGACAAAAGACAAGGGTGAGCTTTGTGAGAAGGTGCACAATGAATGCCAACTGTATAGTAAGTGCCACTGGTAATCAGAAGGGAGGAGAGCCAGAAGACCTGGAAGATTCTATGGAAGATGAGAAATTTAATAATGAGGCCAATAGGGCAACCAGACAGAGGAAGGGATATTAAGGACAAGTGCAAAACAACTTACATAAGCAGGATGGGGGCAGACTGAGCAGGATGTCGAAAGCAAAGGAGAAAGGCTTAGAATTCTTCATTAAGAAATGACCCATGGAGAAATATGGGGTCATTGAAGGTTCCATGTGCTGGGCTGATGTTGATGATGAAAGAGCTGCTGCACAGCCTTCTCAGCTTCCCATCATGCACAAGGCTGCCCAGACACACAGCACACACTCAATGCATCAGCAGAAGCAAAGGCTGCCCAGATCCCACTGAGTCACAGCCACAGAGAATGTTCTTCCTGAGTGGATCAGATCTCTGGGGAGGCTTCTGGACCTGGATACTCTATTTCTGGCAGCCAAAGAAGGCTTCCAGGCTAGCGGAAGCTCTGCATATGAAAGTAATGTCAGCCGCCTCTGGAGGGGAGGCTGGAAGCAAAATCACTCTGAAAACTCACAGATGGCAAGCACAGACCACACTGTTTTGGCACCATCCGTTTTTTGTTCTTTTATTTTGCATTTGCAGGTTCCAGCCACAGCAGCCTGGGAAACACTTCATGACAGAAGGCCGGGTTGGGTGGAGGAGGAGAGGGACAGAAGGATGTGCTCCAGGGCCCACCGCTAGTAGGCAGACCCTACCCTGCCACCAACACCTCACCTAACCACTGCAGGCGGCCACCAGGCGCTCGAGCTGACCTTTGCCTCCACCTTACATCTCCTCTCAAGTTCATGCCCAACCACAAAGAAAGGAGCACTCTCCTTTCCTTGTCCCATCCAGTAAGACCTTTCTTAGGTCAAGTCCTCTTTCTTTCCTATTCAGTTGTCATGGCTTCATCTTAATGGCAGAAAAACTGCAGGGGATACATCCAAGAGGTAAATGTAGCCCCATTACATATCCAGAGGACTCTCCCTTCAAAGGGTAGAGATTGGGGTAGGAAGGGGAGTTGCTACTGGGAAAAGAACTAGTGATCTACACTTCCCAGTATAAAAATACTTCTTTCTGTCCTTCACAATGTTATCCATGATTGGAATTACCTTTTTCTTTTAGTAAATAGTTACGGTACACTTACTCTTTGCTCCAGGACATGTGTTATATGCTGATGCTGATGACTTGTGTGTTTGCTGTACCCCAGTAAATTTCAATGTCTTCAGCCAGCACCCATGTGCTATCTCCCTTAGCACCGTGGGAGATCATGCATCATGCCAGCTCTTTGAGAACCTCTGCAGAAAGCCAGATGTGGATCGTCTGCACACTCCACAGCCTCTCAGCTGTACTCTGGTTTGTCTACTACTCAAATCTTTGCCAAACTCCCAGTCCTCTGCATCTCCTTGCACTGAAATACAGACTGAAGCACGGTTTGCTAATTATGCAATCTGGCTGGATTAAGAGGGGCCGCAGTAAGGCAGGAAGGAAGTCCCACTGGGAGTGGTGGCAAGCAGCGCTGGCCAGGATGGCACCTAGTAAGGTAGGCGGCAGACCAGCCTGGCCCTGGATGCAGTGAGCATTTGGTGAAAGCTGGATGCTGGGCCTGCTTGAGATTGATGACGTCGAGGAGATATGCTCCAGGCTCCTGCAAGCTGAGCTCCTACCAGCTCTGAGATTGGCTCTTGGAAAAGATCACTGGCACTTACTGAGGTGAAAGTCCCAACTCTAGTTATGAGATATAGTCTCAGGGTTTTAAAAGACAGACCCAGGTTTTGGCTCCCCTGCCTCCAAATGAGAAGCCCCACTGAGCCTAACTCTACCGCCACAAGCCATCAAAGGTAAGGAGGTGAGACCCTCAGCCCCAAGGGGCTGGCTCACACTGAGACATTCCATTTACAGTGAGACATTCATGAGCTTTGTGGATTGCTCCCCTGGTATCTCTAGTCTTTCACAAAAACATGGTGTTGTGCTATATACCACGATATTCCAGAATAATTTGGCTCAACATCATAGAGTGTTGGCAGTATTTAACAGCCTTGTAAAAATATATTGGCGAGGTTTGTTGGCCATGTGATTTAAAAAAAAAAAAAAAACCACACTGTTTGGGCTACAGCTAAGTGTGTGTATCACTTATTTAAAGTTCATGCTATTAATTAATAAATGCCTGCTTTAATCCTGCCTGTCATCTATTTCCAGACACAGTTTATTTTATTCTAAAACAAAAAATCTCAGAGTAACAGAATGAACTAACTGGCTGTGAAGGTGGGTATGGTGACAGTTACCTGCCCTCCCTCCACCGCTCTGTTGACTGTCCTTGCCTCTGCGCTCATCTCAGGCCTGGGGCACACAGCTCCCCAATACATGACCCCAACTCCCCTGTCCCTCAAAGAACTTCTTTCTGCTGGACCTGCCAATCTCTCAGGGAACTGTAACCCACACAACTTCTTTTTTTTATTTTTTGTTATTATTCTTTAAGTTCTAGGGTACATGTGCACAAGGCGCAGGTTTGTTACATATGTATACATGTGCCATGTTAGTGTGCTGCACCCATTAACTCATCATTTACATTAGGTATATCTCCTAATGCTATCCCTCCCCCCTCCTCCCACCCCACGTCAGGCTCCGGAACCCACACAACTTCTAAGAGGAGAGGCGGGTGCTTGGTATTCTGACTCTCTTGACACTCTTCTGAGCCATGTGACCTTCTTGTGCTCCATCCTGTACCATCAGCTGTGTCTTACCATACAAGTCACTCAGCCTCTATCCCACTTGCTGCTGAAGACCATAACCCAGTGGCAGGAAGGATTTACACAGATGTCTTCCTGGTGCACAGCTGGTGTCTATAACCAGTTCTGGATTTTTCACCCTGTGGCAATTTCTACTTGGTTCAGTTAAAATCAATAGCCACTTAGGTTTTTAGATGAGAATGGACTGTCTCTAAATAAATATAAAGATATGCTGTTCCTCATGCTCTGGCATTGCTTATACAACATATTGGACTAAAGTATACCTATCTCCTCTTATTTTTCTTTTTTTACAAGGTCCTCAAACTCCTAGCCTAAGGGATCCTCCCATCTCAGCCTCCCAAAGTGCTGGTGAGCCATGTCACCTGGTCTCCCATCTCCTCTTCTAATGGGCTATTTTAGGCAGCAAGAAGAAAGGATGATCTGCTGCCCCACACTGTCTTTACAGAATCAGCGTGTCCTTGGTTGGGTGCGGTGGCTCACACCTGTAATCCCAGCAGTTTGGGAGGCTGAGGCAAGCAGATCGCCTGAGGTCAAGAGTTTGAGACCAGCCTAGCCAACATGGTGAAACCCCGTCTCCACTAAAAATACAAAACTTAGCCAGGTGTTGTGGCGCATGCCTGTAACCCCAGCTACTTAAGAGGCTGAGGCAGGAGAATTGCTTGAACCCAGGAGGCGGAGGTTGCAGTGAGCCGAGATCACATCACTGCACTTCAGCCTGGGGGACAGAGCGAGACTTTGTCACAAAAAAGAAAAAAAAAAAGAATCAGCATCTCCTTGAGTTTGTATTAGAGCCCAGAGTACTCTTCAGAGGGTTACCAGGGGCATAAACTCAGGGGGTCAGTTCAGTTAGGGCAATAGGTGTTCAGGATGACTGAAAGCTATATAAAAATGCATTTACCTTTTATCCCTTTCACCTAAAGAGTGCACGCCTGAATGGGCTCCATCAATCTCAGCTTTTTCAAAATCCTTCTTTGGCTGTCATGGGAATGTCCAGAGCACCCAGGTTTGGGGTCAGAGGGTGAGGAAGATAGAGGGTTGGATTATAAGCCTGGCTGTGTTAAAGATACAGTTCAGGAGCTGGTCACAAGGCTACAGTATTCAAAAGTATTGGGCCGCTATCTTTCAAGAAAGGACAATCGGCAAACTAACAGCTAGTAACCATGTTCACCTTTACCCAGTGTCACTAATGAAAGGCAGAAAATGCCAGTCTTTACTCAAATACACTGCCCTGAACATCTTAGGAGAAAAAGAAGAGTTTTTCAAATCTATTCTAAGCACATAGTCAGAAATGCAAGCAGGAATTTATATTCAAACTTTTCATTGCTAAATGTCTTTTATAATAGTGAAAAATTAAAACCAAACTACAGTGTAAGTAACAAGAGAAATAGCTAAAATTAAGGCAAATTGATAAGTCAGAATGTTGTATAGCCACTAAACAGGATGTTAAGCCAAAAAAGTTAATGATGTAACAAAATAGTCATGATTATGTAAAAAGCAGGATTTAAAATTATATATGCAATATAAGTTTTTAATTTGACATGAAAGGATTCTGCATCATTATTATTTTCTTCTGTGATTTCCTGATTTTCTGTAACATGTATTATTTGCATAATCTGGAAAAACTAAAAAGAAAACTAGGAATTTTAAGTGGAGAAGAAAGTCACTTCACATAGGATACATTAGATGTTTCTCCAAATAGGTAACTTCCTGACTGATTGAAAATATGATTTAATTTCCATGTACAATTCAATAATTGAACAAATATTTATTAAGTACCTACAATTTGCCAGGTAACTTATTTATCCGTGCAATAAATATTTACTGGAGACTGAGTAAGAGGTATAGGAAATAATAAAATAAATTCTCTTCCCTCTTGGAGCCAAGAATCTGCTAGGAAATGGTGATACTGAGATAAAAGACAAAACTCTCCCCTCAAGTAATGTCACAGTCCAGAAGGAGAGACAGACAAGTTAATAAAAAGTGATGCTGCCCAGCATCAGAGCTAATACTCTGCTAAGGGTATATTAGGGTGTAACCTAAAAAGATCTCCAAAGCGAAAAAGGAAGAGAGCCTGACAGGGGCTGTTGGTCAGCAGCCTAGTCCTCAGCTAGAATACAGGGAGACTTCTCCTGGTTTCTTTCTTTTGACTTCTATTAATTCCCTAATTCATTATCCCCTCCACCCAAGGGGTTTCAACTGTGTTCAAAATAGGTAACTTAGATACCACTTTAAATTAAAAACCAAAAAGATCTGAATTCCCCCTGTTCATACCCACCCCACCACTAAGCAGAAGAATCGGCCACCACCATTTCTTAAGAATACTAAGGAAATCGGGGTTTAACAGCAACAATGACAAAAAGGCCTAGAGACAAGGCAAAGAAAGTTGAGGAAAGAGCCAGCGTTTGTCTTCAGTCTCCACCTTTCCTTTCCACCTCCTAAATGGCTTTTAAACGTCTTCAGTGACACACTGATAAAATCCTACACTTGTGTATCACTTTGCACAGGAGAGTCTTATAGGGTTAGGGTCCCAGAGAGCCTAAATAGAATCTTGAGTCTGGTTTCATGTAATTCACGAGAGACTGGTGACCATTCCCTGCTCAGGTCTGTTTGCACATATTGATGTCTGTGGGAAATTGTTCTTGTTTTGTGCCTGCTGTTATTGTCACTGTTTGTTTGTATTGTGGCTGCAAGAAATAGAGAGATGCAAGGAGATGGAGAAGAGCAGTAAAGGAATGAGAAGAGTCTATGATCAACAAGCAGGGGACAAAAGTCAGGAGAAACTGTTTTTAATGAACATGTCACCTCATTGTACCTAAGTGCTGGTGGGGCTAAGGACATTCAAGTGCCACACATCATCTCTTAGAAGACCTACACTTCTTGGCCAGGTGCAGTGGCTCACACCTGTAATCCCAGCACTTTGGGAAACTGAGGTGGGTAAATCACCTGAGGTCAGGAGTTCAAGACCAGCCTGACCAACATGTTGAAACCCCGTCTCTACTAAAAATACAAAAATTAGCTGGGCGTGGTGGTGCATGCCTGTAATCCCAGCTATTCGGGAGGCTGAGGCAGGAGAATCACTTGAACCCGGGAGGTGGAGTTTGCAGTGAACCGAGATTGCGCCATTGCACTCCAGCCTGGTCAACAAGAGTGAAACTCCAACTCCAAAAAAAGAAAGAAAAAAAAAGACTTAAACTTCTCTCTGATCATGAAAAACCACAAAACAGAAAATCATATTTTCATGTATTTATTAATTCTCAGCTTTCCACCAAAGTTTTGATCTGCTGACCACAGACATCACTGTGACAACATTGAACTTTCAAGGATCTCAGAGTCATATTTAAAGCTTATTTACCAAAACTATGTGGCCCACCCCTCTCCAACATCTGAACATATTTTTCCTTAGTTTTGACTTTTTAGACTCTCTACTATTATGAGTAATTTCGTTGTTCCTGATTCCTTTATTTTATCTTATATTCTTTTCTTGTATGATGTCTGTGGTCAGAAGATCAAAACTTTGGTGGGAAGCTGAGAATTAATAAATACTTGAAAATATGATTTCCAACAATAGCTCCATGAAATAGGTATCCCATGTTGTGTCTCAGTTTTCCAGATGCAGAAGTTAAGGTGACGTGTCAAATTATCTACTGTTGTGTTTTGAGTCTTTTCATGTTAAAAGAGGGTGGTGCTTGCTAGAAAGAAGTGGATCACAACTTGGAATTTCTATAATTGGCGAGAGAGATCTTTGTCTTTCTCATATGCCCATAAGCCTAGTCCTGTCAGCTGATACCATCTTCTTCTTACTAATAAATTACCAGTCTGGCTAAGTAATGAAAAAAAAAATGATGGAAAAAGAACTGTCAGATGATGCAGTGTTTGCTCTGGGAAGTACCAGGGCCACAGAGAGGAGGACCAGTTACTGGAAGAAAAGAAAGAGAGATGGTGGAGAGCGCAGCAGTTTCAAATGAAAAATTAAATTAATTTTAAAATCTAATTTAAAGCAAAATAGAGCAGCAGATGTGGAGGGAGTTGAAACTCCTCCTTGAATTGTATCCCCTAAACTTTCCTGTTCTTTCATTCAGCCTGAACATCATCCTGTTTACACCAAATAGCAAAACTGGATTAATTAAGAAATAAAATACTCCAGACAGTTCATTTCTAGGGATGGTTTGTACACAGCATGTATGAGAGGAAGGAAATGCTTGAAATTTTAATTTCTCCAGAAAAAAAAGACCACCAAGGCTTCCTACCTCAAACTTTAAAAGCATATTTTCCTATAAAGCTGTCCTAATGATCTTTATGTCCCAGAATCAAGTATTAGTAAAATATGTATTTATTTTTGCAGCTTTTTTTTTTTTTTTTTTTTGGAGATGGAGTCTCACTCTTGTTGCACAAGCTGGAGTGCAGTGGCACTATCTCAGCTCACTGCAACATTTGCCTTCTGGGTTCCAGCAATTCTCCTGCCTCAGCCTCCTCAGTAGCTGGGATTACAGGCATGCGCCACCACACCCAGCTAATCTTTTTTTTTTTTTTTTTTTTTTTTTTTTTTTTGGATTTTAGTAGAGATGGGGTTTCCCCACGTGGCCCAGGCTGGTCTCCAACTCCTGAGCTCAGGCAATCCACCCGCCTCAGCCTCCCAAAGTGCTGGGATTACAGGCGTGAGCCACCGCACCTGGCCCACAGCTCATTTATTCTAACACCGAATACTTATTATTGAACCCTTCTATGAGTCAGGAGCTGTACAGGCTTCTCTGCTGTGTAGGTGGTTTTAGAGATTCTGATGGCTTACAGACAGTTAGGATGCCAAGATCCAAACTCAAGTTACAGGCCAGATAGGTTCTGCAAGACTTCTGCACAGTTGTCATCAGTGAGACAGTTCATATCAAGTAATTAAAGAATAAAACTGTTTCCTTTGTGCTGCTGCAGAACAAGTGTTAAAAAAAAAAAGCAGCCACCAAGGAGCCCTGCTATGAATCATGTGCCTTTCATGAGGTGAACTTCCCCTCCCCAGAGATGCGTGAACAGCAAATCAGGAATCCACGTCCCCACACTCGGTACTGCTGGTTTGTCTTGTGTTAGCCATGGATCTGACATCTGCCAAAACACCTCGCAATGTAATCACGGGTGTTGTCTGGTTCTACCCTCACCTTGTATAAAACCATTCTTTATACACTGGCCTTTCTATTTAATAATCTCTGCTCAAGGTATTTAAATGGTCCAAAAATCTAAACAACAGCTTGATCGAAATCTGCTTTTGGATATTCTTTTCTTTTCTGCACATGTTTAAGCATCACAGTGAAAAGTGGGTTCTAGTAACAGGTAGGAGAAACCAGCTGGGAATATTCCTGTGCAAAGCTACTGATTAGAAAAAGTGGTGGCCGGGTGCAGTGGCTCACGCCTGTAATCCCAGCACTTTGGGAGCCTGAGGTGGATGTATCACAAGGTCAAGAGATTGAGACCATCCTGGCCAAATGGTGAAACCCCGTCTCTACTAAAAATACAAAAATTAGCTGGGCATGGTGGTGTGCGCCTATATTCCCAGCTACTCTGGAGGCTGAGGCAGGAGAATCGCTTGAACCTGGGAGGCAGAGGTTGCAGTGAGCCAAGATCATGCCACTGTACTTCAGCATGGTGACAGAGCAAGACTCCATCTCAAAAATAAATACATAAATAAAAAAGATAAAGTGGAGATCTCACTAGCCACATCAACAGCAATAGTGTCGAACATTTACTGGCTGCTTACTAGGAGGCATGCCCTGGGTCACATACATCCATGCTGTATTAGTTTGCTAGGGCTGCCATAACAAAGCACCACCAACTGGGAGCTTAAACAACAGAAATGTATTGTCTCACGGTTCTGGAGGCTAGAAGTCCAAGATCAATGTGTCAGTAGTGCTGGTTCCTTCTGAGGGCTGTCGGGGAGAACCTGTTCCATACCTCTCTCCTAGCATCTTATCGTTTGTTGGCAATTTTGGGCATTTGTTAGCTTACAGATGCCTCATCCTGATCTGTGCCTTCATCTTCACAGTGTTCTCCTTGTGTGGGTACCTCTGTGTCCAAATTTCCTGTTTCTATAAGCACATTAGTTGCACTCGACTAGGGCTCACTCTAATGACTTCATGTTAACTTGATCATCTGCAAAGACTCTATTTCTAAATAAGGTCACCCTACAGGTACTGGGTGTTTGGACTTCAACACGTTTTCTGGGACACAAACCAACCCCTAACACATGCATTGTCTCATTCAGGCTCACACCAGCATCATGAGGCAGGGGCTATGATTACTGACATTACAAACCAAGACGGTGAGACTTAGAAAGCTTTGCTTACGCTTTTCTATTGCATCTACTACAAAGATAGTAGAACTATGGTATGGATGCAGACAGTTTGATGCAAAAAACCATGCTCTTAATCACCACATGAGATTTCCAAAAGAGCATGAGGAACTTTCTCCACCTTTCAGTTGCTTGGCCATAGGTTACACACTGGAGTCATCCACTCTACTCAGAAGAATACTAGCTACCCTTGGTTGAACACCTATTACATACATTACATTATCTCATTTAGTCCCCTAAAAAAACTTAGAAGTTCAGTACTCTTTATCCCAGTTCACAGATAAGCATATTGAAAGTCAAAGAAGTAGAGAGCAGCTGGCCAAGAAAGCAAGAAAGAGTTGAGCCAGGATTCAGGTTGCCCCCGGCCACTACCCATCACCACTTGAGCCTGAAGATGTATTTTCTCCACTGTGCTGTGCTGCCTTTCATGCAAAGCTCAGGGCATACCAGGCTATGATTCACTCACATGAAAAAATCAGAGGTCTGAGTAAATCTCACAGTGCTCATTTTTAAAAGGGTACACAAAAAAATCTCAATTCCAAAGAATTTGGATCAGCCAAGAGAAGGCATGGGAAAATATCAAATGTTTGTATGATTACCTGGGCAACCTTTTCTGTGCTATGTAAATGTGTAATGACTAATCAACCAGGACGGCCAAGGGATTTGTTTCTAGAGATAGGCAATTTTCATTTGTGCCTGTGATTGGCTCAGCTCTGCGTGTGAAGAGGGAAAAGGCTTCCGTTTATTTAGCATAATGATGGACCAAAACAAAAGAAGAAATCATTTCACTCATGCTTAGGTAAGACATTTCCATCTTTCTTAAATCTTTGTGTGTCTATTTTTGTGTTCATAGCAACCGGCAGACTATTTAGAACAGAAATGTGCATGCGTTGAGTACAAAGCGAAGACAGCATTGGGCGGTGGGATGCGTGCTGAAGAGGGATAGCTAATGTTTGGCAAGTGTCAAAAACAAATGGCCATTGATCAGGAAGAATCCTGAGCAAAATAAGATCAAGATTTTCTGGGGGCTATTGACCATTACCAGTTTTCACTTTTCTGACATTCATTAAAAAAAAAAAAATACAGATCCTGATTCCCTGGAGCTTTGCAGTTTGCCAACTTTCTGAGGGCATTGCTAGATTTATAGTGCCATCATGTGGCCACTTCTCAATCTGTTCAAAAATTCTGCTGGATCTAAGCCTGGCAGGATGACTGAATGATTCCAGTTTCATGGTGTTGGGAGGCTTATAGAACAGTGCTGGCTAGTCACACATCTGATGCTGGCAGCAATAGTGTGCTGGGGAAGGGGTTAAGAAAGAAAGAGCTGAGAGGCTCCCTGCAGGCAGAGCAGGGGCGGGACAAAGAGAATCCAGACAGTTGGACTTGGCCGTGGGGACAGGCAGCTGGCAGAGAGGACATTTACCCAGTGGGGGTTAGGGCCATACTAGTGGGCTTGGGTTCATACGCAACACTTTCATCACTGAGAAGAATGTGGCTAGGCTCCAACTCTCGTGGGGTAGGTGGGACTGGGAAATAAAATAGCAACTGGAGCTAAAACCCAGTTACAGTCTTCCCTGGTCACTGGCTCTTAGAAGAAGACAGGCATTCCATGCACCTCACTCAGGAGATCACCAGAAGTCCAGCCAAGCCCTGCCTGGGCTCCTTCCCAGGAAAGTGCTTCTGCTGACACTCTCCTGGCCACGATCTTCTTCCCAGCAGAGGAAGAAATCTTGTCCATATAGGAGAAGTTGAGGTATGGAGTTTCATTGCTAGGCAGGGAACTAGGGTGGGTGGGTTGACAGTAAGCAGGTTATAGGTTCCATGGAAATAGACAAAGACCAACCAAATGAGAAAAAGCAAAGGCTATTTATTCTGAGCTTGCTATAGCAATGAAGTTGGCCACCATCACTTGCATTTTGTCAGAGACCCCATCACAGGCAAAGCACTGGGAAAGCTTTAGAGTGGAAAAAAAGGGAAGTCTTGAGGTGTGCCCTGATGGGAGGCTGTTGGCCTGGGGAAGCTGCAGGTGGGCTAACTGGAAGCAGGGCACACTGTGTGATTGGTTAGGGGTAGGTACAGATTTGGCTTTCTCTGGTTGTTCCTAAATTTAAAATGGTGACAAAAGTTAGGGAAGCTGTCCGTTATTAATCAGGTCCTGGCCATTTCTGGCTGATTGTTACAGAAGTTATTGTTCAGCTTCCTGGATTGTCACCAGAGACAGCAGCCTGGCTTCCTACAAGTCTGAGTTCGAGCAGGCTGACTTCCTGGGTTATTTATTGTACATAAGGGGGTTGGTTTCCTTCTCTGGTACAGAGAGTGGGTCAAAGATCTATTTTTACATGTGGTCTGGTCTGTTTCTAGATTCAGTCTATCATCTCTGAGTCATCCCTGCTATGACTCAAGCAAGGATCAGCCTGGCAAGAGGTGGTGGGGGTTGGGAGCCCTCATCTTATGTCAGCAAACAATGAGGAGTTGGAATTGGCAAAAGGCCCCACCCACCCCACCCTATCCCCAGTCAGAATCAAGTCTTCAAGGGGACAGGACCAGTTGGAAGCCCAGCGGTTAATACCAGGTTGTATCATCGATCAGACCCACAGCTAGGATGCACCCACGCTAAACCCTCTTCCAGCCACTACTATGTAGCTGAAGCAACTTGATTATTTGCTGCCTTAGTCATGACTGGATGAGGAACTTGGAAGAGACTTCAGATTCAGGAGAAAGAGGAGGAAGTGGTGCTTGTGTTCGTGGTATTGATGTTAGGGTGGCACATTTTGTAGGCATCTGGGAGACAAAAAAACAAAAAAAAAAAAAACAGAGCCTGCCACTGCCCCCGCTGGATGTCTTAGTGCCTCTAACTAGGGTTTGGGGCCCTGGCTCTATCCTGATAATAAACTACATTTGTTTTTTTCTGGAATGTAGTGACTATCATGTGGAAAGGGCAAGAGCTATAAATGCAAGCCTGGGGGTGCACATCTCTGGGAGGAAACCCTGGGTACAGGCACTCCTTTTTAATTCAAGGAGAGTTGGAAGAGCTCCAATCTGTGCACCAGGGGAGAGGGTGACTATTCCTTTCCTGCTAGTGATTTTAACTCTACTCCCATTTTTACAGCATCTCTCATCTGGGAAAAGATACATGTCGACCAACAACCCCCATACTATGCTGACATTATTCCTTATTTGTCAAATTCATATGAGCCAATTGGTGACACCGAAACCCTAGTTATAGCAAAACTGACTGTATTATGAATAGTATCTGGAAATGGGAAAATATGGGTGATTTAAGCTAGGCATAGTGGCTTATACTGGTAGTCCTTGCTACTTGGAAGGCTGAGGCAGGAGGATCGCTTGAGCCCAGGAGTTCAAGGCTGCAGTGGGCTGTGATCACGTCACCACACTCCAGCCTGGGTAACATAGCGAGCCTCTGTCTCCAAATAAACACACACACACACACACACACACACACACACACACACACACACGTAAGTTAATCGGGAAAGGCACTGAAGAGCAGATGGTATATAATTTTTCTCATTTCTAGCAGTCTTGTTCTGTGTGAACATGTGGAGCACACTGCGGGCCAGTGTGGAATGTACAGAGTTCCCCAAATTTCAGTCATTAATTTTGGCCATATCTATACTCAGCCTACATAGTTCCTCAATGTTTTCCTTTAAATTTATTTATTTATTTTTAATTATATTTATTTTGAAAGGGAAATTATATCACTATTGAAAATGAAAAGTCAATATCACCTGTCATAAATAGAAGGTAATCCTAACTATAAATACATAACTAAACAAATCAAACTCTTCACCCATAGACTGTCCCCAGATGGTCTCCTATGCCGCTAGTGGTACTAGTGCCACATTTGGGGAAATACCTGTGCAATACTAGTTAAGAGCTCTGGCTCTGGTGTCAGATTGCCTCGGTTCAACTTCTAGCTGTAAAATCATGTGCAAATATTTAGCCTCTGTAAGTCTGATTTCCTTCCCTGTAAAAATCATGTTTTTGCTTAATGGAGCTGATGTGAAGATTCAGTGAGATGATACCTAAAGATTTAGCACAATGCCTGGTATATGATAAACAATAAATATTAATATTAGCTGTCACTGTTATCAGTATGATTACTATTATCCTTTTGAATTGGGTCACTGGTGCATAACTCTTCCTAATAGTTGGTCCTCAAAACACTCACGCCTTATTTGTGGAGAGGAATGTGGTTGAAATATACAGAGGATGGATGCCTTAAAAGATTTGCAGACTACTGAAAATAAGAAACCAAGCCAAAGGGCCTTTCATGTCAAAAACGCCAGCCAGTGAGGCAGTGAACCTAAGTGTATCAACCAACTTTTCACTTTTATTTTTGATATTATTTGCTGTTTCCTAGCCCCTTGGTTCTCTGTGGTATTTTTTTCCTGGCACTCACTGAGTCAGAGTCCCAGCAGGAATCAGATCGTACCCAAAGGAGTGATTGAAGGGTTTAATGACAGAAGGGTGTATTTGCAGAAGTGTGGGTAAGAGCTAAAGAAGCCAATAAAAGATAGTTATCTCCCAGGGCCTAGCAACAACAGGAAGCTCTTACACCCCTACAGCCTAGCAGACAATGGGAGGAAGCTGTTGCTGCAACCTGGGGAGAGAGGTGGCCATGATAGGCCACTCCACCCAACCCTCCACAGGGGTCTCGATGTTGGTAGGGACCAGCAGAGAGGGAGCAGAGAGAATACCTGCCATGGATGGATTCTCCTCCTGCCTGCCAATCTCTGGCCAGTGCCACTCAAGAACAAACCAGCTGCAGCTACAGCACAAGGGAAGCACTGGACATGCCATGCCTAGAGGTCAGCAGAGAAGGGTGGAGAGTGGACCTGGAGAGCCAGACAGAGAAGGACCAATACATTTATCACATAACGCGATGATGTTGCTTGATCTATGATGCCCTTTTGCACTCTGTAAACTCTCAGTAGAATTAGTTGCAGACATTAAGTAAATCAGACTGTGAATGTGTATGTCAGTGACACAAAGACAAGCAGGGGTGCAAACAAAATAGAGGCATATACCACCCATCTACCACCCCCTAGGCCAGGGGGCACGTCACGGGAGCTGGCAGCAGCTCAGCACTGTCTCCCATTTCTTAGCCAGAGCTCTGCTACTAAGCAGCATGCTTTTGGAGGCAGGGACAGTCCATAGAAAAGACTCTCATGACTTTTATCTTCACCACAAGCTAGCAAAATAAAGAAGAAATGCAATTAGAATCGCTCACCTACTAGCAAAGAAAGAGTTTGTTCCCCAAGTCTTTTGAGAAAAGAACCTAGCACTGTCAGTCTCAGGAGCAGATGCTAAACACCTGAGCCACGCTGACTCTAACAGCAGTTTGGACTAACAGTGGCAGAGTGTGTGCCGGCGTGAAGGGCAAAGCCAGCACCTGTCAGAGCTGTCGGCTTCCAGGCCCCACTGGAGCAATTTAGGCAGCCCCCTTTCTGTGAATGCTTCCATAGGACGCAAGTCCCAGGCAGGCAGAAAAAATATTTTCTTTTTTTTTTTTTTTTTTTGAGTCAGAGTCTCGTTCTGTGGCCCAGGCTGGAGTGCAGTGGCACTATCTCAGCTCACTGCAAGCTCCGCCTCCCAGGTTCACGCCATTCTCCTGCCTCAGCCTCTCGAGTAGCTGGGACTACAGGCGCCCGCCACCACACCCGGCTAATTTTTTTTTTTTTGTATTTTTAGTAGAGACAGGGTTTCACTGCGTTAGCCAGGATGGTCTCGATCTTCTGACCTCGTGATCCACCCGCCTCGGCCTCCCAAAGTGCTGGGATTACAGGCGTGAGAAACAATATTTCCTTGAATGAGGAAACCAGCCTGTTCTATCAGACTGCCTTCTCACATCTAGGCCAAGCTAATAATGCTGTTATCAGAAAAAGCCCCATGCACATCTCTTTCTCTCTCTCTCTTTTTAAATGTTGTACAATGCACATATAAAATTTACCATCTTAATCAAGTTTAAGTATACAGTTCAGTATTGTTAACTACACTGGCATTGTTGTCAAACCAATCTCCAGTACTCTTTCTTCTTACAAAACTGAAACTCTAAACCCATTAAATAATTCCTAATTCTCATCTTGGATTAGCCTACTCTAGATGCCTCTCATCCAAGTGGGATCGTACAGTGTGTGTCCTTTTGTGACTGGCTTATTTCACTTAGCGTCATGTCCTAAAGGTTCATTTAAGCTGTAGCATGTGTCAGAACGTCACTCCTTCTTAAGGCTGGATAATATTCTATTCATGTAGAGGCCACATTTTGTTTATCCATTCATCTGCTGTGGGATACTTCGATTGTTTCCACCTCTTGGCTATTGTGAATAATGCTGTGTACACGAGTGCACAAATATCTCTTCAAGACCCTGATTTTGATTCTTTTTGAGCATATACCCAGATGTGGAATTGCTGCACATCTTTTGTTTTACTCACCTCCATGCCAACTGTTTTCAGAGATATAGATTAGTGGATTTTCTGAACAGGACAATGTGGGCTTCTCTGCATCTCATAAAGCAAGTTCATGTTGGGGGAAGGATCTAGGATTTGAAGTCACAACCCTGGATTTTAATTCTCTATGTTAATCATTTACCAGCTGTGCAATCTTAGGCAATTTCTTTAACATCTCTGAAACCTGTGTTTGTTTCTCCTACTAAAGGAATAATCATGGTATTAGCTTCCTAGAGATGCCTCAACAAAGTACCAAAAACAGGGTACCTTAAAACAACACAAACGTATTCTTTCACAGTTCTGAAAACTAAAAGCTGAAAATCAAGGTACCAGCAGGATTGGTTCCTTCTTAGGAGCCCTTAGGGAGAATCTGCCCCATACCTCCCTCCTAGTTTCTGGTGATTCCCAGAAACCCCTGGTGCCCTCAGCTTATAGCTATATATCGCCATTGTTTGCCATCTTCCTTTTGAGTGTCTGTGTTCTCACTTGGCGTGCTTTTTCTGTGTGTGTCTAAATTTCCCTCATTTTATCCGGTCAGCAATAATTGGATTGGGGCTATCCTAATCCAGTATAACTTCATCCTAACTTGATTACATCTACAAAGACCCATTTCTAAATAAGGTCACATTCACAGCTGCTGAGGTTAGGACTTCAACATATCTTTCGGGGAGACACAATTCAACCACAACACTCCTCCTCCAGGAGGTCTATGAGAATTAAGTGCATTTTGTAGATGCTGAGGCTTCGTACTGGAGAGGAGTAATGGACATGGCTAAACTGACATTTAGCTTGTTTGTCTTCTGAATGCAAGAACGTCCTTCTCCCTGTGCTGCTTGACTCGCGATGTTAAATCCATACTTGTTTTTTTGAGTTCCACTCTAGTTC
The DNA here is from genome assembly GCF_000001405.40 of Homo sapiens. NCBI lineage: Eukaryota > Metazoa > Chordata > Mammalia > Primates > Hominidae > Homo > Homo sapiens. The sequence continues at coordinate 119,142,520 of NC_000006.12, read as the reverse complement.
CAACTGGGTCTGCATTCACTGTGAGTTGTTAAATGTTCAATGTCGTTTTCATACCTGGGAGGATGAAGAATGTTAAGTGTGGACTTCAGTAGATCAAGCCTGGTTTTAGAAACTTTCTAATTGTTGTGGCCTTTGGTCTCTGAAGAATACACCCTCTGCTGCATTGCGTTATCCTCCTTGTCCTAGAAGAAACAGTGCGCCTGGGATGATCTTGGGAAGTGACACCATCAGGGCTTCGAGGTCATTACGTCCTTTCCCGGCCGACTCAGTAGTCACCACATCCATAAATACCACACCCTAGAGAGGCTTGGGCTGCCTAGCTGATATATTGTCTTCAGATGTTCGCCCGAGTCCTGCATAACATTCTCCAAGCTGGGGCATACAAAATAGATTTGCTGGGAGCAGGGATGGGAATGATTAACTCTCAACGCTTTAACTATATTGCTGCTAAATGGCTGACATACCCAGGTGCCCTGCACTCTAGAGGAATAACCATTCTCAAACATATGAAAATCAGCATTTATAGAAGAGATACAATTAAGGGGTGATTATTTGGGCTTAGACAGGATTTGTTGTGTGATTCCTTTAAGGAGATGATGTAAGAAAATAATAAAGTATTTTTACTTCAAATTTCTCTGAGCTCCTCTATTGGAATAGGTGCTACTGAATATTTATCACACAGCTTCTTTCCACAACATGCAGCTCTGGGGCCCCAAGATGTACTTTTTTTTTAAGGAGCACAGGGGCCGGGCACAGTGGCTCACACCTGTAATCCCAGCACTTTGGGAGGCCAAGGTAGGTGGATCATTTGAGGTCAGAAGTTCAAGACCAGCCTGGCCAACATGGTGACACCTCATCTCTACTAAAAATACAAAAACTAGCCGGGCATGGTGGCACACACCTGTAGTCCCAGCTACTCGGGAGGCTGAGGCAGGAGAATCGCTTGAACCTGGGAGGCAGAGACTGCAGTGAGCCAAGATCGCGCCACTGCCTGGGCGACAGAACCAGACTCTGTCTCAAAAAAAATAAAATAAAATAAAATAAAGGAGTTCAGGCAAAGGATTCCCTGGATCCTCCCCCCGCCCACGCCATGCAGCAGGCAGCAGCCCTGCATCCAGGCCCCTCCGGTTGGTGCCAACGCTGCACTCGACTGTCGAGCTGCAACCAGCCAGAAGGAAGAAGTGACAAACTCAGTGACACAAACTTCTCAGAGGCTTGGACAGGGCCACCTGGTGATTTATTTACAGAGGCATCTTTGCTGTAAGATCAACACCAGGGCAATTCGACTAGGCAGGTTGCTAAACCCTAAGGCAAAGACTGAGTTTTAAAGTGTTGTTATTTTATGCTCTCTGGGTCTAGTTAGTTTTAATGAGCTGTGGCTCTCTAGTAAAAGAATTAAAGAGCAATTTCTAATATGACCAAATCTTAGAAAAGGACTTGAGATGCAAATGGTTACATTCTCCTTTGTCCCTATCACCTACTCCGGGTCATATAAAGTAGCCTTGGCTTCCACATATCCCAGAAGACAGAACATCAGGTGGCTTATCTCCAGTTGTCAACGCCTGCTTAATGCTACTAATAGCATAAGTAATTTTGCTGGAAAGCCTGGGGAGGATTCCTCCATTTATTACCTAGTGAATCAATTCTAGCGTTAATAGAAAAGACAGTGGCTGTAGACCACGATGCAAAATAAAGTGCTGTGTGTAAATCCTAGCAGGGTTCTCATACCAGGATTCTGAAAGAGAAAGAGAGACCCTCCCTCGCCTCCCTTTCACCGGTTTTCCTGCTTGGAGTGTGGGAAAGGAGACTCAATTTCTGGCAGAAGCAGCCTCTGTTCTGCTGGTGCCCTTGAGACTTCAAACTGCAACAGCAGAGAAGGAAGGCGAGGGAACCAGATTGCAGGCATTGTGTTGCCAGTGGTTGAAAGGTGCGGATGAGATGATGCTGATTACAAGGACTGAAAGAAAGCGGAGAGCATGGTTCCGAAAATGGCTGAGAAAGGAAGAAAGAAACGCCCTGTGAGTTTGGGAAAGTGAATATTGCATATTGGGTAGCTCCTGTGCATTTGTCCTTCAAAGGTGAGGCCCATCCTGTCTGAAGTCAGTTTCACTGCTTCTCCCAGGGGCTCTCTCATGAGGCCAGGGAAAGTGGAGAATCATTTTCACTGAAGAAGCAAATCTGATCAGACAACCCACTAGCATGGGAAATGGCAAACAATAAAGACACGTGGCCAGAAAATGCATTCTCCTGCTCCCCTTTCTTGGTACTCCCTTACATCCTCAATGTCCTCTCCCTACCACACCCAAGGCAACTCATGAGGGCAGACTGCACCATTTTCCTCCTGGATGACCTTGCCTTCTTGAACATTCTAGTACCCAAGCTCCCTCTTAAGCCCACTTTCACCCACACATATTTTTTTACTAATCCGTTTTACAGATGAAGACCCACACATTTTTAGCAACTCCCCACTGCCAGTCCTTAAGCCCTCTCACTCAGCGGCCTGAGGTCCAAGCCACCCTGGGCAGCCCCAGCAAGGCGCCACTGCTCAAAGCTGGGGAGTGAGCACAGATGATGGCAGCAGCTGCAGAATTCACTCACATCTCACACACTTGTGCATCTGAAAGGGTTAATTTTTCACTTGCTGTGATTGAATTGGCAGTTTCTTACCTGGAATCAGGAAACTCTAGTCATTTGCTCGAAGGAAAAAAAAGAGGACGTGAAGACAACCCTTTGCTTCTTTTTCAAAGCTGCTTTTCTAAAAGTGCCAGAGAGAGAGATTTGTAAAACTACAGCCTGGACCCTGACAATGAAATGCCAATTAATTTAGTTTTAAATGGGTCACCAAATATCCCCAGTGGTTTTTTTTTTTTTTTACTTTAAATATACAACATTATGAGAACGTATAATACTTTAAGAAATTGCTGAGAATCTTGTCTCCCATGAGGAAATAAGTTCCATATCTTTTCTTATTCACTTGAATTTTTTCCTGTCTCTGCTGTAAAACATGTCAGGGATTTTCTTTAAAGTGCCTAATTTTTCTCCCCACGAGTATCCCTGTAGGTAGGAAATCTTCCTCGACAGAGCACTCACAGTTAAAGATTTCCAGATACTGGCTGGAATATTCTGAGAACAGTGAGTTAAGTGTGATAACCAGAAACAAACTGCTGGGCCCTTCTCCCCAGCCGCTCCAGAGAGGCCTGTGGTTTTGACACTTGACTTTCTAATAAAGAGCAAGCTCTCTGGGCTTCTTTTGAAACTCTTCAGGCACCAGAGAAAGAGGCTGATTTAGCTTTGGTTGTCCCTGTGTTTCAGTCACTTTACTGCTTAGTTATCCACTGAGAACAAAACTAAAAGGAAAGCAGATAAAACCACTTCTGTTTCATGATTTGAGCTACATGGGGAGAGGAGTGGGCAGGACCAAGCCCCATCCCCAGAGAGGTCCACGTCCTGGCCCCCAGAACCTGTGAAATCTGCTACCGTGCATGACAAAGGGGCCTCTGCAGATGAGATTCAGTGAAGGATCTTGAGATGGGGAGGTTTTTTAGATTATTCCGGTAGGCCTGATATAACCACAAGAATCATTATAAATGAAAGGGGCTGGGTGCGGTGGCTCATGCCTGTAATCCCAGCATTTTGGAGGCCGAAGAGGGCAGATCACCTGAGGGCAGGAGTTCAAGACCAGCCTGACCAACATGGAGAAACCCCGTCTCTACTAAAAATACAAAATTAGCCAGGCGTAGTGGCACATGCCTGTAAATCCCAGCTACTCAGGAGGCTGAGGCAGGAGAATTGCTTGAACCCAGGAGGCGGAGGTTGCGGTGAGCCAAGATCGCCCCATTGCACCCCAGCCTGGGCAGCAAGAACCAAACTCCGTCTCAAAAATAATAATAATAATAATAATAATAATAATAATAATAATAATAATAAGTGAAAGAGCGAGGAAGGAGAGAGTGTGTCAGAGTGGTGAAATGTGAGAAAGACTTGACTGGCCATTGCTGGCTTTCAGGATGGAGGGCAGCCATGTGCCAGGAAGGCAGGTCGCTTCTAGAAGCTGGTAAGGTAAGGAAATGAATTCTCCCCAAGAGCTTGCATAATCAGCCTTGAGAATGTCTTCATTTTAGCCCAGTGAGACACATTTTGGACTTCTGACCCCTAGAACTTTAAGATAATACATTGGTGCTGTTTTAATCCAAGTTTGCGGTAATTTGTTATAGCAGCAGCAGGAAACTAACAAAGGAAGGAAATTGAAAAACAGTACTTTCTATTAAAGAAATCAGTGAACTCCAGATCCCAAAGTAGTCATTTGAATTTGGGTAGCTCACATATCTCACTTGATCCTACAACAACTGCACTCCCCCAATCCTCATGCTCTCATAGCATTCTATATGTTTCCTTCATAGTATGTATCACTGACTTCTCAATACCTAGCACAAAACTTGAAAGACAGCAATGCACACTCATGGCATAAAAGAACTTACTGAAAGTTAGTGATTTCCCTAAATTCATATAGCTTGTCTAAGTGCCGGAGCTAGGGATAGAACACAGCTGTTCTGACTTCCACATCTGTCTGCTATTCCACCCGGCCTTGCTAAGAATTTCTGTTGGGGTATCTGCAAGACAGAAGAGGAAACACTACAAAGACTGGAGCAGTGACTGCTGTGGAGCTGAACTACAGAATAGTAATAGACTCAAACAAGCCAGCCTGGCACGTAGACATCGGAGACAGGGCCTTGGCTCTGAGGACAGGGTTTCTTGGTCCAGGAGGAGGAGAGACAGGACTGCCAACAGCAGTAAACCCCATAGAACCTGACAAACCCCTGACAGATGACTCAGGAAATGGCTGGTGCTCACTCACTGGATTTTGCAATCATATTTGTGCATAAGAATGAGAAGATTATCAAAAATGAGTTAGCAAATTCTGAGTCCCATAGTAGGTGCCTACTGTGGACTGAATGGTGTCCTCTGAAAATTCTTATGTTGAATCCCTAACCCCCAATGTGACTGTATTTGGAAATAAGGTCTTTAGAAGGTAATTAAGATTAAATGAGGTCCAATTGTGACTGTATTTGCAGATAGGGCTTTTAGGAGATGATTAAGGTTGAATGAGGACATATGGGTGGGGTCCTAATCTGATAGGACTGGTTTTATAACAAAATGGAGAAAGAGCTCTTCCTCTCTCTTATCTCTCTTCTCTCTCTCTGTCTCTCTCTATCTGGCGTGCACACACACACAAGCATACACACACATACACACACACACAGAAGAAAGACCATGTGAGGTCACAGTTAGAAGGCAGCTCTCTGCAAGCCAAGAAGAGAGCCCTCACCAGAACCAGACTAGGCTGGCACCCTGATCCCAGATTTTCAGCCTCCAGAACTGTGAGAAAATAAATTTCTACTTTAAACAGTCTGTCACCTAGTCTATAGTTTTTTGTGATGGCAGCTGAGCAGACTGGGACAGTGCCCAGATGTTTGTAGCACTAATATAAATTGTACAATTATTCTGGATAAGAAGATTACAGCAAAATTAATTTCTGCTAAAGAGGTTATAGTAGCTATCTGCAATTTTGCCAGTCCAGCATCAATGTCCCCATTTTTTTAGTAACAGCATCTTGGTTTTCCTTTGGACAATCCCAGACTTCTCCCAGCACCATGTCAACCCTCTTACTGTAGCCGTCTTGGTGGAACTGTCAATTATGCCATACTTTTCTCTTGCCAAGAAACGGGCATGTGGCCCAAACCAGGCCAGACAGTAGCAGGAATTTGAAAGTTAAGCACAGTGACACAAGAATTGAAAAAATACTGAAGCGAGTTTATTTTCATGATAGTATCTAGGAACAAATACTGCCCGACAAGTCCCATTATCTAGATTCCTGGAGCTACCCTAATTCCTACCCTTTCCAAAGCCTGGTTGGTCAGTTGCTTCTTCAATTTAATGAAACAGTCCATAAACTTCCAAAAAATCTTTTCTAGTTTGAACTAGTCAGATTTGGATTTGGTTGCTTCCACCCAAAAAACTCTCAGTGACACATGGGTCTATCAAATCTGCGCTGCCAATTTTTTTAATGCCAATAAATTATCTTGATATCATTATGCAACTAAAATACATACACATATTGAAAGATATCTATAATTGGGCAAGAATTTTACTTTTACAATTTTAGTGATTAGTATACACATTAGAAAAAAATGTGGTATACTTCTGGAAATATTCTTTTTTTTTTTTTTTTTTTTTTTGAGACGGAGTCTCGCTCTGTCGCCCAGGCCGGACTGCGGACTGCAGTGGCGCAATCTCGGCTCACTGCAAGCTCCGCTTCCCGGGTTCACGCCATTCTCCTGCCTCAGCCTCCCGAGTAGCTGGGACTACAGGCGCCCGCCACCGCGCCCGGCTAATTTTTTGTATTTTTAGTAGAGACGGGGTTTCACCTTGTTAGCCAGGATGGTCTCGATCTCCTGACCTCATGATCCACCCGCCTCGGCCTCCCAAAGTGCTGGGATTACAGGCGTGAGCCACCGCGCCCGGCCTGGAAATATTCTTTCTGCTTTTTTTTTTGGCAGGAAAACCCTAATATTTAGGGCCATCTGGGTAACAACAGAGTTGATAAGATTTCTATTCTGAAACATTTGAACATTTAGGAGAATAAAAAGAATAATATATATTTTAATATTTTAATACTAAAATGCTACAGACCTAAAAAATAGTAGAATTCACCTGGTGAATCAATTTCAACCAAATTCTAATCTTCTTTTGCGTGAAGTATGGATCTGAGCTTATTATTCTAGTTTAGCTCTTCTCTGAGGGAATTCTGAGAACAAATTACCAAGACTTTTGTAGTAACATTTGTGAACTGTGGAAACTCAACTCTCTTTTCCAGGCTCAGTCCATTTATACTTTTCTATTCTGACAGGGAGGAATGGAAGATGGGGAGATGCTTGATGTGTTGTGATGAATATTTAAGAACATTCATTCACTCACTGAAATAGCCCTTCCATTTTAAATTATGTCTTTTTGAAGGAATACTGTAATTTTTTTATTGTGAAGCATATCATTTTTACAAAAAGATTGTCTAAAATGTATCTGTAGAGTTTAAAGAATAATAATAAGCTCTTAATGGTCTTTGGGAAACACAGCATTACCAATTCTTTAGAGCCTTTTGTGTGTTCCTCTCCATTTACTTCCTGATCCCTCTCCCACAGATGTAACTACCATTCTGTATTGGGTATTGACCATTCTCTTTTCTGTATATTTTTATGTCATATATATGGCTCGCTAAAAAAATATATTGTGCACATTCCTTTGCAACTTGAGTCTTTTGTTTAATATTGTTTTCTAGGTTGATACATGTACCTGTAGTTCATTCGTTTTGCATTACTCAGTAGTATTTCACTGTATAAGTATACCACAATTAGTTTATCCATTTATGTATTATTTATTACTTTTTGTTCTTAAGAGTAAGGCTTCTGCAAACATGTTTTCTAGTGCATATGTACGAAAGTATTTTTAAGGAACGTACTAGGAGGGAATTGCTGGATCAAAAGTTAGGCACAGGTTCAACTCTCCAATATGCAAAATGCAATATTGCAAAAATTTCTGGACATGGTTATAGGAGTTTATATTCCCACAAGCAGGGGATAGTGTTTCCATTGCTCCACACCCTTGGATTGAGGAGAGCCAACATGATTTAATGCCCCTGGAACCTCTCTCTCCCCAGAAAGATGTCAAGAGGATGGAGGACTCACATTCTGTTAACTCTTCTGCCTGTGAGTTTTTCCCATGTGATCTCAGTGAGTATATTGTGTCCTTTTATGATAAGAAGTGATACACTTTTTTTTCTTTTTTTATTTCTTTCTCTTTTTTTTTTTTTTTTGAGACAAGGTCTCATTCTGTCACCTAGGCTAAAGTGCAGTGGCATGATCATGGCTCACTACAGCCTCGACCTCCTGGGCTCAAGTGATCCTCCTGCTTCAGCCTCCTGAGTAGCTGGGATTACATGTGTACATCACCATGCCCAGCTAATTTACTTTTATTTTTTGGAGAGGTAGGGTCTCTCTACATTGCTCAGGCTGGTCTCAAACTTCGGGACTCAAGCAATCCTCTCATCTTGGCACCCCCCGCAATAGACTTTTAAATTTGTATCAATCTATTAGATGTGCAATAATATCTTTAGGAGAAAAAGATAACTGAAAACTGGTACCGCACAGTTTAGTTTGAGTTTGCATTTCCCTGATAACCAATGAGGTTGACATTTTCCTAAGATTATAGACTATTTGTATTCCCCTTTTTTAAGAGTTCCTGTGTTTTCCCCATTTTTGTATTAGTTTGTCTTTTCTATATTGATTCTTCAAAGTTTTATATTCTAGGTACTAATCTTTTGTCAATAGTTTGAGTGGCAAATACCTTCTCCCAATTTTTAGTTTATCTTTTTTATTCTCATTATTACGTCTTTTGATGACCTGATTTTTAGTCTTAACGTAACTGAGTGTATTAATCTTTTCCTGTGTATTTTGCACTTTTGTGTCTTCTTCAAGAAATGCTTACTCGCTGTGCATGAGGGTTCACACCAGTAATCCCAACACTTTGGGAGGCCAAAGCAGGAAGATCACTTGAGCCCTGCTTTGGCCTCCCAAAGATCAAACTTGAGTTTGAGACAAGCCTGGACAACATAATGAGATCTTGTCTCTACAAAAAAAATTAAAAATCGTAATAATAATAATTAGCCAGGTGTGGTGGTATGCACCTGTGTACTTGTAAGAGACACTGAGAGACACTGTGATGTGACTTGGAGGACCCCCTTCTGAGGTGAAGTAATTCTCCCAGCAGCTAAGAGTGCTGCTGGCAGACAGCCCTCAACGGTCAGCCTTCTTCAGCTGAACAAAGTCACTTTGCCCACATCACACCCATTTCTTGGGGCAGCCTACCTCAGGTAACTGGTTAACATGAGGTACAAAGGCCCAACTTACCGCAAGTCAGGCCAACTACAAAGAGCTAGTCTAGTTTCAGAGCTCTCTGTAGGGTAGGCTGAGGCTTTCCCTTGGCTCTACTGCAGCCCCGCTTCTCTTACTTCTGCCCAATCCTACTTCCTTCCTTTCCTTTCCATAGGTGCTAACAACAAGAACACTCCCTAATAACCCTCCTGCATGTTAATCTCCATTTCGGAGTCTTCCTAGGGATCTTAAGCTGTGACAATTACTTTTATCAATCCTCAATTAATATAATTTATAATAAACTAGTAAAACAATTCAGAATAAATCAAACTCACACCAAAAAAGCCTATATAGGAACTGAGCTGTAGAATGCAGTTGGCAACAACCAACTAGTAGAACTTATGCACCAAACACTTTGTCAAGCTTTCTCTTCTGAACACATGGTTCCTCCTAAGACTTTGCTAATTCTCAGACCTCTGATGAGTTTACCTCATTGATCCCACAAAATATCCACAATTGAGTATAAACAAGCAGAATCAAATAAGATTTACTACGGCCCAGTTCTTCAACTCAGTGAGAAGCCTCAAACCAGTAGTATTTATGAACAAATCCTATCTGATTTCGCTCTTTGCCTGATTTCACTCTTTGTCCCCTGATATTTCAACTCTTAGAGTTGATTAAAATTATGGGGCCTCATGTGAACATCTGCATCCCAGTCAACCCACCTTCTAAGCTCCTCGCTATCAAGGGAAAAGTTAATTGAAATCTAATATTCCTGAAAGCTGCAGCTCAAAGCCAGGCTAATAAGTAGATTTCACCTCACGTGCCAACTTCCAAGAATTTGCAGCAATGACTTGGGTCACTGTGTTGCAAAAGATTAGACAGCTACATCCTCATTCAAAAGAAAAGAGAGCTGTAAGTCCGTTAGAAATGTCTCTCAGAGGTAGAATAGACAGGGCAGAGTAAGGGGTGGCTAATGTGTGGGAAAATAGATGAGTACGTTTTTTAAAAAAATTTGCAAATGAATGAAAAGTGGCCTTTACAATTGTAATTACCTTTCTGTTCAAAAATGTGGATTTTGAGTGCATGAATTACAGAGACTGGGATCCAGGCAGCTGTTGTAGCACCAGATGACAATTTTAATGCTCTCTTGTGGCTGAGTTGTATCAGAACCTCAAACAAGAGCTCTTGTCCTCTAGCCAAGCCAGCTAGTAGGATTTACCACGATTTGCTGCCAACCAGCTTACTGCAAATTACATTGCATTTGCAACCATAGGCTGATAGAAGATAAACTCTTAGCAGAAAGGGGCAGGTAAGAGACTAAAACTGATTTTGCAGTTATTACAGGATGGCTAACAGTGTAAATTGATTATTATGAGAGAAATGATAAATATTCTGACACTCAATATCATTAAAACCTACACAGAATTTGGCATTTGTTATTTCAAAACAGAAATAAACAAATGAAGGAATGTTTTATGGGGGAGCAAAGTTTTTAAAATTTTACTCTTAAAATGAGGCATGGTTATGCAAGAAAGGAAATATAACCAAGTTAGCTAGAAATGGAATTTTATTCATTTACAAGCTTTCCTTGGAAGATTTGAGTATTAAAAACTATACTGTTCTCTCTCATATAACCTCTTTTCCAAATGTTAGTTTGAGAATAAATTAAAGAATAGCTTTATCCCTATAACTCTCCTTACCACATCTTCCAATACTCCACTGTCTTCCTGTATTAAAATGTATCTATAGCACAAAACACAATACAGGATTTTATTTTATGTTATAGTAGGTTAGGTTATAAAAGTGTATAAGGCTGGGCACAGTGGCTCATGCCTGTAATCCCAATACTTTGGGGGGCTGGGTGGGGGGATGGCTTGAGTCCAGGAATTTGAGACTAGCCTGGGCAATAACCCAGTATCTACAAAAAAAAAATTTTTTAAATTAGTCTAGCATAGTGGCACATACCTGTGTGCCCAGCTAGTCAGGAGGCTGTGGTAGGGGGATCGCTTGAGCCCAGGAGGTTGAAGCTGCGGGGAGCCGTGATCACACCACTGCATTCCAGCCTGGGCAATAGAGCAAGACCCTCTCCAAAAAATAAATAAATAAATAAAAGTATGAGTGCCCTCCATACATGGCAAACAAACCTTTGAAAAAAGAATAAGGAAGAAGTCTAAGATTGCCACCAGTCTGCCCAGATGCCTCAGGTAAAAGCTTAAAGAGAGGAATCTTGTTTCCACATTTATTCCAACTTATTACTGAGCCTTGCAATATTTTTAAATTATTGTTTTATTTAATTAATCCAGAAGAATATTTTAGGATAAATGTTTCAAGTCTGACTAGCTGAGAATCTTTACGTCTTCAGATGGAGGAAGTAAAGGGCCATTTCCTTCCACCTTTGATTTAGGAAATTCATTGGCATCAAGAAATACAATTCTGGCTGGGCATGGTGGCTCACACCTGTAATCCCAACACTTTGGGAGGCAGAGAAGGGTGGATCACCTGAGGTCAGGAGTCTAACAACAGCCTGGCCAATATGGTGAAACCCCATCTCTGCTAAAAATACAAAAATTAACCAAGCATGGTGGCAGGCGCCTGTAATCCCAGCTACTTCAGGAGGATGAGGCAGGGAGAATTGTTTGAACCCGGGAGGCAGAGGTTGCAGTGAGCCAAGATCACACCACTGCACTCTAGCCTAGGTGCAGAGCGAGACTCCATCTCAAAAAAAAAAAAAAAAAGAAAAAAAGAAATACAATTCTGAGCAGGACACTATGTCAAATACCCACTTCAGGTGGACCTTGGGAAAGGCAAATCATTGTTCTGAATTTTTATTTGATATTCAAACTAGAGTTTCAGAGACCTGTTACGAAGACCGGGTCTTATCATATGATTTCTGGCAATTTGACGTTTGTTTAAACAAATTACTTTGTAAATTTCCAAAGTGCAGCAGGGTCCATCAGGGTAGGCAGTTCTGTGTTTCTTAAACTAGATTGCTAATTTTTTTATATCACTTGGGCTATCTAACATACACCCCTATAAATCAATGAGTATCTTCATTTTATACTAAACTGCTTTTTATGAAGATAGAATGTATTAAATCCTCCCCTGTGACAATCTCTATGGCCTCTCTTCTCCCTGTAACTCCAACTTGTGTCTGTTGGCCAGTGTGCCAGAATGTATTTGATACTATGGAAACATCTGTGTCTAATGGCAATTGAATCTAGGGCATTTATTTCTATTCCCTGAGTCTGGATAAGATCTACAGGAATCTGTCAGTCTTTCATTAAATGCTTATTTCAGAAACAATATACTGTTTTCTGATTTGGGGGCTCCCTAAAATTTCATTTCTGGAGCCGGAAGTCTTCCTCAAATGGTGGTTTTCAGATTTTCCTTGGGCTCTAAGTAAATTATGTGGATTCTGCTTAACAGTTGAAGTTGTTCAACTGGAAAAATATATGACTCATATTCCAAATATTGACATGGAAAAATATATGACTCATACTCCAAATATTGACAATCTCCAAGTATTTCACCTCTATCTTTAAAAAAAAATGTTTAAAACCTTGCGAGCCTCTGTTTGTACATCTTGCTGTGGATGCTAGGAACTTGCAGTGTGTCCCTGCCCCTGGTGGGCTTAAAGTTTATATAATTAAGTAGATTTTTGCCAAAGGCAGATATTCCACCAACCTTTACAATAGAGATTTCTGGGCCACATCCCCAAAGCTTCTGATTTTGTGGATTGGGGGCAAGGGCTGGAAATCTACATATTTCTAAACTCCCCTTCTGTTCAATGTTGCTGTGAACCTAAAATTGCTCTAAAAAATAGTCTTTTATGCAAATAAGTTAAAAAGAAAACAACAATAACAACCCCCCACACACACACACAAAACACAAAAATGAAACCAAAAAACACCCCCCTATTCAGCTCTCTCAAAGTCAGCTCACTTTGAGAACCCCTAGAAATTTCTCTAATTACAGTATTAAGAATGTTAAAGGCTTGTTAGCTCCAATGCCTAATCCCTCTGGTTCCCCCTAGTGGACTGAAATAAAATGCGCTTTCTACAATTTAAGCAGTTAACGAGTGTGAAACCAGATTGAAACACATGTAAAGACTAATTATGAGACGCTTTCAGAAAAAGGCAACATGCATCTCAGTGAAATGCATCTGGGCCCTAAAAGATCAGGAAAGCCCCACCACATCTGCTTCATGGATGGTTTTGCTGTAAGGCGCCCAGGTTAGTTCTCAGTATGTCAGCCACAGGCAGAGCTTTCTCTATGCAATCCTCTGCAGATCACATTTAGGTGTCTCTGCCCAGCCACAGATCCTCAGGAGGTCCTGAGAACATGTGCTCAAAGTGGTTGGGTTACAGCTTGGTTTTCTTACATTTTAGGGGGACAGAAGTTGCAGGCAAAGACATAAATCAATACATGTAAGGTACACATTGGTTCGACCTGGAAAGGTGCGACATCTGGGAGAGAGGGGCTTCCAGGTTATAGGTAGATTCAAAGACTTCCTGATTGGCAATTGGTTGAAAGAGTTGAGTTTTGCCTGAAGAGTTTAAAGTCAGCACAAAGAAATGCTTGAGTTAAGGGAGATTGTGAAGCTAAGGTTCTTATAAATGAAGCCTCCAGGTAGCAGGCTTCAGAGAGAATAGACAGTGTTTTTTATTGGACCTTAAAAGGTGTCAGGCTCTCCGGAAAAAAAAAAACTAGTAAGGGAAGGGGATTCTCTACAGAATGCAAATTCCAGGGCCCCTCCCCCATCCACAGGAGACAGCTTTGCAGGACCATTTCAAAATATGTCAAAGAAATATATTTGGGGGTAAAATACCTTGATTTCCTTCCAGGCCTGCTATCTGCCATGCGATGCTATACCAGAGTCAGGTTAGAATTTGGTATTTTATTGTAACTGGGGGCCTCAGTTTTAAAAATATTTTTAATCACACATTTTCTTTTTCTTCCTTCCCTCCCCACTCACCCTTTTATTCCCTCCCTCTCTAGACACTCCTCTCCAGTAACTCATGTTTATCTAATTATGTTCTTGCTTAAGAAATTTCAGAAGATAATCTTGAAACAAACCAGGCACAGAGCCCCTGCTTAATCATCCTGCTTAGAAGGAGTCTCAAACAATTAGTCCACCACCATCTGGCCCAAGACAAAATAATGCCAAACATACTTCCAGATAGGCAATTACCCAAGATAACCATCAGAACAAACATACAGACCCTTCATCCTGCACTAGTCCCTCACATCTCCCATACCAAGTTTCCCTTTAAAAACCCTATGATAAAATTTTAAAATTTAAGATGGTCTTTGTGACTAGTCCACCATCTTCTTGGTTTTGCGGGCTTTCCAAAGAAGCCTGCTTTTCTTCCCACCAATTCTTGTCTCTCATGTCTGGTTTTCCAGGGGTTAGCAGCCAAACCTGGGTTTGCATACCTTACTGCTACAAAGAGTCTGTTTGTCAGTCTTAAGATCTCTGTTTTAATGTTAATGGTAGTCAGTTGTGCCTAAACTCCAAAGGGAGGAGGTTATAAGGAGGCATGTCTGGCTACTCTACCTCCACCTTCCAGTCATGGCCTGAACTAGTGTTTCAGGTTTCTTTGGGATCTCCTGGGCCAAGCAGGGGGTCCATTTAGTTGGTTGAGGGGCTTAGAATTTTATTTTTGATTTACAACTCTAACATTATCAGTGCTTAACACAGTGTTTGACACAAAGTAGACGGTCAATGAATGTTTGTTGAATGAATGAATGAATGAATGAATGCATGAATGATGGAATGACCTGAAGAACAATTCCACACTGCACATACTCATGCCTCCCTTCTCAACCTTTCTCTCCCCACTCCCAACTGTTATGACATCTTGGGAAGGAAGGAGAAATGCTTGCTTTGAAAAAGCTCCCCAGCTGACTTTAGGGTAGCTGCTTCCCTCCTGCTTTCCTACCTGGTAGGGAATTCCTGATCCATTCGGTTCTCTCAGCTCCAAACCCAGAGAAGTTAAATCATTTGACCGGGATCACATAATTAGATAGTGGCAGGGGCATGTTTCCCAAGTCTTGGGCAAAGTCTCTTTCTATGAGGTTTACCAGCATTGACAGTTACCCAGGATATGTCCTCTCACAATTTGCATGTGTTTAGATATTTTTTCTAAAGAGTAGAAAACAGTCCTAGCTACTCTTTTCCCCTGTCAGATCCTAGGCCCTGCCCTTCCACTGTGGTAGGTAGAATTCTAAGGTGTCCTCCAAGATACCTCACCACCACTAGTGTGCACACACCTTTTCCCAGTTTTTCAATCAAACACTAACCTAGGTGCTACTGTGAAGGGATTTGCAGGTGAAATTTGAGGCCCAAATCAGTTGACCTTAAGATAAGGGTGATAGGGACAGGAGGCAGAGAAATTCTAGGCATAAAAGGGTGGGGTTCCCGGCAAGGGCCCCACCCTCGAGCCTGGAACCACAGCCCAAAGTGAGAACATGCATTCCTGTTTTCCCACTTGAATGTTGCCTTTTTCCAAAACCACCCATGGCCTGTCCCACCCACCATCCTGCACTCATAAAAACCCCTGACCCAGCTGGCAGAGAAAAGGAAACAGCTGAACATTGAGAGGAGAAGAAACAGCTGGACATCGGGGAGAAGCAGCTTGACTTCAGAGGGATGGCTTGATGATGGGACTTCAGAGTCCGGCCAGAGACAGCCAGACTTCAGGGGAAGAATATTTTTCCACTCCATCCCTTTTCCAGCTCCCCTTCCTGCTGAGAGCCACTTCCATTGGCAATAAAATCCCCCACATTTACTATCCTTAAATTCATTTGTGAGACCTGATTTTTCCTGGATGCCAGACAAGAGCTCGGGGTACAGAAGGCTAACACACTGACCCTCTGCCCGCACAAAAAGGCAGAGGCTTCACTGAGCCTTTAAACACATAAGCTGTCCGTGGACAGCAAAACTAAAAGAGCACTGACTGTTAACACTCCTTCTGGGGCTTCAGGAGTCACAGGTACTCCCCCTCTAGATGTTGCCATGGGGCCTGCACAGAGTTTTGCTCTTGCCGGTGCCCGGAAGCACTCGCCCTGGCTCTTGCACCCACTCAGCTACACTCCCCGTCCCACTAGGGCTGGAGTGCAGTGGATCCAAGCAAGTGAAGCCAGCCAAAGCAGCTAGCTAGCTCCAGTGCCCACAGTCCAGTTCCCACCTGCTGCAAAGGGGTCAGGGAAAATTTCCTGTTTCAGGGAGAACATCTTTGGTGGGCCTGACCTAATCAGATGAGTCCTTAAAGTGACTGGGCTCTTCCTGGAAAGAGAAATTCGAAGCATGAGGGAGATTTCATGCAAAGGAGATTCTCCATTGCTGACTTTTTATGATGAAGGTGCCACATGGTAGGGAACAGTGGGCAGCCCACAGAAGCTGAGAGCAACTCTGTGAGCAAGAAGGTGGCAATCACAGTCCTACAACCACAGGGAACAAGATCCTGCCAACAACCTGAATAACTTTGGATGACCCCAAGCCTCAGATTAGAATCACAGCCCTCGCTGACACCTTAATTTTATTCCTGTGAGACCCTGAACAAGGAACCTAGCTGTGTCATGTCTGGACTTCTAACCTGTAGAACTGTGAGCTAATAAGCTGTTGTTTTAAGCCATTAAATTTATGGTAATTAGTTATGCAGTAATAGAAAATGAATAGACCCTCTACACTGAAACTACAACAGATCATATTCAGGGAAATTTTACAACTCTGAGTGGCTGGAGTGCTACCAGGAAGTCCTCCACTTGCTGGCTTGCTAGTTGCTTCCAACAACTTCTCTGGGCACATACGATGAGCAAGACTCTGGAAACTCCTCACAGAAAGTTGACCTATTGGTCCACTGTATAATTAGATCAACTCTTCTGGGAATGTAAAAGTAGTCTGCCAGTTGTGGCTGCAAAGTTTAGATATGTATATGCCAGAAAACTCATGCTATCCAACAATGGTATGCAAATTGGTGTGTCCGTCTAGGTTTATAACCAACTCTTCAATGAATGTAAAGAAATGAGCTTTAAAATAAGGAAATAACACCTAGCACATTGGGAAGCCAAGGCGGCTAGATCACGAGGTCAGGAGTTCGAGACCAGCCTGGACAACACAGTGAAACCTCATCTCTACTAAAAATACAAAAATTAGCCAGGCATAGTCCCGACCTATAGTCCCAGCTACTCGGGAGGCTGAGGCAGGAGAATCACTTAAACCTGGGAGGCGGAGGTTGCAGTGAGCCAAGCCACGCCATTGCACTCCAGCCTGGGTGACAGAGCAAGACTCCATCTCAAAAAGAAAAAAGAAGGAAATAATATTTTGTTATTGGACTTGCTGAAAGAGATCCAGACAGTAATTATTAACCATACATATGTTGATTGATTAATAAAGCTGTTTGAAGTCATAGACCAGACTTACATACAAATTTTCTGAAAGCTTATTCTAAAAAACTATTAATAGATACAACTGCCTGGATATGAATTAAAATGCCTGAATATCAAGCTACAACAATGTTTATAAAGAATGATTTGTAAATAACACCTTTCAAGGCACTTTCAAAGCGTTAGTAAAAATTAGCTTAATTACAATACATAATACAATATAATAACAGGAGTTCTAGGGAACTGTGGATCCCTGGGATTTTTATGTAAAATCAAGTAAGCACATATGCATTTTCCTGTGGCAAAATGTTTATCTCTCTCATCAGCTACATAACCTCATGAAAGCTAAAAACAAATGTTGTATTATAAAGTTTCTGAGGTTGTATCTACTTGGAATATACAGATTAATAATTGTTACCAAAAGTACTTTAAAGATATAAAAAAAAAAAATTAGGGCCATAGTTTATTTGATCTTCTAATTGGGTGTTTGTTCATGACTTAATGTCTTTTCACGTTTTATTAGATTTGCCAGATGGAAAAAAAGACCTCTACTACCAGGTTGTAACTTCCTTATTATACCCATTATCATTTAGATGAACCCTTTGTAAGCAATGATTTCAGCATGACTCATTTTAACAGCATATAATGGTCTTTTTAATAGAGTATGAGAAGGCTTTTACACCCCCAGGTAAAATTTTATAAATAAATGTAGATTTTTAAAATTATAATTACAATTACTGGCAGAAAGTTAAAGCCAATGGGATAGTTATAATCATTATTGCCTTGATTTAAACATTTAAGAGATGCCTTATAAGTTTCAACATAACTCTACAATTTACATAAAACATTGCCAGTCAATAAAAGTTGTTGAACTTACAAGAAGAATGTTGATACTGTAAAGCTATTTACATAGTTGACATATATAAGAAGTTTTCAAGGCTAAGAACTAGAGTAAGAGCAATGCTGCCAGAATTTAAGTTGTTTGAGGCCAGATAATTAAACCAAATGAAACAAAAGATAAAAATCCTTTGAACTAAAATATTTCTTTAGCTGTCATCTTTAACTGCATAAATACTGATTGGCTAAGACTATGAATAACTGAGAATATTTTAAATTTAAAAAAAGAATAAAATGAGAAATTTCAAAGTGGATATTATAACCAGCAACATAGAGTTCCATAAATAGCAATAGTCACTATGTTTTGGGAGTGTGCAAAGTTGTATCTTGGAGTGTGCTTTGTAAATGTTTGTGTCTGAAGATGTATCTAAACTTGCATTTTACAACTGTAATGTAATGGCACAATCAGCAAATGGCTAACTTCAAATTTAAAATAGAGTAGAGAGGAAACAAATGTTTCTGAATATATTTCTCTACAGTATATAACTGTCCATATTTATTTCTTAAGATTCTGTGACCCAAACACCTATACATACTGCAAATAGCATAAACAGCAATCAACTTGTCAACATAAACAATGGTAAACTAAAAATAAAACTCCAAGCCTCCAACGGACTGAATGGATCATCTCTTTGCCAAGGGGACCCCTGAGTAACGTTGAAAACAGAGTTCTCGGCCCTGATGGGAGCCGGGGTCAGACTCCCTTCCTTGCCAACCATGATTGGGCTTTCTTCCCTAAGGGCCTAACAGAACTCAACACTTTCAAAAGTTAAAGCCAATGGAATAGTTATAATCATTATTGGCTTGATTTAAACATTTAAATCATGTTTAAAATCATGTTACCCCTGACGTGAACCAACCACCCAACACTGCCCCTACTGTTTTTGTTTTTGTTTGTTTGTTTGTTTTTTGGTATTTTTGAGATGGAGTCTCACTCTGTCGCCCAAGGTAGAGTGCAGTGGCATGATCTCGGCTCACTGCAACCTCCACCTCCCAGTTTCAAGTGATTCTCCTGCCTCAGGCTCCCTAGTAGATAGGATTACAGGCCTACACCACCAGGCCCGGCTAATTTTTATATTTTTAGTAGAGATGGGGTTTCACCATGTTGGCCAGGCTGGTCTCAAAATTTCTGACCTCAAGTGATCTGCCCACCTCCACTTCCCAAAGTGCTGGGATTACCGGTGTGAACCATCCCCCCGCCTGCCCCTACTGTTTTGCCTGAGACCACAGACCATGGAGTGGTTCTGGCCAGTCCATGGAGAATGCACAGTAAGGGTTTTCATGTCCTCTGCTTCACTTTGTGACATTAGAGGACTGAAAACTCCACCCTCAGATCACTGCCTTTTTTTTTTTTTTTTTTTTTTTTTTTTTTTTTTTTTTTTTTCAGACAGGGTCTTCCTCCGTTGCTCAGGCTGGAGTACAGTGGCATGATCTCGGCTTACTGCAACCTCCACCTCCCAGGTTCAAGCAGTCCTCCCACCTCAGCCTCCCGAGTAGCTGGGACCCGAGTAGATGCATGCTACCATGCCCAGCTAATTTTTGTATTTTTTGTAGAGCCAGGGTTTTGCCATGTTGCCCAGGTCGGTGTTGAACTCCTGAACTCAAGCAATCCACCCCCTTCAGCCTTCCAAAGTGCTGGGATTACAGGCAGGAGCCACCGCGCCCCTCCCAATGCCATTTTTTGAACATGGAGAAGAAGCAGGAAGCTCAGTTGTGCATGTGCACGTTTCTCCTTTCATAAATATTCATGACTCCTTTTACAGCTTATTGAATATGTATGTTTGACCTCTCTACTTGGCATACATTCCTGTTCCTTTTGCCCTCCTCTGAAGTATCTGTTTCTGGCTTCTGGCCACAGACTATGCTTCCCAGACTGTCAGAAAGGCCACCTTGCTGGCTACAACCCTTTGTAAAAAATAAAGTCTCCTCTTCTACTCTTCTAAATTGATAAATTGTATTTTTTTTAAGTTAACACAGCAGAGGCATAAAAAAGGAGCTTGCTCTTGTTAGACCAACAATATCTGAATTCCTCTAGAAACCCTATTAATGCAAGACATTCCCTTCAGAGGCCTTTTTCCGCTTCTCCCTGACCACTAAGGCTGGAGGTCCAGAATGGAGAGGGCTGTCTCTGTAGTGCTTCTAGAAAGATCTATATCCCCACAGAGAAAGAGCAGTAGCACTCCAAAGAGATGGATTAATTAATTCACTCTGATAGAAAAGAGTTGCACTAAAAAGTTCCAAGCTGGTCATGGTGGCTCCTGCCTGTAATCCCAGCACTTTGGGAGGCCGAGGTGGGAGGACTGCTTGAGGCCAGGAGTTTGAGACCACCCTGGCCAACAACTGCATCTCTATAAAAATAAATAAGTAAAGAAACAAACAAGTAAATAAATAAAATAAAAAGTTACCAAGAGTCTACATAGAAAGGATAATAAATAGGGCCAAATTATGTTAAGCACTGTGTCACTTATCTTGGTAAAGCAGCGTTCAATACTGTTCTTTTTAACTGACAGTTCAGATCTTCATGCCTTTTTAAGAAATCACTTTGCCTTATTCTCAAACCACTTAGCCTCCTAAACTATTTAGCATGAAGCCGGATATAAGTGATATAGCTGATGGGTTAATTTACACTTAAATACCAAATAATCACTCAACTGACAGCAAATATCTTAGATGTCCTCATTAGAATGTCAGTGCTGCTAAAATATTTATAAATAAGAAAAGATGCCACTTCAAATTTGCTGACATCATTAAGTTTTGTTAATTTCTGGATTATGCAATTTCAGGGACTATTTAAAATTAACGGAAATGGCACTCAAACTAAAACTCTCATACTGCTTATGGATTTAATTTTCCTTAAAAAAGAATTTTAAAAGGCCAGGCACGGTGGCTCACGCCTATAATCCCAACAATTTGGGAGGCCCAGGTGGGCTGACTGCTTGAGCTCAAGAGTTTGAGACCAGCCTGGGCAACATGGCAAAACCCTATCTTTATTCTACAAAAAATACAAAAATTAGCCAGGTATGATGACATGCACCTGTAGGCCCAGCTACTTGGAAGGCTGAGGTGGGAGGATCTCTTGAGCCCAGGAGGTTGAGGCTAAAGTGAGCCATGATCTTGCCACTGCACTCCAGCCTGAGTGACAGAGTGAGACCCTGTCTCAAAACAAATGAAAAACTTTCCTATTAAAAATATAATACAGGGCTAGGTGTGGTGGCTCACACCTATAATCCCAGTACTTTGAGTGGCCAATGTGGGAGGATTACTGGAGGCCAGGAGTTCAACAGCAGTCTGGGCATCATATCAAGACTTCATCTCTACAAAAAAAAAAAGAAAGTTTTTCAGATGCAGTGGTACCTGCATACAGTCCTAGCTACACAGGAGTTTGAGGCAGGATGAGCATGCCACTGCACTCCAGCCTGGGCAACAGAACAAGACCCTGTCTCCTAAAAAAAAAAAAAAAGAAAGAAAGAAAGAAAGAAAGGAAGAAAGAAAGAAAGAAAGAGAAAAACCATCACTTTATTTTAGTCCATAAAATTGAGTGAAAAAAAAAAGTAATACATTTCTCCACTCAAATAGAAACAGCTCTGCCACTAGATCCTATTTCACACCCATTAGGATGGCTGTATTTAATAAGACAGACCATAGTAAGTGTTGATGAGGATATGGAGAAATTTGAACCCTCATACGTTGTTAGCGGGATTGTAAAATAGTACAGCCACTTTAGAAAACAGTTGGGAGTTCCTTAAAATGTGAAACATAGAGTTACCATATGACACAGCAACTCCACCTCTGTGTATATACTCAAGAGAACCGAAAACATTTGTCCACACATTTGAACACTAATACTGATGGCAGCATAATAGCCCCAAAGTAGAAAAAACTCAAAGGTCCATCAACTGAAGGACAGTGTCTATACAATATGTAGTGTGTCTATACAATGGAGTATTATCTGGCCATAAAGAGGAATGAATATAGATACGTACTAAAACATGGATAAACCTTGAAAACATTATGTTTCCTGAAAGATACAGAATACCATATATTGTATGATGTCACTTCTATCAAATGTCCACCACAGGCAAATCCGTAGAGAAAGTAGATTAGTGGTTGCCAGGGGCTGGGAAGAACAAGCGGATTATGAGTAACAGCAAATGGGTGCAGGGTTTCTTTTTGCAGTGATGCAACCTTCTAAAATTAGATGCTGGTGATGCTTGCACAATTCTGTGAATATGCTAAAAACAACTGACTGTGAACTGTATACTTTAGAAGAGTGAATTTTAGGGTACGTGAATTATGTCTCAATAAGACTATTATTATTATCATTTGGGGCAGGGTCTTGCTGTGTCACCCATGCTGTGCTGCAGCGGCACAATCATGGCTCACTGCAGCCTCGACCTCCTGGGCTCAAGCAATCCTCTCAACTCAGCCTCCTGGGACTACAGGCATAAACCACCATGCCCTACGAATTTTTATTTTTTATTTTTTTATTTTTTTGTATTTTGTAGAGACAGAATCTCACCATCTTGCTCAGGCCAGTCTTGAACTCCTGGACTCAAGTAATCCTCCTGCCTCTGTCTCCCAAAGTGCTGGGTTTACAGGCATGAGCCACGACACCTAGCCTCAATATAGCTATTACTTTTTTTAAAAAGGCAAAAACTGATGACATGTTGGAGAAGTTTTTTCCAGTCTCTTTTTTTCTTAATTTTATAGTTGTGGTTATTTTGTGTTCATATACTAACAATTTTTAAAGTATGCCATCTTATTACAAACTCATTATCAGGGGAACCTGCCCCCGATTTCACATGGGTTCTTTTCTATTTTCCCTAAGCACTGGCCGGTTTGAGAAATAAAGGGACAGAGTACAAAAGAGAGAAATTTTAAAGCTGGGTGTCCGGGGGAGACTTCACATGTCGGTAGTTTCTGTGATGCCCCCTGAGCTGTAAAACCAGCAAGTTTTTATTAGTGATTTTCAAAAGAGGAGGGAGCGTACGAATAGGGTGTGGGTCACAGAGATCACGTGCTTCACAAGGTAATACACTATCACAAGGCAAATGGAGGCAGGGCGAGATCGCAGGACCACAGGACCGGGGCGAAATTAAAATTGCTAATGAAGTTTTGGCACGCATTGTCATTGATAACATCTTATCGGGAGACAGGGTTTGACAGCAGACAACCAGTCTGACCAAAATTTATTAGGCGGGAATTTCCTCATCCTAATAAGCCTGGGGGCGCTATGGGAGACTGGGGCTTATTTCATCCCTACAGTTTCGACCATAGAAGACAGCCGCACCCAAGGGGGCCGTTTCAGAGGCCTACCCTTAGGGATGCATTCTCTTTCTCAGGGATGTTCCTTGCTGAGAAAAAGAATTCAGCGATATTTCTCCCATTTGCTTTTGAAAGAAGAGAAATATGGCTCTGTTCTGCCCAGCTCACTGGCGGTCAGTTTAAGGTTACCTCTCTTGTTCCCTGAACACTGCTGTTATCTTGTTTTTTTTTCAAGGTGCCCAGATTTCATATTGTTCAGACACATATGCTCTACAAACAATTTGTGCTGTTAACGCAATCATCACAGGGTCCTGAGATGACATACATCCTCCTCAGCTTACGAAAATGATGGGATTAGGAGATTAAAGTAAAGATAGGCATAGGAAATCACAAGGGTATTGATTGGGGAAGTGATAAGTGTCCATGAAATCTTCACAATTTATGTTCAGAGATTGCAGTAAAGACAGGCGTAAGAAATTATAAAAATATTAATTTGGGGATCTAATAAATGTCAATGAAATCTTCACAATTCATGTTCTTCCACCATGGCTTCAGCCAGTCCCTCTGTTTGGGGTCCCTGACTTCCCGCAACAACTCATGAGAAACATAATAGCTTTATAAACTCTGTTGAGATCATTTCCCACAATAATAAAGGTAACTATTATTGAGTGTTTAATATGAGCTAAGTATTATTCTAAGCCCTTTATATATATTGTCTTATTTAATACTGACAACAACTTTAGGAGATCAGTGATTTTTATGCTCACATTTTACATAGGAAGAAATGAATGTTAAATTAATTTTATAGCTAGTGAATGGTGGAGCCAGTGTACTGTTTTACATTCACTCCAGTTTTTCATTATTATAAAAAATAAGAATTATCCTTGATTGTGGAAGACCAAACTTCTGCATCTATGGAAAGGTCCTGGCTTAATTAATAACTGCAGGTCAGAGCTTCCCATGCCCCAAAGGCCATATACAGCAATCCAGAAAGCAAAGTTTCTGCCTTAAAATCTGAGTGATCTTTGGTGTCACTTCATCTCTTCTTGACCCTCTGGGTGATCCAGAATTTAGACCCTGCCTCCAGCTCTCTGGTCCCTGACTGCTTCTCTCCTGTAACTGAGTCCCTGACTGGTCCTGCTTCTGGGATACCCCCACCCCTGCCTGTTTCTCTCAACCCTTGGCTGGCTAAACTTGCACTAAAAGGCAGACTCCACACACCTAGCTAAACTTTCAGGTCCTACAAATCCTCAACCAATTAAATTAATCACTAAAAAGGAGGGTTCAAGTCCTCCATTTCTAACCATGTGAACTAGAGAAGCAACCTCTTTGAGTCTGTTTTGTTATCTGTAAAAAATGATAATCCTACTGTATACTTCACAGGGTTGTTTTGAGGTTCACCTAAGATAAAGTACTTCATAAACCGTGAAGGTACGTAAGAAGCAGGTCTTACCTCTGAGTCGCAGGCATGTTCAAAGCAATGGGGCCTCTGACAGCAGCAACAGAACTGATATAGCCTCTCAAGGTGACCACAGTGGAAGAGGCCGCCTGGGTTAGGGTCCGATTATACATTGCTGTACTCAAATGTATTGTGTGGCAGTATGGCCTACTGACAACTTTAAGTACGAAAAGGACTAGCCAGGAAGCCCTGCCAGGGCATTGCTAATTGAACATTCTCTACATGGATCTCACTATTTCTTCTTCCCTCTTCCCTGTTTCCTAGCCTAGTTAAGGGCACCACTATGTACATGGTCACCAAAATCAGAAATCTGTTGATCATTCCTGATTCCCAGTAGTCCAAGTTAAAATCCCAAGAGTTTGTTTCTCACTCTCTCTCACCCTTACACACAAAATGATCCACAGACTTGTCTCCCAAATCTATGCCCACTCCCAATCCCCTAGCCTTGGTTAATGTCCTCCTAGCCTCCAAACTCGATGATTGCAATCGTGTCCCCTGCTGGTCGCACCTGGTAGTTCTACTTGGTCACTCACCAATTCTCCTGAGACCTGAATAATATTTCTAAAATGCAGATACTATCCTGTCTGGGAGGCTTTCCTGTTTTCCAAAGGATAAAGTCAAAACATTTAGAATGCCATACAGAGCTCATCTCACATACACACACTTCCTCCCCAGGGTCCTCTTCTGGCCTCTGCTTCCTCTCCAGATGCCCCTTACTCTTTACAAAGGGACTGTGGATTGTTTTCAGAATACACTATGCACTTTCATATATCTGTGATTTTCCAAATACTGTTCCCTAAGCCTGAAAATTCCTCCTGTCCTCCTTAATCCTTCTCTGCTTTGAGAGAGTCTTCTTCCCTTTGAGATCCAGTCAATGCCAGTTTTATGAAGTCTTCCACAGGCAGCTGGACACTCATTTCTCTGGACTTGCACAGCACTGTGGACATTTATCGCCTTGTAATGTTTTTATTGATTCACCTGCTTTTCTCCTCCACTAGACTGGGATTTGTAATAAAGAGCCTGAGTCTATTTTTTATGTCTGACTACTGAAAGTTTTCTTTTTTAAAAACAGGTTTCAACTTATTGTAGATTAAGGGTACACATGCAGATTTGTTATATGGGTAAACTGTGTGACACTGAGGCTTGAGGTCCCAACGATCCTGTCGTTCAGGTCATAGGCATAGTACCCAACATGGGGTCCTTTAGCCCATGCCCCCCTCCCTCCCTCATCTAGTGATCCCCAGTGGCTATTGTTCCCATCTTTATGATCATGTGTACTTAGTGTTTAGCTCCCACTTATAAATGAGGACATGCGGTATCTGGTTTTTTGCCTTTGTGTTAGATCACTTAGGATAATGGACTACTGGAAGTTTTCAAGCCCACCAGTCCCTTTTCCCCTTCTGCCCCCACCTCTGAGCAAGCCATTACAAAAAGCCATGCTCTCTCTCCTTTGGAGCTGATAGGAAATTCAAACCCTCAACAGGGAAACCCTCACTGTGGCCCCATCTCCTAACCACCATAAAGCCCCAAGACAGTCTCTAGTCCCTGCTCTCTCTCTCTCTCGTTGTGTGTGTGTATGTGTGTGTGTGTGTGTGTGTGTGTGTGTGTGTGTGTTTGAGACGGAGTCTTTCTCTGTCACCCAGGCTGGAGTGCAGTGGCGCCATCTCAGCTCACTGCAACCTCCACCTCCTGGGTTCAAGTGATTCTCCTGCCTCAGCCTCCCGAGTAGCTGGGACTACAAGCGTGTGCCACCATACCAGGCTATTTTTTTTTTTTGTATTTTTAGTAGAGATGGGGTTTCACCATGTTGGTCAGGCTGGTCTCAAACTCCTGACCTCAGGTGATCCACCTGCCTCAGCCTCCCAAAGTACTGAGACTACAGGCATGAGCCACCACACCCTGCCATATACCCTGCTCTCTTAAGCCATTTGAACCAGCTTGGGAAACTTGACCTGCTGTACTCAGAAAGCCTCATTATGTAAGTAACAAACCTTTCATAACTTCTTGATGTATGTGTGGCATCATCAGTCTTTTAAAATTATTTTTTATTTTTTAATTAGAGACAGGATCTCACTATTTTGCCCATGGTGGTCTCGAGCTCCTGGTCTCAAGCTATCCTCCTGCCTTGGCCTCCCAAAGTGCCAGGTTTACGGGCATGAGCCACCTCGCCCAGTCACATCATCAGTCTTGACATCTGAATCAAGTTCCGGATGGGGGTCTATCCTACTTCTGCAGGGTGATCAGAACAGAATTATTAGGCATATGAGCCGTATCTTATTTATTTCCCTTTCCTCTGTGCCTAAAATAAAATAATTAATAAATGGTTATTGAATGAACTATATTTAAATATTGTTGGAATATGAAAATTCAATTTTATTTGAGCTGTGGAATAAACAGTTTCTTTGTGACCAGTTTAAATATGGTTGATGGAAAAATGAAGACCATCAGAAATATTTTGGAAGAAGACAAATTTATAAATCATTTGGAACATTAAGTGAATATTTATCTAAAAATTGAAAAATTGGCAAAGGATTTGAATAGATATTTCTCCAAAGAATATATACAAATGATCAATAAGCACCTGAAAAAATGCTCCCAGCTACTCGGAAGGCTGCAGTGGGAGGATTGCTTGAGTCCAAGAGGTTGAGGCTGCAGTGAGCTATGATTGTGCCACTGCACTCCAGCCTGGGAGACAGAGTGAGACCTTGTCTCAATATACAAAATAAACGCTAGGCACAGTAGCTCACTCATGTCATCCTAGCATTTTGGGAGGCCAAGGCCATCCTAGCATTTTGGGAGGCCAATGCTTGATCCCAGGCATTCAAGACCAGCCTGGCCAACATGGTGAAACCCCATATCTACATAAAATACAACAATTAGCCAGGCATGGTGGCATATACCTGCAGTCCCAGCTACTCTAGAGGCTGAGGCAGGAGGATCACTTAAGCCCAGGAGGTGGCGGTTGCAGTGAGTAGTTATCATGCCACTGCACTGCAGCCTGGGCGACAAAGTGAGATCCTGTCTCAAAATAAATAAATGAGATAAAATAAAAAATAAATAACAGATAAATGGGGCAATATCTGGAGGAGCATTGACAAGAGAGAAGAATCTATGAAGTGGTGACATCAGAGGGCAGGAAAGTCCATTCCTTTATACAGCCATGGAAGGTTAGGAGGCTAGTGACAGAGGCTGTGTTAGTGGGGTCATCCCTGTGGATACTGAAGCACTGAAATTCATGGGAGGAATCAGGGACAATAGAGGGTTGCCAAATAAAACACTATTTGCTGTTTGTCTGAAAATCAAATTTAACTGGGCATTCTGTATTTTTATTTGCCAAATCTGACAACTTTAGGTGGAGAGAAACACTGCCCTGGAAGGTGTTCTGTGAATGAGAGATAATAGCAATATGGGATAGTGTAGGCACCCCTTATTCATGGCAGATAAGTTCCAAAACCCCCAGTGGTTGCCTGAGACCACAGATCATGCTGAACCTTATATATGCTATGCTTTTTCCTATACATACATACCTATGATAAAGTTTAATTTATAAACTAGGCACCGTAAGAGATGAACAACAATAACAATAAAATAGAAAAATTATAACAATATACTGTAATAAATGTGATTTATTTATTTATTTATTTTGAGACATAGTTTCTCTGTCACTCAGGCTGAAGTGCAGTGGCATGATCTCGGCTCACCGCAACCTCTGCCTCCCGGGTTCAAGCAGTTCTCATGCCTCAGCCTTCCAAGTATCTGGGATTACAGTCATGAGCCACCATGCTCAGCTAATTTTTGTATTTTTAGTAGAGACAGGGGGTCTCACCATGTTGGCCAGGCTGGCTCGAACTCCTGAACTCAAGTGATCCACTCACCTCGGCCTCCCAAAGTGCTGAGATTACAGGCATATAATACATGTTATGTGAATGTGGTCTCTCTCTCTCTCTCTTTCTCTCTCTCTCTCTCAATATCTTATTGTACTGTACTCACCTATTTTCAGACCACAGTTGACTTCAGGTAACTGAAACCTTGGAAAGCAAAACCACAGATAAGGGGGGACTGAGAACTATAGTTGTATGGTATGAGCTTCAAAGAAGCATGATTAGGGGTGGTGAGGTTGAAAAAAAAGGAAGAAAACTGGTTTCAGAAGCATCACTGGGAAGCAAGTCTCCACATCCAGGCACCAAGTCATAATGGGGACTTAAGAAAGCTGCATGACAACCCGTAACTCAGGACACAGCCAGGCCTCATTTAAACAGTGAAGGGGAAGGACCTTGAGAGCCAGGGAGATCTGGGGAAATTAGGAGGCAGGTTGAGCAAGCGAGAGAGTTTCCTGGCCACAGTTGTAATGTTTCAGGAACATAATGAGAGCATTTTTTTTTAAAGGGTTGAGTCAAATAATCTGATAATGGTGATCAGGAAACTTGCCCCATGAGCACAATGGCCATGCCACAGAAATGGGCTGGCAGTAGTACCCTGTCATGCTCAGTCAGTGGCTGCAGCCATACTGGGGCGGTGTGGACCCAGAGAACAGCAAGGGGACTGGCAGCCAACTACACTCCCCTCTGCCAGAGAGACAGGAAGTAAAACCTTCCCCTCCCTTCTGCAGCTCCACTTAGCATTTAGGCAAGGAAAAATGTACTGTAAGTGCCCTTTTATGGCAGTTGGTCATTTTGCTGATTTTCTTCGCAGAAGGCATCCTTTATCCCACACAAAGAAGTTTTCCAAAGATGCCTTGGATTCCACATCTATCCTTTTTCAACTTTCCTCATATTTTAACTATCTTTCTCAATTTCATTTTTATCTTTTCCACACATTTCCTTTAAAAAATAGTGTGACTATCTCAAGCTATGAGACAGGATTGCAGTCCATTTTCCAAAAGAATAAAATTCAATTTCTCTGTAGAGTGATGTCTGTCCTGTGGCCACTCTTCAGGGTATAACAGGTAATAGCCACTGACGATCTGAATTGCAAGTGTGGGGGTGGAAATCAATTAAGCTGAAAGTGAAAAGGATAAAGGAGACTGCTCTACTCTAAAACCCATTCAACTTTCAATGGCCAGAAAACTAAAAATGTTATCTCAAGAGTTTTCTAAACGGTTTAAACCTAACCCGGATGGAAGTCATGGCACGTTCAATTTGAAGTATGATCATTCAAGGCTAGGCGTGGTGGCTCTCGCCTGTAATCCCAGCACTTTGGGAGGCCCAGGCAGGCGGATCACCTGAGGTTGGGAGTTCGAGACCAGCTTGACCAACATGGAGAAACCCCGTCTCTACTAAAAATACAAAATTAGCCGGGCATGTAACGTGCCTGTAATCCCAGCTACTGAGGAGGCTGAGGCAGGAGAATTGCTTGAACCCGGGAGGCGGAGGTTGTGATGAGCCGAGATTGCGCCATTGCACTCCAGCCTGGGCAACAAGAGTGAAACTACACCTGAAAAAAAAAAAGAAAGAAAGAAAAGAAAAAAGAAATATGATCATTCCCACACTCTATGTATAATAATAACACATTTCATGGACATAGGAGGTCCCCACCTGCTTTCTTTCCAGAATAAGTACAATCAGGGATTACATAGTTTTTAATAGAATAATATGCAGTACATGGCCTTGTTACTTTGCTATGTTTTAAAACTACCAGAAGACCATGAAAACAATTTTTCAATTTCTCTAGGGCCACTAAACAGTCTCTTTTCTGTTTCTTTAATGAAAACTGTTTCTTTAATGAAAATATTCAGTCTATATGCCAGGAAATGGATTTTATAGAGAAACATGAGTTGCCCAAATTACCCTAACTTGCCTCCTTCCCTGCAGCTGAATCTACTACATGCATTTTTCGTAGTACATTAAACTGCTGCATTCTCGACACCGCCAAAATAATTTGCATTGTGACTAGAACATGACAATCTGTTCATCAACAGACAAGACACCTCTTTCAGGAATGGGGAAACCCAACAGACTTAGTGTCAACTTATTATTACATGGTAACATAAACTGGAATACGCCGGGTTTCTGTGGTCTACGGAATCAGCTTCCTCACTTCCCTGGAAATTCAACATTTTAAAAAATTATCTTTTGCCATTTTAGCCATTTTTGAATGTACAGTTCTGGGCACTGAGAACATTCACATTTTTGTGCAACCATCACCACCATCCACGTCCAGCCGTTTTTCATCTTCCCCAACTGAAACTCTGTATCCATTAAACTCTGACTCTCCGTTCCCTCTTCCTCCCTAGCCCCTGTCAATCACCATTCTACTTGCTGTTTCTGGGAATTTAAGTGCTCTGAGAATCTCATATAAGTGAAATAATATATTAGTTATCTTTTTGTAATTGGCTTATTGCAGTTAAGTCTTCAAGGCTCATCTATGTGATAACGTGTCAAAACTTCCTTTTTGAGGCTGAATAATATTATATTGTTTGTATATAACATATTTTGTTTATCCATTCACCATCAAGGGACACTTGGGTTGCTTCCATGCTTTGACTTTTATAAATAATGTTGCTATGAATGGGGATGTACAAATAGAAACTTCAATTTTAAGTAAGCATAAGGCTGCAGCAATGACGAGGATACTCATCGCAACCTTCCTTTTCATTTGCTGGGCCACACTTCAGTTACAGGTGGTGACCAGAGTGAATATCAAGTTTAAACTGCAGGTGGCAGCAAATATTCATGAACTAGACCCAATGTCTGGCAAAACCATAGCTGTTTTTTACTGCGTTAAATTTTGCCTCTTTAGAATGGAATTCACATTTTTCCCCAGGTCGCCTATGTTCAACATAAGAAATGCTGGAAGCATTTGTGTGGGTTTAACTAACAAGGAGTACTTTAATTGTGAAATATAAAAGAATGGTGGATCAGTATCTGAGTGCTTGAAATTCTGCTCACAGCTTTCACAGTCTTGCCTGAAATGTCTCAGCCAACCACACATTCATAATCTTGCCACATCTTCAAGCTCTGAAAATAGGTCTTCATCATTCATGAGGAACGGCCTCTGGCTTGTCCATGGGATAGACCCTGCTAGTTGTCTATCCAATATCCTTTTCACTTTTTTGCCTACAAATAAAAACCCCAATTTTGATTAGGCCACCGTGTACCCAACTAAAAAAAAAATCTCCATTGCCTCACCTCTCTTGCAGCCGAGATGAGGGTATGCCACAGTTCTTTCCTGGAGATAGAAGCTCAAGTCTGCTGGAAATCAAAAGTTTTGCTTTCCTGATACAGGCTCCTCCCGTTCTTCCTTGTGTTTGTTGTGTTTCGATTGTTGTTTTGGTTGCTTCCTACCAAAAACCTGGGTGGGAAACTAAAGGTGGGACAGCCATACTGTAACGATGAGACCACCAGGAAAATAAACGCACATGTTAAGCACTGCAGAGTAGAAAAAGGAGCCTGGGGTGATGATGGCCCAGGTGAGGTGCCCCAGGATCCCTGGGCTACCCATCTGTAGGTGGACTGCTTACTTTCAAGCAGGACTTCTCACTTCCTGTTATGCGAGAAAAATATTTCCTTATTGAGTTAAAGCACGATACTTAGACTTATGTTAGGTGAAGCAGCGCCCAACCCCCAGGTGAGATGGATAGATAGTCCCTGGGATGCATCGATGAGTTAAATGTGTGTTTAAAGATAAAGACAATAAATATACTAGCTTCTTTTTTAATTGAGAAAAGGTGCCTAAAATGCAGGGCAGAACTACATTTTTATCAGACATAGGTCTAAAAATACTAAGGCAGATATTACGCAACATTTAAAGTAATGAGTTAGTAGGCTTTTCCATAAATAAAGGAATGGCATTTAGGAGTAGAAGTAGGAGAAGAGGATAATAAATAATAAATAGCAGAGCTATTTTAAATAATAAAAGCAGAGCTGAGTTTCTAAGATGAAAGTCCTCATGAATGTGGGAGTCTCTGTTCATTAACAGCTTCAATTCGTCAGATTTTGCCACAATGTTATAATAACTCATTTGTGAAATGCCACAAGGTCAAGATAATCCTGTCCTCATCCATATCTTTTTAGTGAGAACATTTGGTGCTCTGTATACATAGCTAAAGTATTCATCCAGTGACATGAACATTTACCAACATCTGAGAGAGAGACAGAGAGACAGACAGAGAGAGAGAGAAGGATTCACAGAAAAAGTGAAATGAAAGACTTGGAGAAAATATTCTAGAATCAGAGCACCCAAAGGGATGGAACCAAACAGGAGAGTGACTGTGAGAGAGGCTGAGGTTTAAGTGCTAAAATCAGGTCTAAATCTGTGACTCTAATTTCTTCTGTGTACTTTAAACAGGTTTCTACATTTGTAAAGTAAGAGATGGGAAATGTCTCATGACACTTATAATTTAGTTGGAGAATAAAAAACTAAAGACACATTAGCATAAGAGCAAATAGTGTGGCACAGTGTGTAATTAATGGCTAAATTATATGGTTCAAGGACAAGTGCTACAGAAATTGAGAAAACAATAAGACCAAGAATAGTTGGGAAAGGGTTTCATGGAGGAGATAGGAATAGGGATAATTTACAAAGAGAGAATATTGAAGAAATAACTTTCTAAGTAGAAAGGAAAAAAGACAAGAAAGGATGCAGATGTTTGGCTTGTTTGTGGCATGAAAGGAAGACTTGTTTTGGAAAATAGTGGGGAGTAGATTTAGGTTTGTAGTATTGAGTCAACTCATAGATGCCCTCAAAAGCTAGGAAGAAAACATTTGGAAGTTGAGTAGAAGTCACTTCTGTTTCCTGGAGCGTGGAGATTATTGGCTCAGGCATTCCCAACTCCACTCAAAGCTTTAATGGTTGGGAAACCCAGGAGCATCCCAGGTACCCAAGCTTGTACTGAGTGTCAGCTCCTGAGCCAGCAGCTCTCTTCACTCTCCATCAAACTCCATCCATCAATCCCTGGGTGACTCCTTCCAAAGAGGGAACCAACCCAACCTCCAGAGGGTACTGTCATTTTCAATCCATGAAGAGGATTGCAGGCACTCCCTGCAATTTGAAGAGAAGATTATGATTTGAAAAGGTAGACAGTCTTTTAAAAAGTCAAGAAAAAGTTTTTAAGAGTGACAACCCCAGTACACCATCATGGAATTTCGGCAGAGGCAAAGAAAAAAAAAATTGCCACCAGTGCTGGCCACCTTCTAGAGCTGCTGACTTGGAGGAAGCAAACTAAAGTGCAGAGGACCTCAATAGAGCCTGGATGGGGTAGAGGCTATTTAACAGCATTTCAGAAGAGAGAAGAGACTCGAGTTCTTGGTGATGGTTCCACTCTGCTCCAGACAGGTGCTCCAATCTCATTCAACAAAAATTATTCGGTGAGAGTGTCAAGGGGAATTTGCCCATCATATATCAAGGCATCAAAAGGTCTCGATGAGTGACTCATATTTACTACAAACAAGGAAGAAAATGAATGTCATGGCAACCATACAAGAACCCTACACACCACACACACACACACACACACACTAACAAGTGCTTCTCAAACTTTCAAATTTGGGAATTATGTGAAGAGCTCATTAAAACACAGATTCTAACCTCACTACCAGAATTCCTGATTCTGCTCTCTGGAGAACCCTAGTCACGCATAGAACAATACCTGATTAACCTTTTATTCCAATTCAGTTCATATTTGTAAAGAATGTTGTCACCTAATAAATATGTCTTAAATTTCTTTAGAATACTAAGAGCAGTTCTCCAAGGAACACTTGCCCAGCAACAGCATCTCCAACAATGAACTGACAATAACTCTGGCTTTGAAACTTGAGGACCAATGAACTCTGAACTCTGTTCTTTTCTTTCTTTTTTTTTTTTTTTTTTGAGACAAAGTCTCACTCTGTCACCCAGGCTGGAGTGCAGTGGCGAGATCTCGGTTCACTGCAACTTCCTCCTCCCAGGTTCAAGCAATTCTCCTGCCTCAGCCTCCCGAGTAGCTGGAATTACAGGTGCATGCCACCATGCCCAGCTAATTTATTTTGTTTTGTTTAGGTTTTTTATTAGAGACAAATTATTTTCACTACATTGGCCAGGCTGGTCTCGAACTCCTGACTTCAGGTGATCCGCCCACCTTGGCCTCCCAAAGTGCTGGGATTGCAGGCATGAGCCACTGTGCCCAGCCGAATGAACTCTGCTTCTAAGCAGTTTATGTAAGACTCTTTTTTGCTAATAAAAGCTCCTCTTACCCTTCCCTCACCAAATAAATGCACTGGTAGCTTGCCATTCCATGCACTCCAAATTATAATCTTTACTTCTATTCCTGAGTAAATCCATCATATTTAGAGATAATTTTTTCTAGTGTCTTTTTTTTCAGAATAACATTGATAATATTAGTAAACATAAGTATTTTAAAACTTAAGAATCCCATGACAACCTAAGAAAGGTGTATGAACATAAGTTTCCATGAGACAGATGATTGGCTTTGGCAGACTGAAATCATGTAGAAACTATTTTCATATGCAGCTTATACATTTAATGTTTACTACACATTAAGTGGTATTTCTCACTAACAATTCCATATTACAATTTCAGGATAATAGATTTATCCCAAATTTTGATATTCCCTTGAGAGCTGTGAAAGTAATATATGGCCTACAAAAACATTTCAGGAAATGAGTAACTTGGATAAATTAGTGCAACAAATGTTTATGGCTTTTTCTCATTTTTGGAAAAAGTTACTCCTAATTACCAATCTCTGTCTTCTTCCAGAACCTTTCCCATTCACCGTAACTTACCAGATTTTTTTCAGTGAATATCTGTATTTACAAAGAACTTTTTGTAGTGTGAAATAAACCTTACCTCCCAAACAGTTTTCATGCCTTATTACTTTACTTTGTTACAACATCTTTGTGCCACATAAGATAATTACAATTAGTCCTTTTTAGAGATGAGAAAACTGAGGCACAAAAAGATTAAGTAATTTACCGAAGCCCTTCCAGTTAATTAGTTTCAAAACTAAAGTTAGAGCCAACCAATTAAGTAGTTATACTGAGTTTACTCTGAATAATTCATATGACCTCTAGTTATAAAAGTTAAACTAATAGCCTGATGGCATAGCCAGTAGTTGGCTTACTTTTCAAAATCATAAGACTGTGAAAGCAGATGAGAAGACGAAAGGTCCCACTCTGAGTAATAGCCATACAAATGATCATTTAATACATTCTCTTTTTAAATATGTCAGTTTGGTTTTTTGTTTGTTTGTTTGTTTTGAGACGGAGTCTCGCTCTGTCGCCCACCCTGGAGTGCAGTGGCACAATCTCATCTCACTGCAAGCTCCGCCTTCCTGGGTTCAAGCCATTCTCCCGTCTCAGCCTCCTGAGTAGCTGGGGCTACAGGCGCGCACCACCACGCCCGGCTAATTTTTTGTATTTTTAGTAGAGACGGGATTTCACCGTGTTAGCCAGGATGGTCTCGATCTCCTGACCTTGTGATCCGCCCGCCTCGGCCTCCCAAAATGCTGGGATTACAGGCATGAGCCACTGCGCCCGGCATCAGTTTGGTTTTTTTAATAGCATTTCTTTTCCTAGCAGTATCCAATTCACGAATGACAATTTTTAAAAAGC
Organism: Homo sapiens; assembly: GCF_000001405.40. Lineage (NCBI taxonomy): Eukaryota > Metazoa > Chordata > Mammalia > Primates > Hominidae > Homo > Homo sapiens. The sequence goes on along the minus strand of NC_000006.12, from coordinate 119,106,038 downwards.
ATGCCAAAAATCTGAGACAATTATGTGACCTTAAACAGTGATGTGGTTTGTTTAAATATGGAGCTGGTAATTTACTGAGATTCAGCTGTTCATGACTGATATCTTCACGTTAGTTATACATACTTAATTAATTAAAATTAATGTTTGCCAACTAACTATGCATCTGGGCAATAAATGTGCTTGATATTTGCTGTCAAAGTACAGATTATAATAAATTTCTGCAATGCGTATGGTTTTCTAAATGTATTTCTATTATTGAAAGGGCAAGACCAGCTTTGTATTAGATGAAAATTATTGGGAAAATGGGAGACATAGCTCAAAACTGAAGGTACCTGTTTGCAGCCCATATATTCTTTAAATAAACTTTTTTTAGAACAATTTTAGATTTACAGAAAAATTGTGAGGGTAGTTGTATTAGTCCGTTTTCACACTGCTGTAAAGAACCACGTGAGACTGAGTAATTTATGAAGAAAAGAGGTTTAATTGACTCACAGTTCTGCAGGCTTAATAGGAAACATGACTGGGAAGCCTCAGGAAACTGAATCATGGTGGAAGGCAAAGGGGAAGCAAGCAGGTCTTACCATGGTGGAGCAGGAGAGACAGCGAGTGAGGGGGGAAATGCCACACACTTTTAAACCATCAGATCTCAGGAGAACTCACTCACTATCCCGAGAACAGCAGAGGGGAAATCCACCCCCATGTTTCAATCACCTCCAACCAGGCCCCTCCTCCAACACGTGGGGATTACAATTCAAGATGAAATTTGGGTGAGGACACAGAGCCAAACCATATCAATAGTACAGAAAGTTCCTATATATTCCACACCCAGATTCCCCTGTTGTTAACATTTTATATTAGTATGACACACTATTATTAACTAAAGTCCACATTTTATCCCATTTTCCTAAATTTTTACCTACTATCCTTTTTCTGTTCCAGGATCCCATATAGGATACCATATTACATTTAGTCATCGTATCTCTTAGGCTCTCCTTGGCTTTGATGGCCTCAACAGTTTTGAGTAGTACTGGCCAGTGTTTTATAGAATGTTCCTCTACTGAAATTTACCTTATGTTTTTCTCATAATTAGACTGGACTTAGGGGTTTTGATAGTGAAGATCACAGAAATCAACTGCTATTTTCATCACATCAGATCAAGGGCACATGCTATCAAAATGACTTATCACTATTGACGTTGACCTTGATCACCTAGTTGAGGTAGTATTGGGTAGTAGCTTTCTGCACTCTAAAGTTACAGTTTTTCGCGCGTTTTATAGGGCTTTTTGGAAAGAAGTCTCTATTTGCAGTCCACACTTAAGGAGTGAAGAGCCATTTAATTTTATATGTAAATAAAATGTAATTTATAATTTTGAAAGCATGCACCATTTAAAAAAATGTAATCATCAAAGTCTTGGTAAGTTGTGGCATCTTGACACTTTACACACTTAAGATCATATTCTTAGAATCTTTGTAGGGACATCTTCTGTGTGATACTATTTGCGTGATACCACTTTGGACACATTTTCCCAGGTTCTCAGATTATTTCTCTGACAAGCTTTTATTATCAGGCACTATGGTGGACCCTGGGAATGCAAACCTGAGACATTATCCTTGCCCTCAAGAGGTTTAAGTTCTCATTTTAGAGATTCCACATTCTAAAAGCCAATACTTTCCTCGTTTTTCTTGCGGTGGCATTTGGAATATTTTCAAACATCTTTTTAGAACTATGGTTGGCCAGGCATGGTGGCTCAAGCCTGTAATTCCAGTACTTTGGGAGGCAGAGGTGGGCAGATTGCTTGAGCCCAGGGGTTTGAGGCCAGCCTGGCCAACATGGCAAAAATACAAAAATTAGCTGGGCTTGGTGGCAGGCACCTGTGGTCCCAGATACTTGGGAGGATCGTTTGAGCCTGGGAGGTTGAGGCTGCAGTGAGCCCTGATCACACCACTGCACTCCAGCCTGGGCAATAGGGCAAGACCCTATCTCAAAAATAAAAATAAAAATAAACTTACATAAATTAAATAAAAATATCATCATTTTCCAAAATATGGCACAATACATTATTACCAGAGTAAAGAATGAACATTCCTCTTTTTTTTTTTTTTTTTTTTTCTCTACACGGAGTCTCACTCTGACACCAGGCTGGAGTACAGTGGCTCGATCTCTGCTCACTGCAACCTCCACCTCCTGGGTTCAAGCAATTCTCCTGCCTCAGCCTCCCAAGTAGCTGGGACTACAGGTGCGTGCCACCATGCCTGGCTAATTTTTGTATTTTTAGTAGAGATGGGGTTTCACCATGTTGGCCCAGGATGGTCTCAATCTCTTGACCTCGTGATCCGCCTGTCACAGCCTCCCAAAGTGCTAGGATTACAGGCTTGAGCCACCGTGCCTGGCCTCCTCTCTCTCTTTTTAAAAATATTTTGTTTTCCTGCCTCAGAAAAACATAGATGTGGTTCCTTAGAATTTCCCTGAATTTTTTCCAACAAATGAATTGGACATCCAATTATGCACAATCTTCTAGTTTTGTCTTGCTCATCTTTTATTATTGAAAGAGCAAAGAACGCATGCTGGGATGGAAGGTCTACCACCATCCTAATTCTTGCATCAGCTAAAGTGTCTTTGTCTATAAATTACAAAAAAATCACTCAGCCAGATTGGCTTAAATAATAGAAATTTGTTAACTCATGTATCAGAAAATCCTGAAGTAGTCAGTAAATAGATTTGGGGGGGTTGATGTAGCTACTCATCAATGTCATCTTGGATCCAGCTTCATTTCGTCTTTCCACTCTACACTCATCAGTGTCCTGGCTTCATACTCTGACTGGTAACAAGATGGATGTAGTAGTTTCAGGCATCACATACAGACACAGCAGTGTCCACAGGTAGAAAGCAGGCCCTTCTCTATCCTTGTCATGGACAAGAACCAGGTCCCTGAACCACATGATCATAAACCAATTCCTGGCAGGAGAATAAGAATATCATAATTGATTCAGACCAATTAGGGTTGACTCCCGAGCTGGAGGTTACTCCAGAATTGCATGAAGAACAGATGAATATCTGAGCAAAACTAGGGTCCTGTTAAGAAAGAATAAGAAGGGAGTAGACATTGTATAGAAAACCAAGGCCTACTATATGCTCTTTGTAGCATTTCCTGGCAGGTCTGTCCTACTTTAGAGCTCATATTGTTCTTCTCTGCCCTTTTTTAGTGATATTTTCTTTTCTTTTTTCTTTTCTTTTTTTTTTTTTTTTTTTTTTTGAGATGGAGTCTCTGTCATCAGGCTGGAGTGCAATGGCTCGATCTCAGCTCACTGCAACCTCCTCCTCCTGGATTCAAACGATTCTCCTGCCTCAGCCTCCTGAGTAGCTGGGGCTACAGGTGCATGCCAGCATGCCCAGCTAATATTATGTATTTTTTAGTAGAGACGGGGCTTCACCATATTGGCCAGGCTGGTCTCAAACTCCTGACCTCAGGTGATCTACCTACCTCGGCCTTCCAAAGTGCTGTGATTACAGGTGTGAGCCACTGTGCCCAGCCTATAGTGATATTTTCAAACTCAAGATTTTCTGCTGGTAATAGCTCTCTGCTTTCCTGATACATACTGAAGCTTATTTACTATGATTCCTATTGCCTAATACACCTGATTCTAAGTAGAGATTATTTTAAGCACAGGCCTCCTTCTCATGCCTTATTGGTCTTTAGGGTATAACAATTTTAGTAATAATTGGGGGGAATTAAGAATTCCACTAACTGCTGGCCTACAGCAAATCCTAAAGGGCCAATATCTTACATTTATAATCAGCTTCACTCTTTTCATTGAAAATTATACTCCCAATCTTCTGATGAGGGATGGAAAACAATCTGCTGTTTCCTGTGCCCTGCCCTAACTACTCCTTTTCCATGATAGAATATTATTCAGTTTCTTCCTAGCATTACTCTATTTATGATGCATTTATATACTTTATTTATTTTTATTTTTATTTTTTTGAGATGAAGTCTCACTGTGTTGCCCAGGCTGGAGTGCAGTGGTATGATCTCGGCTCACTGCAACCTCTGCCTCCCAGGTTCAAGCGATTCTCCTACCTCAGCCTCCTGAGTAGCTGGGATTACAGGCACACGCCACCAAGCCCAGCTAATTTTTGTATTTTTAGTACAGACAGGGTTTCATCATGTTGTCCAGGCTGGTCTTGAACTCCTGACCTCGGGTGATGTGCCCACCTCAGCCTCCCAAAGTGCTGGGATTACAGGCGTGAGTCACCGCACCCAGCCTATCCTTTATTCTTTAATTTTTTGTGTGTCTTTATGGTGGTTGTCTCCTACTATGTATCCCACTTGTACCAGCAAGGGATATGAATACAAAAGATTCATATGAAGAATGTTAACATGATTTGTACATATAATTTAAGCATTATTAGTATGTTACATCCCATGCCCACACTCAAGAAATTTGCGCGATTATAGAAGACAAATGTGGGTATGGTGGGAAAAGTACCAAAATTAGAATCAAAAGAGTGAAGTTTGAACATTAGCAACTTGCTTGATTTATGGCCTTACAGGGGAATATTTAACTTATCTTGGTCACTGTTATCCTATAGTAAAGTAAGGCTCATAATATTTATCTCAAGGACTGTTTTGAGATTAAATGAGATAATTGATATGAAAGTGCATTGTGGCTGGGCGCAGTGGTTCACGCCTGTAATCCCAGCACTTTGGGAGGCCGAGGCGGGCGGATCACCGGAGGTTGGGAGTTCAAGACCATTCTGACCAACGTGGAGAAACCCCGTCTCTACTAAAAAAATACAAAAAAAATTAGCCAGGCGTGGTGGTGCATGCCTGTAATCCCAGCTACTCGGGAGGCTGAGGCAGGAGAATTGCTTGAACCCAGGAGGTGGAGGGTGCAGTGAGCCGAGATCATGCCATTAAACTCCAGCCTGGGCAACAAGAGTGAAACTCCATCTACAAAAAAAAAAAAAGAAAGTGCATTGTGAGAAATGTGAGACATTATGGGGGATTACTATTTTCATAGAGCCTATAAAAACATGAGGATATAGAGAAGTTTTTTTGTTTTGTTTTTTGGGGTTTTTCTGAGACAGTCTTGCTCTGTTGCCCAGGCTGGAGTGCAGTGGCGTGATCTCAGCTCACTGCAACTGCCCCCTTCCGCGTTTAAGCGATTCTCCTGCCTCAGCCTCCCAAGTAGCTGGGACTATAGGCGCCCGCTGCCACACCTGGCTAATTTTTGTATTTTTTTAGTAGAGACGAGGTTTCGACATATTGGCCAGGCTGGTCTTGAACTCCTGACCTCAAGTCATCTGCCCACCTCGGCCTCCCAAAGTGCTGGGATTACAAGCATGAGCCACTGCATCCAGCCTAGAGTATTTTTAATGTTCAAGAAAACTAAACCAATGGGTCAGTACAGAGAGGTAAAAACTAAACTAGCTATTGGCTTTATTCAGACAAAAATGTTTGACTAGCTAATGTCAGTGTCCAGCCCATATCCCTCCGGCCCACGCTGGAGGTCAACTGTATTTAGGTAGACAATGACTTTTCACCTTAAGCATCCCTCTGCCTGAGAGCTCTCAGGGAGTTAATTTCCTGGGGAGCAAACTTCAACCAGTAATGGGCAGACATTGATGGATAAAAACCCTTGCTTCCTTGTCTCTTGGAACAATTTCAGATGTGCTTTACAATGTGTCTCAGAGTGTCCATAGTGATAGTGAGCCCCAATTACTCATGGCAGTAACCTGTACATTGCATTGTACAATGCAAAGATAATGCATTGATCTTTTCCCTGTCTCCTTCCATTTCCTGTACCATTTCATTTCTCCCTCACCATAGTTCCTGGGATCACCTCTGTGTAGAAAAAAAATAAACTCAGTTTCTCCCACCATACTCTCACACCAGACGTGTGGGAATTTCTCCCCACCAGCCAGCAAGCAATCACTTCTGCAGTGAATACCAGCTGGGTGTCCTCCAATATAATTCTGACACCACCTACCTGGAGATAGTATCAGATCCCACAGGTTGAGGGCTCAGTCCCCAAGACTTCTCACCTTTTGATGCCCATCTCAAGCCCAGGTTCTTTCACCAGTGCTTCTGACTGACTAGCTATAAACTGGAGATCCCAAATCCTGGTTCTGGGTTCCATTAATTTGCTAGAGTCGCTCACAGGATTCAAGGAAACACTGGCTTGTTACAAAGGAGACTGCAAAGGATACGATGAAGAGATGCATAGGGTGAGGTATGGGAAGGGGTGTGGAGTTTCCATGCCCTCTTCAGGTGCGCCCCCCTCCAGGAAGCTCCATGTATTAAGCTATCTGAAAGCTCCCCATAACCTGTCCTCTTGCGCCTTTTACGGAGACTTCGATAGATAGGAATGTTAGCAACTGTGAGAAATGTGATTGGGCAAAAAGTGTATGATCCCATACTAATAGATTGGGTGGAGAAACCCAGCAAGGCCTGTCTGTCCAGATTCTTCTTGGCCTGTCGGTGCAATTTTCCTTCTTCCAGGATACGGAGCAGGACCCCTTTTGAAATGGGGGTCTTATTGAGATGGAGCAGGGACTCCTCTTAGGGGTCTACTGGAAGCTCTTCCCCCAAGCATGAAATAAAGGAAAATCTTTAGTTTCTTCAGGGGAAATTCCAGGCACCTAGCTAGCCCTGAGAAGTAAATGAGCAACTTAACAAGCAGGACAGTAATAGTAGCTTAAAACAATTGGCAAGAAAGTTACAGTCATGAGAAGTTTGGTTCCCTGCAGAAGCTAAAGATGAGGATTCAGGGAAACACTGGCTTGTTACAAAGGAGATTGCGAAGGATACGATGAAGAGATGCATAGGGTGAGGTATGGGAAGGGGTGTGGAGCTTCCATGCCCTCTTCAGGTGTGCGCCCCTCCGGGAAGCTTTTTTGTTTTGTTTTATTTTGTTTTGTTTTCTTGATACGGAGTTTTGCTCTTGTTGCCTAGGCTGGAGTGCAATGGCATGATCTCGGCTCACTGCAACCTCCACCTCCCAGGTTCAAGCGATTCTCCTGCCTCGGCCTCCCAAGTAGCTGGGATTATAGGCATGCGCCACCACATCCCAACTAATTTTGTATTTTTAGTAGAGATGGGGTTTCATCATATTGGTCAGGCCGGTCTCCCACTCTTGACTTCAGGTGATCCACCCGCATCGGCCTCCCAAAGTGCCGCCACGCCCAGCCTAAAGATAACATCTTAACACATGTACCTGAGTTGTTTTTCAGAAACTCAGACCCCTACTAAATGGGTCCACCGGCACGTAGACCTCACATAAGAATTGAGGACTGAACTCTGACCACGGTTCTTTGTTCTAAATTTCTTCCTGAGGGACCTGGAGGAAGTCATGCCCATGGGCCAGACCTATCATTTCTGTCTGCTGAACTCAAAATTTTAAAGAAAGCTTCCCTTCCTCAACCAATTCCAAATAAAAAAATTTTGAATCTACCTATGACCCATAACACGCTACTTCAAGATATCTCACCATTTTAAGCCAAACCAACGTATAGCCTTCATACATTTATGATTTTGCCTGTAATTTCTGCTTTGCTGAAATTTACTCCTGCCTTTAAAAAGTCTTGCTTGTAAGACACAGGGAGGTTGGGTCTTAAGCGTGAGCTGCCTGATTTTCTTTACTTGGCATTCTGCAAATAAATCCCCTCTGTATTAGTCTGTTTCACACCACTGATAAAGACATACTCGAGACTAATTTATAAAGAAAAAGAGGTTTAATGGACTCACAGTTCCACGTGGCTGGGAAGGCCTCACAATCATGGTGGAAGGCGAAAGGCATGTCTTACCTGGTGGCAGCCAAGAGAGAATGAGAGCCAAGCAAAAGGGGTTTCCCCTTATAAAACCATCAGATCTCATGAGACTTACTCACTACCACGAGTACAGTATGGGGGAAACCACTCCCATGATTCAATTATCTCTCACCGGGTCCCTCCCACAACACATGGGAATTATGGGAGCTACAATTCAAGATGAGACTGGGGTGTGGACACAGCCAAACCATATCACCCTCCCTCCTCCTGATGCAAAACCTCGGTGTGGTTGTTCGGCCTTACTGCATCCGGTGAGAGGGCCCCAGTTTGGTTCAGCAACATTATGACCTACAATCAGACAATGTAGTCAGATAATTTCTTTATGGCCAGCTCCAAGACAGAAAGGTGAGGAAAGATTAGAGTATATTTTTAGTTTCTATGGCCTGCCTCGAGGAGAAAAAGGAGCAGGTGAAAGGAAGGCAGGTCAGAGAGAGAGAAAGAGAGAGACAGATTCTGTTTCCTAAGGTCTAGTTCTGAGGCCTAAAGTATTGCAACATTACACCAAAAGACTACCTTTTACCTTTTTCACCCTGAAGCTGCTTCAGGAACCAAAGACAAAAGGACAAAACCTTGAGCGAAAGATATGATTATTGTTTCGGCCACTTAGCAAGTAACCAGGGCTATGGGAGTTATGAGCCAGGGACCGTGGTAGAAAAGACTTATATATATATAAATGTATATGTAAAATAGTATCACAACCTCCCAAATAAACTGCTTGTACCCAAATCCTTGTCTCAGAATCCACTTTTGGGTGAAATCTGAAGTAAGACATTTGTTTTTCATTTTTGAATATTCATTCTGTTGCATAAAACTTGCTTTACAAGCATGTGTTTGTGATGGTTCACATTTTGTTTGTCTTTGCTTTTAATTGTTCTTTTTATAAAAGAACACAAGAAATTGGAGAGTAGGACAGGAAGGAGGAAGAGGAAAAGAGGTGGAGAACTGAAAGCTGAGCTCTTTTTCTTAAGTGAAAAAACATGTTTTGAAAAAGGAAGTATTCCTTTTTAAGTGTGAATACAACCAGTCATGAGGCAGAGGTGAGAGAGAACTGCATGAACTGCGAGATGGGAAGGGTGGAAGGGAATGTCATCGTTGTTCTGACCCCAGTATTCCTTCTGATAGGATTTTTCTAAATCTGGACTCTTATTGCCTCTTCTGGCCCCCATACTTTCTACTCTGGGAATTCCTCTTTCTTAACTACATTTCTCATCACCAGGGTAACACAATAAAATCTTCAAATGAGAAAAGAGAGGAAATGTCAAGCAGGACTGTGCAGAATGCTTTGCTTTGTCTCTAAGTTCTGAGCTTGGACGGGCTTCCTGGAGACCAGCCCATGCCTTCTGACGTCAAGGACAGGCCTGGACCTGAGAGAAGCAAGTCGGGAGGAGTGGGGGTGGGGAAGTAATTGGTGTCAGGAGGTAGGAGAGACAAAAGTGTGTTCAAGCATTTATCCAGAGTGCTATCACTCCCATACTGAATCTCAGCCTAGACCAATACCAATACTAATAACAGTCCTTAGCATTAACCTTTTCTTTCTTTCTTTTTTTTTTTTTTTTTTTTTTTTTGAGATGGAGTCTCGCTCTGTCGCCCAGGCCGGACTGCGGACTGCAGTGGCGCAATCTCGGCTCACTGCAAGCTCCGCCTCCCGGGTTCACGCCATTCTCCTGCCTCAGCCTCCCGAGTAGCTGGGACTACAGGCGCCCGCCACCGCGCCCGGCTAATTTTTTGTATTTTTAGTAGAGACGGGGTTTCACCTTGTTAGCCAGGATGGTCTCGATCTCCTGACCTCATGATCCACCCGCCTCGGCCTCCCAAAGTGCTGGGATTACAGGCGTGAGCCACCGCGCCCGGCCCCTTTTCTTTCTTTCTGTTCTTCCAAAGCAGTGTAAAGTACTCCTTTCAAAGCAGTACCACGTTACAAAATCTGCAAATCCCAGAAGTCAATAACCTGAAGACATGCCAGGAGCAGTGAAGAAAACAAGTGTCATGAGAGATGAGGCAATAAAGACAGCAAGCTGAGGAGGAGGCTGTTTTCAAGCCACTTATCAGAATACACAGTAGGTACCCTTTTTCCCCTGGTACCCAATGTCACCACCTCAAAGGGGTGATTTTTTTAATCGATGGCCTAAAGAATTCTTTTCAAATGACATGAGTTGCTTTGAGGAGAGGTGGAATGAGATAGGCTCAAATACAAAGAAGAATCTTGCCAAAGTCCAAAGTCAGAAAAGAACCCACTGTGAAAGAGGAACCCACAAGAGTCAACATCTTGCTACTTCAACTAATTGCGCCCATTGGAAGGCAATGGAAGATGGACTGGAAGTTCACACACACAAAAAAATAGAAAAACCTGTCTGGGCATGGTGGCTCTCACCTTTAATCTCAGTGCTTTGGGAAGTTGAGCCAGAAGGATCACTTGAAGCCAGGAGTTCAAGTCCAGCCTGGGCAACATAGCAAGACCCTGTCTCTATAAAAATAAAAATAATTAGCCAGGTGTGGTGGTGTGCACTTGTAGTCCTAGCTACACAGGAGGCTGAGGTGGGAGGATCACTTGAGCCCAAGTGTTCGAGGCTGCAGTGAGCTATGATCACACCATTGCACTGTAGCCTGGGCAACAGAGTACCTACCTCTAAAATAAATAAATAATGAAAGAAAATAAAAGCCTATATTATTTCTCATCTAGATATTATAATATCCTCTCTGAGAGACCACCCAAAGAGTGCCATGAAAGGTAGAGCTAAATTCTGTCTCTGGCCACTGGATTTTCAAGCCAGGAGCAAGGGATTGGATAACTACAACTTGCTTATAGTTCTTCCCCCAGGAACTTAATAAAAAGTGTAAAAAAAGAACACCTAACAGGAACTCACCAATGCCTCTCACTAGGATCTTTCCTGACTTCAGCACGTTTTATAAAACACACATGGATTGTTTCTTCTCTCAGTGCCTTTGAGGAGACAAAGGTTATCCTGGTAAGAATGAATAGGGCTTATAAGTAGGGTTCTTAGCAAGGAAGAGATGGGAATATTTAATTAAAGGAGACCATTTGCTGGGTGTACGGGACTGGCTTTTGTGATAAAGTAGATGCTCTACATCCACTCAGCCCACCTTTGATTTTTTTTGCTGCAGCTGTAATGCACTTTCCTATGCATGCTGACAGAGTCCCACCACAAGTTCCTCTTCATCTCTCTGACATCCTTTACCAAGGAAGCAGTGGGAGCTTATATGCTAGGAGCTTATAAGTGTACAGGGCAAGCCCAAAGGAGAAATATTCCCCCATTAGAACCCCAGCCAGTGGTGCCAGGGGATAAATTGTTCAGCCTCCCCTCTTTTGCAGGGCCATTCTCAAGTGTATTCCACATGGTTCCTCAAAGGATCCTCGGAAGGCTTGAGCCCAATTGCCCACTGCGGTAATTAGTTCAATAACATCCCCTCCTTTTTTTTTTTTACTTTTCCATCTTCCTTCTCTCAGTAAGCTTACTCCTTCATTCCTACTTTCTGGAGTCATTTTGCAAATAAATTACCTGAACTCAATTCCTTACCTCATGCTCTACTTTTGGGTGGACCCAAACTAAGACAGTAATATCTGGTGTAGTTGGAGAAAGCATCCCCTCGGGATGGTATTCTGGAACAGGTTTACTCACCAGTCAGATGAAAACAAAAGCTCCATTGCTGGTAGTAATTGTGGTGTTGATAACCTCTGGCATAACAATCAAACTCTCACCCGTGGTGGACAGGATGTTGTGGAAGGGAAAGCTTCACTTATATAGTATCTAATACTGGGATGAAAGGGGGCAATGGTAATTATAACAGTAGTGGAATTGACTGGCTTTTGTGAAATGCCATAAGAGTTTTGAAGACTGCCTCAAAGAAAAAGACGAGTTCAGGTCAGCCAACTATCAGGTCAAGACATTCTGTGAAAGTCAGAAGTCTTCCATGACAGCAAGTAAAGGGACTGTGTAGCAAAACGGCAGTCGGGCCAGGCACAGTGGCTTGCTCCTGTAATCCCAGCTACTCGAGAGGCTGTGGCAGAAGGATCGCTTGAGCTCAGGAGTTTAAGGCTGCAGTGAGCTATGATTGTGCCTGGGCAGCAGAGTGAGATCCCATCTCTGAAACAGAAAGAAAAGAAAAGAGAGAGAGAAAGAAAAAGAAAGGAAAGAAGGAAGGAAGGAAGGAAGAAAGGAAAGAAGGGAGAGAGGGAGGGAGGGGAGGGGAGGGAGGGAGGGAGGAAGGAAGGAAGGAAAAAAAGATGAAAGGGCAGTCTGTGCTAAAATTCAAGCTCCAAATTCAATCTTAGGGGTGGCAGAATGGCAAAGGAGACTGAATATACAGGTCTTCTACGCTAAAGATCTATGCTAAAGTCACAGCTTTGATAGGGAAACAGTGGGACTCAGACTTGGGATGAAGGCCTCTGTGAGGATATGGATGAGGACCTTAAATCCTGGGTGCTCTTGAATCAGGGAGGTTACAGAAACCAGTCTCCTGCCTCTTGCTGGAGGACAGCAGTCTTCCCTTGCCTGAAGAGGATGAAAACCTTCCTGAGTTGAGTGTCTTGGAAGATGTTACTCGTCCTCCTTGGGATCCCTCCAGTGACTCCTCTAACTGCCTGTAGCTTGAAAATGTGTCAAGTTCTAGCATACCGTAAGAGGGAAGGTACTGTTTCTTCTATGGGAAGAAATAACTTGCTGAAAGAATTACAGAAAAATTCTGACAGGAAAGAGGAAAAGATCTATGGGAATAAATCTGAAAGTGTTAAATTGAATAGGATAGGTAAGTGAGATATAAGGCTGAATACAGGAGAGTGTAATTCTCCCGTGACTCACGGTAACATCCCATCAAGGACTCCTGGAGTTTGTCCCAACACACTGCTAAGACGGTGCCTTGAAACTTGGACATGATAACAATGTAGAGATGCCACAGTTGTCTATTTAAAAAAAGGTCAGAAGGCTCAAGGAAGTGGGCATAAGAGAATGAGATTTTTATGTGAGACCAATCGCCTGACTGTTTCCTACTGTACTCCCTCCACAAAGGTAAGAAGGAACATACCAGCATTTTATGAAAGGTTAGTGGCAGTGGCCTCTATGAATTGGGGTTCACAGAATAAAATTCTGCCACAGAATTGAGCCTTCTAGGGTCAATGGGAATAAAAAGAATTCAATTATTTGAGAGTCCAGGTAGCTGCACTTAAACATCGAAGGCCAGATGGACATAATTCATGTAATATGCAAGACTATAGGGGTAACCAGGGTTTTGCCAGGCCCCTAGAGATTTGTGATAATAGATCTTCATGTTCCCAGGAGTGAGATGGATAGGCAGCCTACAAAAATATTACTTGACTTTCATAACCAGAAAAAAAGTAAAAACAGGTGAGCAGTAGGCTAGGATCAGTGCCACAGTAGAAAAGTATAATACTCTGTTGAGTTTTTAGACCAGAGTGAGTTATCAGACCCAGAACCCAATAATTGAAGGGGAAGCATGATCTGCTCAAGGAAAGGCCCTGCAATCACATCATAAACATATATATATATTAACTCTCCAATTCTTCCCCCAAAGAGACCTATGGCTATTTATTCAGACCTTTCAAGGGCTGTTAGATACAGGATCTGAGGTGACACTAATAACAGGGGACCCAAATGCTATCATGGCCCCATTGATAAAGGTGATGGATAATATGGTAATTACCCTGATTTGATCCTTACACATTGTATATACATATTGAAATATTATACTGTACTCCATCAATGTGTACAATTATATGTCAATTAAAAATAATAATTGGCTGGGCACAGTGGCTCATGCCTGTAATCCCAACATGTTGTGAAGCCAAGGTGGGAGGATTGCTTGAGCCCAAGAGTTCAAAACCAGGCTGGGCAACATGGCAAGACCCTGTCTCTAGAAACAATAAGAAATTAGCCAGGTGTGGTGGTGTGTACCTGTAGTCCCAGCAACTTGGAAGGCTGAGGGGTGAGGATTGCTTTAGCCTGGAAGGTCGAGGCTTCAGTAAGCCATGGTTATGCCACTGCACTCCAGCCTGGGTGACAAAGTGAGATCCTGTCCCCCAAGTAAATAAGTAAATAAGCAGGCAAATAAAAGTCATGTGGATATACGAATAAGAGTAGAAATGAACATGCACATCTTCATGCCTCACACTAATGTTCTCTGGAGAACATCCATCACTGAGAGGCTCTTAGCAATGAGGAAAAGAGGCTACCCCTTGGGTAGATGTCAGCCAGCCTCTATTCTTGGCACTCCAATGCTAGTGCAATGGACCCATCAACATAGTAGCTTTGTCAGCAGGTATGGAGGCCATGCAAGGCCCCAACTGTATTGGCTCATTCTCACCAAGCTGGCATAGCTACTGTATCTACAAAGTTCTGACTTGTCAGCAACAAAAACCAATAACACACATTCAGCAGAGTACCAACCTTCAAGGACACTAGCCAAGAACTTAGGGGCAAATTGATTGCATCCGATCCCTCATCCTCCCTCCAGAGAGGACAGTGATTCATCCTTACTGGAATTGTTTCCTGTTCTGAATATGAGTTTGTCCTTCTTGCTCATAGTGTAGCTTCTAGGATTATTATCTGACAGCTTACAGAATGCTTCATTTACTAACGTTGTTACCTGTATAACATCAGTTTGCACTAAAGGACCCATAGTGAAGGAGGCACAACAAGACAACATGGGCACAAGACTATGGGATCCACTGTTCCTACCATATACCACAGTATCCACAAGTTGCTGAACTGATAAAATGTTGGAATGAACAATTTAGAGATCGGCTAGTTTGGAGACAATACTCTGCATGATTAGGATTTGGCCTATAGGATGTGATATACGCATTGAGCCAATGCCGTGTATCTAATAGCTAGGATACATAAGTCTAGAAACCAAGGTGGAGAAGTTGAATTGGCTTCTCTCACCGTCATACCCAGCGACCCACTTGCAGAATTTGTGCTTCCTATGTTCACATCCTTAGGCTCTGCTAACATTCTTAAAAAATGCAAAGAATTATTTTTATAAATTTTTACTGGTGGTAGGAGGGAGAAAAATGACTTGTATCAATACGTAGCATTAGTACACAGCATTAATACACAGCAAGAATCTCACAGGACCTGTAGCTATGACTACCCCCTGCTCACTTTGGCTCTTTATGCCAAAGGACTAGTAGACAAAGAAAGGCATTTTTCATACTGGCAAGGTAATTGATCCTGATTATCATAAGCATCTAGGATTATTGCTAAATAATGAAGGCAGTAAGGAGTATTTCTAGATCTCGAAAGATTAACTGGGATTCATCTAGCTCTTTCATACCTGGCAAAAGCACTGAATGAAAAATTATAGCAGCCTCAGCCTGACATGGGTAAGCCAACCAAGAGCTTGGATTCCTCAAGGATGAAGACATTTGGATCTCCCCACCAACCAAATAACTTAGATTAGCTGAAGTGCTCACCAAGGGTAAAAAAAATCTGGAATGGGTGGAAATCTGAGTGGGACCTGATGAATATCAGTTATGGCCCTTTGAGCAGTTGCAGCAAGGGACATTTGCTTGCTACACTAAGTCTCATCTGGAGTCCTTTTAACAATCAGAAGCTAGCTATGACCTTAAAGAGTTGGTGACAGAATGAATTTCATATAGAGCAAAAATGGATCTGAAAGGTAAGGGATAGATTGTAGGAGATACTTTTGATGTCTTGTGCCACTTCTTTTGATTTCAGCTGCAAAGGTGTTGGACAGTTCCTATGCATGCCACAGTTTTCCCTCAAGCACCTGCTGGATCTCTCTGCCTTCCTGACTCCCACTCTCTCCAAAGCCACAGGAGTTCACTAAGCTCACATTGAATAACCAGACACACAGAGATGTTAATTCCCCTGGCAGCCATCCTCGATCAGTGAGTGAAAGGAGACAGCAGATAAATGTGTTAGCCTTTCGTCTTTGCTAGAGAAAATTCTGAGATTCATTTTACAAGATTCTTCAGAGATTGAGTCCCAATTGACCAAAGTGGTAACCAACTCAACAATGTGTCCTTCAATGGCTTTTCCTTATCTCTCTCATATTCTTGCTTTTCAAGATCACCTATCAAGTAAACTTATTCAGTCCCTGCTTGCAAAGGAAGCCAAGTAGATGGATAAACCAGTTGGCTTCTGGTTGATTGTGATATTCATAGAAAGGGTTGGCTGTGTTGTTAGAGAAAAAGCTAATGATAGTGTTGGTTGAGAAAATGAAGTTAACTAAAAATTGGAAATAAACATTTATTGTGCATGTATTATGTATCAAACATTTTAGAAGGTTTTCAATATCATTATCAGTTGATGATAGAGATGAGTTTTCTGAATTCATGGGGAAGAAACAAAAATAAGGAAAAAAGAGAAAGAAGCACATAGCAAGAAACCAACAAATCATAGTCAAACTCTTTTATAACGATGTTTACCAATATGCAGCCATCTAGATTAACCACTTATCTAAAGAAACAAGAACCACCTTATTTAGGCTTATTTTGTGTACCATGCTTTGGGTGTGTTAGGAGGTGGAAGTGAGAGTTGGAGCATGATTGATATGTGGTATATCCATACAAATACAACAAAATTCTGTTCTAAAAATATGAAATAATGGCTGGGCATGGTGGCTCACACCTGTAATCCCAGTGCTTTGGGAGGTTGAGGCAAGAGGATTACTCGAGACCAGGAGTTCAGGACCAGCCTGGGCAATGTAGCAAGATCCCATCTCTACAAGAATTAAAAAGTATATATTCCCAGCATTTTGGGAGGCCAAGTCAGGCAGATCATTTGACGTCAGGAGTTTGAGACCAGTTGAAACCCGTCTCTACGAAAATACAAAAAAAAATAGCCAGGTGTGGTGGCAGATGCCTGTAATCCCAGCTACTTGGGAGGCTATGACAGGAGAATCGCTTGAACCTGGGAGGTGGAGGTTGCAGTGAGCCAAGATCAAGCCACTGCACTCCAGCCTCGGTGACAGAGTGAGACTCTGTCTCAAAAAAATAAAAAAATAAATAAATAAATAAATAAAGAGAGAGAGATAATTAAAAAAAAAAAATAGGTGTTAGCTATTTGGGAGGCCGAGGGTGGGAAGATTGCTTGAGCCCAAGAGTTCCTGCCTGGGTGACAGAGAAAGATCCTGTCTAAAATAAATAAATAATAGAAAATATTAAATAATTCAACATGTAACATGAGAGAGATATAAGAAATACTCAAGATCATTTAGTCCAATCTCCTCATTTTACAAATGAAGAAAAGAGGTGGCTTAGTGGCAACATGAGACCCAGAATACCAACCAAGATTCTGATTCTCTTTTCATTATACATGGAAACTTGCACCAAGAGAAGAGTTGTCATTTAGAAAATGTTTAACTCAAAATGTTTTCCTTATTTGTGTGAAGTCTTACAAAAAGCTAGTATGATTATTGATTCCATTGGAGTTCAGTTGCTTGTACACAGTCTATAGTGATTCTGAGTCCCTTATACCTTGCTCTATGGCCTTAGATTGAGTCCCATTCAAATACTGAATGTTCCTAAGAGGCATAACATTGAGATGCAAATAAAAGACCTGAAAAGTACCTTTGAGATCACCTGGCCAACCCCGAAGAAGTTTTTGTAGATCTTTAGTACAGGTGCTTTTGTAGATATTTAGTATCATTTTCCATTGACTGCCTAACTTGGTCTCTATGATTCTTCTGGCCAAAATGGGAAGAAAGAATAGAAAAAAGAAGAAAGAAGAACATTTCCTCTACCTCTTTCTTTCAAATCTTATATTTAGACGTCCTCTTTAGCTAACCATGACCTTGGATAGGAAATGTCTATTTCATCTCCATGAGGAAAGCAGTGAATAAATGTTTATTGATTGATAGAACAGCATTCTCTGATTGTCTGTTCACTGGAATGCACTTCCCATAAGTAGCAAGAGTACTTTTCATCGATGAATCTTTTCTTAATTGTGGCAAAATATAAATAACATAAAATTTAGCATTTTAACCATTTTTAAGTGTATATTTAGTGCATTAAGTAGATGCACACTGTTGTACAACCATCACCACCATTCATTTCTGGACCTTTTTCATCTTCCCCAGTTGAAACCCTATACCCATTAAACAATAATTCTCCATTCCCTTCTCCTTCTAGCCCCTGGAAACCACCATTCTACTTTCTGTCTCTATGAATTTGAGTGTTCTAGCTACTTCATATAAGTAAAACATCATATGGTATTTGTCCTTTTGTAACTGGCTTATTTCACTTAATGTAATATCTTTAAGTTTCATTTATGGACCATGTGTCATTCTTTTTAAGATTGAATAACATTCTGTTGTATATACCACATTCTGTATATCCATATTTATCCATCAATACACATTTGGGCTGCTTCCATCTTTTGGCTTCTGTGAATAATGCTGCTGTGACAATCGGTGTACAAATTATCTTTTCAAGTCTTTGCTTTCAATTATTTTGGGTATATACTTAGAGGTGAAATTTCTGAATCATACAGTAATTCTGTCAATTTTCTGAGGAACCAGCATACTGTTTTCCACAGTGGCTGTACCATTTCACATTTCAACCAGCAATTTCAACCACAGGGATCCCAATTTCTCCATGTACCACTTGTTATTTTTCTGTTTGGGTTTGTTTTGTTTTTTTGATAGCAGCCATTCTAATGGGTGTGAAGTGGTATCTCATTGTGGCTTTGATTTGCATTTATAATTAGTGATGTTTTGACCATCTTTTTATGTGTTTATTAGCCATCTGTATATCTTCTTTAGAAAAATAACAATTCAAGTCCTTTGTCCATATTTTAATTGGGTTATTTGCTTTTTGTGTTGAGTTTTAGAAATTCTTTATATGCTCTGGATATTAATCCTTTATCAGAAGCATGGTCTGCAAATGTTTTCTCATATTTCATGGGCTACCTTTTCACTCTCTTGTTAGTATCTTTTGACGCATAAAAGTTTTTATCTTGATGAAGTTCAAATTATCTGTTTTTTCTTTTGCTGCCTATGCTTTTGGTCCATTAACTGTTGAGCTCACATCTCAATCCTAATTTTAATTCTTAACCTTAACTGCTACTGCCTGGGGTTAATCTAGGTTTTCTGGGGCCTGAAACATACACAATTTGGGAAGGCCTAAAAAATACAAAGAATGTTATTTTTGTAAATTTTACTTAATTTTATAACCATGTATCGTGTGCTAGGAGCCTCCCCTCCTTGGAAAAAATCAGGCAAACTTGACAGCTCTCTGTTCCTCAGCCTCAATGTCCTGTCTGTTTTACCTTATGGATATTTCACATCCATCCTTTTTTGTTCCTACTCTCACTGCCTTATTTTAGGTCAGTGGTTCATCATCTCTCACCAGAATAAGTGCAATAGCCTGCTAACTAGTCTCCTTGTTTATAGAGTT
This sequence comes from Homo sapiens, assembly GCF_000001405.40. Taxonomy (NCBI): domain Eukaryota; kingdom Metazoa; phylum Chordata; class Mammalia; order Primates; family Hominidae; genus Homo; species Homo sapiens. Next base: position 119,086,812 of record NC_000006.12, on the reverse strand, counting down.
GTCCCATAATCGATTTTCCACAGTCAAAAAATGATGTAACTAAAATGAAAATACGATTATTTCATGTTCCTGCTTAAAGCCCTCCAATGGCTCGTGATTGTCTTCGGGACAGAGACCCAATCCTCTTGTCAAGGCATGTAAGTCCCCTTCCATAAGTAATCTTGATACCTGTTCCACCTCACATTCTGACATCCCTCTCAAACTGTGCTCTAGCCATATTACACTACTTGCTTTTCCCTAAATAGGTCATGCTCTCATCTAATCTCCATGGCTTTGCCCTTACCGTCCTTAGAGCTTGTAATCTACCTTCCTACCCATTTTACCTGAAAAACTCAGCCTTCAGGGTCCATTCAAGCACTATGTTTGTATGTGTGAAGCTTTCTCTGACACCCCAAGTCTAGGTTAAGCGACTCTTTTGGAGTTCCTTTCACACTCACCCACTTTGTAGCATCTAATTCTTCATTTGTCTGTCTTCACTAGACTTTTAACTTCCTCAGGATAGAGACTACTGCCCTGAAGAGACTACTTTTTAGTCATCACTGCAGCCTCAGTACCTGGAACACAATAGGCAGTCAACAAATATTTCTGCATAAACAATCTCATGAAAGAAACAGGCACTAAGTATAGATTTCTTGCCTAACTAGTTTCTCTCATTTTCTCTCTTTCACATGCTAACTTTGCTAGATTTTTTTAAAAGTGAGGTTTGGGTGATGGGATTATGGGTGTGATATGGTTTGGATCTGTGTCTCTACCAAATCTCATGTGGAATTGTAATGTCCTGTTGGAGGTGCAGCCTGGTAGGAGGTGATTGGATCATGAGGGCAAAGTTCTCATGAATGGGTTAGCACCATCCCCTTGGTGCTGTTCTCATGATAATGAATGGGTGACTTATTATGAGATCTGGCTGTTTAAAAGTGTGTAGCACCTCCCCCCACTCTCTCTTTCTCCTGCTCTGGCCATGTAAGACGTGTTTGCTTCCCCTTCACCCTCCTCCATGATTGCAAGTTTCCTGAGGCCTCCCTAGAAGCAAAAGCTTCTATGCGTCCTCTGCATCCTGCAGAACTGTGAGCCGATTAAACCTTTTTTCTTTATAAATTACCCAGTCTCAAATATTTCTGCATAGTAAGAATAGACTAATGCAGAAAATTGGTACCAAAGAGTGGGGCGTTGCTGTAAATATACCTGAAAATGTGGAAGTGACTTTGGAACTAGGTAACTGTCAGAGATTGGAAGAGTGTGAAGTGCTCAGAAGAAGACAGGAAAATGAAGGAAAGTTTGGAACTTCCTAGAAACTGGTTAAATTTTTGTGACCAAAATGTTGTTAGTGATATGGACAATGAAGTCCAGGCTGAGAAGGTCTCAGAAGGCGATGAGGAATTATTGGAAACTGGAGCAAATGTCACTTTTGTTATGCCTTAGCAAATAATTTGGTTGGATTGTGCCCCTGCCCTAGGGATCTGTGGAACTTTGAACTTGAGAGTGATGATTTAGGGTATCTCGCAGAAGAAATTTCTAAACAGCAAAGCGTTCAAGATGTGCCCTGGCTGCTTCTCAATGTATGCTCATATGTGTGAGAAAAAAAATTATCTGAAACTGGAACTTACATTTAAAAGGGAAACAGAGCATAAAACTTTGGAAAATTTGCAGCCTGGTCATGTGGTAGAAAGGAAAAGCCTATTTTCAGCAAAGGAATTCAAGCAGGCCACAGAAATGTGCATAATGAAAAGAAAAGCAAATGCTGATAGCCAAGACAATGGGCAGAAGGCCTCCAAGCCATTGAAGGTAACCTCTCCCATCACAGGCCTGGAGCCCCAGGAGGGAAAAATGGTTTCATGAGCCACACCCAGGACCCTGCTGCCCTGTGCAGCCTCAGGACCCTGCTCCCTGCTCTGTCTCCAGTTTTGGCTCAAAGGGCTCCAGACACAGCTTGGGCTGTTGCTTCAGAGGGTGCAAGCCATAAACCTTGGTGGTATGAAGCCTGCGGATGTGCAGAGTGCAAGAGTTGAGGTTTGGGAGCCACTGCCTAGATTTCAGAGGGTGTATGGAAAAACCTGTATGTGTAAGCAGAAGCCTGCTGCAGAGGCAGAGCCCTCATGGAGAACCTCTACTAGGGCAGTGCCAAGGAGAAATTCGGGGTTGGAAACCCCACACAGAGTCCTCACTGGGACATTGCCTAGTGGAGCTGTGAGAAGAGGGCTGCCATCCTCCAGCCCTTAGAATGTTAGAGCCACTGGCAGCTTGCACCCTGTGCCTGGAAATGCCACAGGCACTTGATGCCAGCCCATGAGAGCAACTGTGGGGCCTGAACCCTGGAAGGCCACAGGGGTGGAACTGCCCAAGGCCTTGGGAGCCCACCTCTTGCATCAGTGTGCCCTGGATGTAAGACATGGAGTCAAAAGAGATTATTTGGGAGCTTTAAGATTTAATGACTGCCTTGCTGGGTTTCAAACTCAAAAGAAACTGGGTTTCTTTTGGCCAATGTCTCCCTTTTGGAATGACAATGTTTACCCAGTGCCTATAACCCTGATATGGTTTGGCTCTGGGTCCCCACTCAAATCTCATCTTGAATTGTAATCCCTATGTGTTGAGGGAGAGACCTGCTGGGAGGTGATTGAATCATGGGGACAATTTCTCCCATGCTATTCTCATGATAGCGAGTGAGTTCTCATGAGATCTGATGGTTTAAAGTGGGACCTCCCCCTTTGCTTTCTCTCTCTCTTTCTCTCTCTCTCTCTCCTGCCACAATGTAAGATGTGCCTTGCTTCCCCTTTGCCTTCCACCATGATTGTAAGTTTCCTGAGGTCTCCCCAGAATGTGGAACTGTGAGTCAATTAAACCTCTTTCCTTTATAAATACCCAGTCTCAGGTATTCTTTATAGCAGTGTGAAAACAGACTAATACAAAAAATTGGTACTGGGATAGTGGGGTATTGCTGTAAAGATACCTAAAAATGTGGAAGCAACTTTGGAACTGGGTAACAGGCAGAACTGGAACAGTTTGGAGGGCTCAGAGGAAGATAAGAAGATGTGGGAAAGTTTGGAACTTCCTAGAGACTTGTTGAATGAATTTGACCAAAATGCTGATAGTGATATAGACAATGAAGTCCAGGCTGAGGTGGTTTCAGATGAAGATGAGGAACTTATTGGGAACTGGAGTAAAGGTCGCTCTTGCTATGGTTTAGCAAAGAAACTGGCAGCATTTTGCCCCTGCCCTAGAGATCTGTGGAACTTTGAACTTAGATGATTTAGGGTATCTGGCAGAAGAAATTTCCAAGCAGCAAAGCATTCAAGAGGTGACCTGGCTTTTTCTGAAAGCATACAGTCATATGCATTCACAAAAAGATTATCTGAAACTGGAACTTCTATTTAAAAGGGAAGCAGAGCATAAAAGTTTAGAAAATTTGCAGCCTGATCCTGTGGTAGAAAAGAAAAACTTACTTTCTGGGGAGAAATTCAGGCCAGTTGCAGAAACTTGCATAAGTAACAAGAAGAGGAATATCAGTTGCCAAGACAATGGGGAAAATATCTACAGAGCATTTCAGAGATCTTCCTGGTGGCCCCTCCCATCACAGGCCCAGAGGCCTAGGAGGAAAAAATGGTTTCGTGGGCTGGGCCCAAGGCCTTGCCACTTTGTACGGTCTTGGGACTTGGTGCCTTTTATCCCAGCCGTGGCTAAAAGGGACCAACGTACAGCTCAGGCTGTTGCTTCAGAGGGTGTAATCCCCAAACCTTGGTGGCTTACACATGGTGTTGGGCCTGCAGGTGCACAGAAGTTAAGAATTGACGTTTGAGAACCTCTGCCTAGATTTCAGAGGATGTATAGAAACATCTGGATGTGCAGGCAGAAATTTGCTGCAGGGGTTGAGTCCTCATGGAGAACCTCTGCTAGGTCAGTGCAGAAGGGAAATGTGGGGTCAAAGCCCCTACACAGAGTCCCCACTGGGGTACTGCCTAGTGGTGCTGTGAGAAGAGGGCCACCATCCTACAGATCCCATAATATTAGGTCTACTGACAGCCTGCACCATGTTCTGGAAAAGCCACAGGCGCTCAACACTGGCCCATGAAAGCAGCCATGGGGGCTGCATCCTGCAGAGCCACAGAAGCAGAGCTGCCCAAGGCCTTGGGAGCCCACTTCTTGCATCAGCATGTCCTGGATGTGAGACATGGAGTCAAAAGAGATTATTTTGGAGTCCTAAGATTTAATGAGTGCCTTGTCAGTTTTCACACTTGCATGGGGCCTGTGGCCCCTTTGTTTTGGCCAATTTCTCCCAGTTGGAATGGGAACATTTACCCAATGCCTGAACCCCCATTGTATCTTGGAAGTAACTAACTTGCTTTTGATTTTATAGGCTCATAGGTGGAAGGGACTTCCCTTGTCTCAGATGAGACTTTGGGCTTGGACTTTTGGGTTAATGCTGGAATGAGTTATGACTTTGGGAGACTGTTGGGAAGGCATGACTGTGTTTTGAAATGTTAGAAGGATATGAGATTTGGGAGGGAACAGGGGTGGAATGATATGATTTGGCTCTGTGTCTCCACTCAAATCTCATATTGAATTGAAATCCCCATGTGTTAGGGGAGGGACCTGCTGGGAGGTGACTGTGATACAGAAGGAAAGTGCTGGGAAGGGAAGGGCATAGTCCCTTCAAATAATACAGAACGGGGGAAGGGTGTGGTCCTTGGCTAGGGCTACACCCCCAGGCCTATGCCCATGGACCTAGGTGAGCACAGGCATTTTTGTTTTCCTGCCCAAATGTTGCATTTCCCAAGACTACCCTGGCCTGCCACCCCCACCATCCTGTGCCTATAAAAACCTGGGGACCCTAGCAGGCAGACACAGGTGGCCGGATGTCAAGAGGAGCACATCAGTGGAGGAACACACAGGCAGCTGGATGTTGAGAGGAGCACATCAGCAGAGTAACACACAGGTGGCTGGATGCCAAGAGGAGCACATCAGTGGAGGGTCACACAGGCAGCTGGACGTTGAGAGCAATGCACTGATAGGCACCAGCATGCCAGCAGGCCGTCGACTGGCAGAACAACAAGGAGTTTGACTGGGGCAGTTGGAGAAGAGCCTGGGCTGTCGAGTGGCCCAACTCCAGGGGAAAACCATCTCCCTTCTGGCTACCCCATCTGCTGAGATCTACTTCCCCTCAATAAAACCTTGCACTCATTCTCCAAGCCCACGTGTGATCCAATTCTTCCAGTACACCAAGGCAAGAACCCCAGGATATAGAAAGCCCTCTGTCCTTGTGATAAGGCAGGGGTCTAATTGAACTGGCTAACACAAGCCACCTACAGACAGCTAAGCTAAAAGAGCACCCTGTAACACATGCCCACTGTGGCTTCGGCTATAAACATTCACCCCTAGACACTGCTTTGGGGTCTGAGCCTCACAGCTTGCCCATCTCTGTGCTCCCCTAGAGGTTTGAGCAGCGGGGCACTAAAGAAGTGAGTCACACTCCCATTGCACGCCCTGCGAAGGGGACAAGGGAACTTTTCCTGTTTCAATTGGATCATGGGGGTGGCTTCCCCCATGCTGTTCTTGTCATGGTGAGTGAGCTGTCACAAGATCTGATAGTTTTATAAGTGTTTGGTAGTTCCTGTCTCTCTTTCTCTCTTTCTCACCTGATACCATGTAGGATGTGTCTTGCTTCTCCTTCACCTTCCTCCATGTTGTAAGTTTTCTGAGGGGCAAAGTTCTCATGAATGGGTTAGCACCATTCACTTGGTGGTGTTCTCATGACAGTGAGTTACCATGAGATCTGGTTGTTTAAAAGCGTGTAGCACCTCCCCGCTCTCTTTCCCCCTCCTGCTCCAGCCATGTAAATTTTGCCTGCCTCCCCTTCACCTTCTGCCATGATTGTAAGTTTCCCGAGGCCTCTCCAGAAGCAGAAGCTTCTATGATTCCTGTACGGCCTTCAGAACTGTGAGCCAATTCAACCTCTTTTCTTTATGAAGACTCAGGTTTTTTTTTATAGCAATGTGAGAACAGACTAATACAGGGTGTCTTACCAACCGAGCATCCCAAATCTGAAAACTCAAAATCTAAAATGCTCCAAAACCAGAAATGTTGAGTGCCAACACAACACTCAGAGGAACTGCTCATTGGAACATTTTGGATTTCAGATTTTTGGATTTGGGAAGCTCAACCAGTAAGTATAATGCAAATATTCCAAAATCCTAAAAAGTCTGAAACCCAGAACAGTTTGGGTCCCAAGCATTTTGGATAAAGGATACTCGACCTGTATATTATGTTTCTATTCATTATTTATAATTAAATATAACTTTAATTGTGTCTTGTTTTATCCCATTGTCGTGGGGAAAAATATTAAATTCATGAAGTGACAGTGGATGTCTTTTGAGCATAGTATTTAAGAAAAGGGTCCTTTTGGGCTATGCTACATAGTGATGATGGAAACTCATGTGATGGAGTTCAGAGTGAATTACCAGTGGACCAGGGTCCTAACTTCTCATTACCAAGTCCGAGCTGGAAGCAGCTGGTAACACCATCTCTTTTCAGTGGAAGCACTTGAGGAGTGAACAGGTTGGGTGACTCAACTAATGCTACACATTCATTTCCTTATTTCCAGTCTTATTCTCTTTCCACTTTATCATAGTGACAAAAACAAAAATATCTTTGTCCTAGCAAGACTTGGCTATACAAATTTAGTGAAACAGAGAGTCTTTTGAGCATACATTTCTGCTTAGAACGTAAAGAACATGAGTTCTAAAATGACTGTGAATCTTCCATGCCTAGAATTTGATGAAATAGCACTAGTTTCTAATTCTCTTTAATTTTATTTGATCATTAGTGCTTAAGGAGCAACATTTGTAGGATATTTGTTTCTGGCCATATGCTCCATTCAGAACCTCGGAACTAGACAACATTTTTCCTGGAAGGTCTATTTAAGGGGGACTGAGTACCTAGCATCTGGGAAAAGAGCCAATTTCAAGTTTCCTTTCAGGAATTCCAACAGATCTTAAAGTATTTCAGGGTCCGATTAAACCTTCACCTTGTTTAGATGTTGTCACATCCAGACAATCTTTGTTAAATTCGGCTCTCTAGTTTGTTAATATTCTCAGATTTATATTTTGGCTACTTGCATGCTAAAAAGAAATCACATGGAGTTGGGGAATTTGGTTCTGCAAAACTGCGTGGAGATACGATTTTTAAAAAAACAGGTACAATTCTACGTTTTTAAAGTATTATCCATGCCCTAAAATGACTCACATGCTTCAATGCAGGATACAAAAACTTTTTTAAAAAATCATTTGACTTGCAGGGGTAGAGATGTTAAGAGAAAATCAGTAGGGAATAACACATTTATGAAGGCGAAAATGCACAAGTTATGACACATTTTGGCCCAGCTCCAAATCCTTAAAGCACTGATGTCTTGTTCCATCTTCTGTTTTTTTTACCATTACTTTCACTCCGATCCTATTCTTACTTATTTCCAGCCAAGTAGTTTCATATCTATTTGTCTTGGGCTCCACCGCGGGAAAGTAGCTATGCGGTGCTCCACCAGCTGACTGAAAAGGAGCGTTCCCTCCACACATACACTCAGCACTGAACTGGGGGCAGTGGCCGGGCACTCGGGGTGGGAGGGGGCGGCTAAGACAGTGTCACGGTCACTTGTGTGCCATTGGAAGGAAGGTCAGGGCAGGGAATCCTCGCTACTTCACTACTCATGTCTCTGGATTGGGCTTGCCTCTCTTCTTGGGGAAGAGCCACTTCTTGGGGCCCTGCACACACGAGGACGCATGTGGAAAGGGTCTGTAAATCGACACCCGTTCTGCTAACCGAAGGTGATTACAGCACCGTCTTCTTGGGGATACTTTTTTTTTTTACGTCAGGCCTCACGCTCGCTGCACGGGGATCGCCGCCAGGGCTGGGCTGCTGGATCCCCGCCACACGGGGGAAGCACTGGCGGCACGATCCCGGATCGACCTCGCGAGGCGCCCGCACTGGCCGCGGGGCTGCGGGACTGGCGGCGGCGGCGGCGGCTGCGCGGGGCTGGGCGGGGCTTGGCTGCGGGGAAATGACGTCGCCGTCCCCGCGCGCGCCCTGGTAACGGCGGCTCCCGCGTCCTCCTCCATGTCCCCGCCTATCCCCGCCGCAGCCCGCCCCGTCTCCTCCTCCCTCCGCAGCCTCGCCGAGTCCTCGGTGCGGGCTGCGAGCGGGACCCGCGGAGCTGCGCTGTCCTCGACGCCTCCGCCAGGCGCGGGCCGAGGAGCCTCCAAGAGCTGGCCCGGCCCCCGGCCGCCGCCGCCCAACCCCGGGCATCTGCCCCGCGCCGTTGTCCCCGCGGCTTCGGGCCGGCGGGACCGCCCCGTCCCTTCCAGGGGTGACCCGGGGGTCGCGGGTGGGACGGCGCCTGCGGCCGAGTCTGGGGGGCGCCGGGTGTCGGGTCGGGAAGCGGCCGCCGCGACTCTTGCCTCCCGGGCGTCGTTGCTCCACGGGCCTGCCTCCACCCGCGGGGACAGGTGCCCCGGCTGGGGTCTGTTGGGAAGATGGCGACCCCGGGCATGAGCTGGCAGCAGCACTATTACGGCGGCTCGGCGGCCAAATTCGCGCCCTCGCCGGCCACCGCACAGCTGGCTGGGCACAGCATGGACTACAGCCAGGAGATGCACCTGAAAATGAGCAAGAAAATCGCCCAGCTCACCAAGGTAAGGGGGGCAGCGACGGGGCAGGTGGCGACCCCGTGCGGGCCGCGCCGGACTCACCTGTCTCCCCGGGAGGCAGTGCGCCCTGCGCCCGCAGCGAGGGGAACTCTACTCCTCCGCCGAAGCAACAGCCGGAGACACCTCCAAAACCCTGCAAACTTTGGTGGAACGCTGGCAACATGAATTTAAGCTAGACAGCACAGCGGCACGGTGCGCGTAAGGGACTTGCACCTCCTTGCCCTTTGGGGCTAAACCAGCACAGAACAAATTAGGATTTAGTTCCTTTATTTCACAATACTAAATCACTTTACTGTTGCTTCCATGCATCTGCCAGGGCTCCACGAGGCATCACACTACAGTACCATTTGAAGTACAGTACCGTATTTACCTAATATGACTCGGAATTAAACAGTATCTTACTGGTTACTCAGTTAAGGGAAGAATCAACTTTCAGAGGAATGTAGGAGGGTAAAACATACCTTGAGTGCCAATTTGGGGCATTTAATGAGTCATTCCTTATCCTGACAAAATGTCAAACAAGGCTTATTAGATGAATCTCACACTGTGCCTGCATCTAGTTCAATGTTTGTCTGTCGAAGGATAATTTTCAAAGAGCAGTTAGCTTTCACATTCGGCCACGTGTAGTTTAGGACTGTACCTAAATTAGTGAACTTTTTTTCTAATTTAATGTTGATAATGAGAAGGAATTGGTATCTGTGAAGCAAGAGCAATTCATATCTGTTATATTGCTCTGCTTAGAACTCACCAGCAATCTAGCAATACCTATCGGTAAGAAGTGATTTGTGGTGTCTGAAAGTTAAGAAAGATGATATACCTTAATGTGTTTAAGCTGTCTCCTAACAGCTTGTTAGGAGAGTTGGTATGCTGAAGAGAGATGGGCATCGTGGGGGTTACTGCTAGATAGCCTCTGAGTCTGACTCAACTGTAAAGTTCTCACATAATCCCATTGCTGGTTGGCACTTTTGAGAGAGTGAAGTAAGACATGAGATTCGGAAGAGAGGAAAGGAGGAAATAGGAGTGAAAAAAGGTTGAAAAGAGAATAAAAAGATTTTAGTGAAGAAATGTGATTGAGGATAGAAAAGATAACATAAAAGGACTACAAAATGAGAGCACAAATGGAAGAGCAAAAGAAAAGTTACAGGTACATAACAGTAAAACTCAACCAACGTCTTGTGAAGTTTTCTTTTTTGTCTTTTGTTTGATCTCAGCACTGTCTCAGAAATTGTTAGGTGTGCGGTGTTTTGTTTCCTTTTTTGTCAGAGTATTGCATTCAGAGAAAGGAAAATCTAAGAAGGAATGATAGTAGTGTATCATCAGAACATTTACACATTTGGAGTCTAAAAGCCAGGCTTCCTGCAGTAGTGTTTGATCTTCCGAATATTGATGTCCTGAATGAAGCACGTGAATATTTATTCTGATTTTCTCTTATGATGTGTCCATAACATCCACTGTTCTCATTTTAGATGTAACCCTCTAGAGCCCTACTGTAAGTAATAGGAAAACTCAGTAAACTGGTAGTGGGACTGTGTTCTGTTTAACAAATGCTGTTGCTCTTCAGTACATTTTTTTTCTTTCTACTTAACACTTTTTCAGTTTCCTGTTCTTTTATCAGAAAAAAATAAGTCAGCACCACTGGTAAACGTAGGTGTATTGATCGGAAGCTGGTGTTTTCTCCCATGACATTACCCACCTCATATCTAATGAGACAAGAGGGTGCTCTCAGGCCAGTGCTCTCAACACCGCTTGAATGCCTCATCTGATCTTTACTGAGTGTTACGTGGACTCTCTGGTTTTGTGTTTGTAGTTACAGTCTCTAAACACTCTCCACCCCCTCTGCTAAGTACTTAAGATATTTAATCCTTCATACTAGGTTTCTCAGTGTCACGCTATTGACATTTTGGACTGGATAATTCCTTGTTGATTGTGGGATATCCTGTGCATTATAGGATGTTTGGCAGCATCCCTGGCACTACTCAGTGGGTACTACTAGTAGCTGCCCTCACCCCCCACCCCCAGTCATGACAATAAACATGCCTCCAGGTATTACCAAAATTTCCCAGGAGCGGGCAGGGTAGTTGAAACAGAATCATTCCAATTAAGAACCATTGACATATACTGAAATATCAAGGGATTATCCTGCTTTTATTTACTAAGATGAGGCCTGAGAATGAAACAGTTTGATAATAGGACTCTGTTGGAGCCAACATCTTTCTGTTTCTACAAACATATAAGACTTGCTTTCTTTATACACCATTTTGAAAGTTGTCAAATTTTATAGTCATATACACTTATTGTAAATACTATACCATAAGCATGACATCATGAGTGTATATAAACATAGAGAGAGAGGGACTGTTATGAACTTTACTACTGCCTGCCATATAGAATTTTTACTCATGAAGAGTTTATTCATATTAGCAGAGGTGTGTTCCAACTATGGTTGGAACTTGACAATGGCTAATATTTCATAATTGTACACTGTAAATGTAACAATTAAAATTGGATTTTATTTCTTTTGGAAAGAAGTCAGTAGAACTCAACTCTTCAGCATTATAGCAGCAGCACACTTAAGAGCAGTGTGGGAACCTGACACACTGAGTTAAAATTCTCACTCCACCACTTACTACTATTGTGACCTTGAGCAAGCCATGAAACACTGAGCCTCAGTTTCCTCATCTTTAAAATAGGGATGATAGTACCTATTTTACAGAGTTGTAGCGGCACATAGTAGGCTCTTCATTCAGGCTGTCACTCACTGAAAAGACATATACCAATATGAGTATTAATAAAATATGGATATTTTAAAAATGCTTCTCTCCTTTTAAACCATTCTGCATTTAACAGCGTTGTGTGATAGTGTACTTATTTTGAGGGTTTTCTGCTAAACTCTTTAAAAATGTATATATAGTAGTTTTTTTTCTCCTTCGAATATCAAAGTTTAAAGGTTTCACATTTATTCTGCATTGTGGTAGAATGTTCTGAAAATACATTGTGCATGTTTCAAAGGTTTGGCTGGCTATGAAAGGATAAGCATGAAAAGTAATAAAGATTATAATTTTGCCCATAGCAAAGCTCAATATATTTTTAATTAAAAAGCAGTCTTTGCTGTATGCATATTTGTTCATATCCTATTTCCTAAGAGCCTAACATAGCTGCCTTCTCATGGTAAGGAGAACACCAGTTCTTTAAGCACCTTTTATGTAAGGGAGACTTTGGAAAATGTTACAGATACAGCAGGGAGCAAGACACAGTCCCTGCCTTTTAAAGGAAGTCTAGCATATTTGGGTCACTCGTGTCAAGTTTTAAGAATTAATATTAGATTCTTGAGCTACATTATGGCAAGTTTCTGCAAATGTTAATGGCTGAACTATCTCAAGATAGGCAGTGAAGCTGGATGGATTCAATTATGTTTTATAAGACCACATTTGTATACTTCTGTGCTCTCCACTGTGTTGACTTTTCAGGATATCAGGTTGAAAAGCAGGCCTTGTGGGATGTAATTATAAAAGCTTTTTTTTTGTCACTTTCAAATTACTTTTTTTCCCTTTTTGTCTCTTTCAATTTACTCTTTGAGACTGGTTCATCCTCTTTCATGGGTTAACTTAATTTTTCTGGTTGCTTTTAGATAATACAAATCATCCTTCAGTAACAAAGTCACAAAAGTCTCAATTTGATTATTAAAATTAAAATGCCCAGTACCAACAAGTAAAAACTGCAGACCAAGCCTGAAATAAAGATGAAGCTTCTCCCTTAACTGGTCTCTTGCTCTGTCTCTTGCAAGGGGGAAACCAGTAACTAGGGAAGGGGGTATTATTGCCTTTTTACTTCTTACCTGGTTTTTCTACTCTTCCTGCTTTGTCTTGCCAGTTCTGGTTTCTCACCCTTCCAAAGTTGGTCAAGGAAGAAGTGAAAAGAGTAAAGAGGAGCAGCAAACTTTTACTTGATTAGTGAAGAAGCTAGCTGGTGATCTAGTTTCAGTGCTTTTGTAGCCGTTGCAGATGTTTAAAGCTTATTCTTTCACTGGTGAATCTTCTACCTCCCACCTCAGTGGCTCTAGATTTTCACCTCAATTCCTTGACAGTGAGAATTCCCTTATGCGCTGATTGGTTGCTTACTCCTTCCTCAGCCTCTTGGAGCTAGCAGTACCTTCACCTCCACTTTGCTGAGGTCTGTGCAAACTCTAGATACCCCTCTTGCATGGACTTGTGTGATCCCACCCCAGGTTGTTCACTCTTCCGTAGAGGCCACATAGGGAGCACTCATTCTTTGCACAAACTCTGCTAGTGGTCCCAGTTCAGCCCTCTCTCTTGTTCTCACATGCCTCTTCATGCAGCTTCTCATCATTTAGATTTTCTGGGGATTAATCAGGTACCAGGTTAGCATGTTCTTCAAAGTGCTTGAGGCACATGTCAAGTTCTTCAAGTCATTCCCTCAAAGCCTTTTTCCCTAGGCTTTAGGTGTGGGACAAGCATCTTCCACCCTTCCCCCTTGAAGACACAGGCCCCTGTTACCACAGCTCTCCCCAGGGAAATCTCTGAAACCTACTCTGTAATCTTCTTGAAGCACCACCTCACTAGTGGTGGGGGTGGAAAGTAACACATCTCAGCACTCTTCTTTAGACTGCCTCTTGACATTTTCGAGAATGTTCTGGCAGCTGCTTTGGAATGTCATTTCTATCGTCTCTGGTTCTCAGCAGAAACTTCCCTTTTAATACCTTGTTATGTTAGCTGCTTATCAAATCCCTCTTTAGTTGATTGCACTTTTGATACAGAGTCTGTTTATCACTTAACTAGTATAGACATAAGTAATATATGGTACAGTGTAAGTTCCCAAACAGCAGGAAGTAGTTTATTTTGTGTTTTCTGTGCTTAGCATCAAGTCCTCTTATTTAATACCCAGCTTATGGCTCTTCTACTAAAACTGTCCTGACCAGCTACCCTTGTTGGGCTTTCCTTGCTGTGCGTTAGCATTGATTGTTGGTACCTCTTACTTGATACTTAATAATGCAAACTTGCAAATACTGTTTATTGTGTTTATAAATATACTTTGTTTTCATAATTTGACTGTAAGGTTCTCAGCTCTAGGGACTGTATCTTTTATTACATGTAACCTTAATATGAATGGTTTGCACATAGTACCAAAGCTTAATAAGTATTTACTGAAGAAGATGGTGGTCATAATGATACAGCAAGTAATTTTGTTATACAGCAGAGAAAGACAGTACTTTTTAGGAATTGTATCTGCTACTCTTCTGGGTTAATGATAGATCATTTCAGCTGAGTTAAATTATTCCTAAATATGTAAATGTTTATTGACTGCCCTTTAAACTGCTTCAAAAAGCTATTTTATTTCTTAATGTATTTTTGATGTAAAAAATACAAATATAATGTTCTTTGTCTACATTATAAGTATTTGACACTTCAGAATGTAGGTAATTAATATACTAGTTTCTTAGCAAATATAAAAAAGCCTTGTGATCAGTCATTTTATACTAACTCTGCTTTTACTATATCCAAAACCAGAATGTGTTTATATAACACCAAAACCAGTGAATTTTTCAAATAATACTATTTTCTGTACATGAAATAAATGATTTTTCACTAATTGGTTTGTTTGAATTATCTAGATACTCTTTCATAATAATTCTATATTGCTTATGACTTGAGTCTTTGAACAAGAATGGTAAGTGGCCTCATAAAACATAGCAATTGGCTGTGTTTCACCTTAGCACTAGTACATGCCAAATGCAGCATCTCTTTTTCTTTGTTACATTGTAGCTTTGCCATGCTGTTATGCAGTGGCTTGGATGTAATCTTTTAGTCATAGTGGAGTGGTTTGGATTAATTTGTTGCATTTTACTAATGGACACAAAAGCATAGTATCCTGTTAATTAACTGGTCACAAACTTATAAAGGGACTTCCTTTAGAGTTAAAGATTTAGAGTTAAAGGTTAAAGGTTTAGGTTGGGTGCCCTGGCTCATGCCTACAGTCCCAGCACTTTGGGAGGCCAAGGCAGGCAGATCACTTGAGGCCATGAGTTCGAGACCAGCCTGGCCAACATGGTGAAATCCCGTCTTTACAAAAAATACAAAAAATTAGCTGGTGTGGTGGTGGGTGCTTGTAATCCCAGCTACTTGGGAGGCTGAGGCACAAGAATTGCTTGAACCCAGGAGGCGGAGGTTGCAGTTGAGATCATGCCACTGCACTCCAGCCTGAGTGACAGAGCAAGACTCTATCTCAAAAAAAAAAAAAAAAAAAAAAAGATTAAAGGTTTAGACTTTAGACTGTGACCAGGCTGACCCTCTCATTTTATAAGTATAGAAGGTGTGAGGGCTCGGTGCCATTTGAAGATTACTCAACCTGGACTCACATTCAGCTCTCTAGATTGGTCTAGGTGGGGGTGGCCACACTAACAGGCCTCTTTTCCCTGTGTCTACCTTCTTTCTAATATTACTTATTCAATAAGAGACCACAGAGTTATTGTTTTTCCATGTTGGAACCATGTTTTACTTACCATCTGAATCAAATTTTTGATAAGGGTGAAACCAACCTGTGTCTCCTCTGTATACTTACTGTGGAACTTTCTGGGTTTATAGGTTGTATATTTTGTATACTATGACTTGGTCACTTTGTAACAGAGGTTTATTGTGTGTGCTGTCAGCTAAATGTCATAATATTTTCATGTTTTTATTAACAGGTTTAGTCATTCCAAACTGAAACGTATTTAAAATAACATTAACTTAGAGACTGCCATACTTGGTGTGAAAATTACTACTGTGGTTATTTTAAATGTCTTTCTTTTGACTGCTTTCATTCTTGATTAGATTGTTGCTTAGACCCCATTCCTAAACACAGTAAATTGCAAGTTTTCCAGTTTTTATTGATTCACTATCTGTTTAGTTTATGAAAATCCTTTGCTAGCCTCTAATCACCAGTCTTAAAAAGTGTTATGAAAGATAAAGATTCAGCAGGAATATGTGACTGGAGTAATTTCTTCATTTTAATTAATAAGTTCCCTATACTTTAACTTTTAAAATTGTGATATTTTTGAAAATTTTGTATCTCTTAAATGTGAGATGGGAATGAAGAATAACCTGGGTCTATAAAGCTAATTAGTTTGTGGAAGAAAATAGGAGGTAATGGGGGCCAGGGGAGTATTGATAAAATACTGTTATTTTGCCCTTTCAATTGATCTTGTGAGTTTTTTTTTTTAAAGAAAATCTTCATAAGCATTCAAATAAATTTGAATATTATGCCATGAAATGGAAAGGATGTGAATGACGGGAGTTCGTAACGCCATTCTTTTTATTCACCACAGGAAGTTTCTATCCTGCAGCCCACTTCAGAATGTAAAGGACATTAAGTAAATGTCAGAATTGGTGCCCCATGTCCCTTTTTTGGAGATAGACACCTATGGGAGACAATCACTAACTGATTTCAGGATTAGATAAATAGATAAATAAAAACAGCAACATTGAGATCCCATCTCTACTTTTTAAAAAATAAAAATAAAGAAAAACAATGTTATAAATGGTAGTTTGATATGGGGGAATCATATCAAACTATTAGGTTTATATTTTATATGTCAAGTGTGGTCTAAACCATAGGGGGCTTTTTAGATTGACCTAGAGAGTTAATGGTCCTTCAAAATATTGGAAAATATTCTTTGGCTGCCAATCAATTAATATATAAAAATGAATTTTTGAAACAATGATATTTGCAAGTTGGAGATTGCCAGTTGTATTTTGGTATGCTTAACCTTTAAGACCAAGCAAAAATTTTAGAAAATCTCTGATTCTTAACTTTTAACTAAATTACATCAGTGAACAACTGTCATTTGTAACCTTATTTCACCAAGGATTACATCTTTCTTTTCTACCAAAACTTCAACGAGAATGTATAAAAAGTAGTGAAGTTGAATATATGAATTTTTTATCCTGTATCTTACACTATTATCTTGAGATGCAAATGGAAGCTGAAACTATCAAAGGATCTATAGTACATGGAAAAACAAGACTTAGTGATTAACAATCATATGTGGGATTTGGATATTTTAGACTTGGCTACCATGTGCTACCTCATTTAATTGTAAAGGAGATAGTACTTTGATTTTTTTAATTGCTAATTCTGTATTTCCTTATTTACATGTACCATCTCTATACCAAAGTTTGAGGAAGTTGGAAAGTAAAACATTTCATCTATAAAGTGCATTACTAATATTTAAATTATCAATAAAATTGATAATTTTAGTAAAATAACAGGGTAAATTCCTATTTATGCGAAATTATTAGAGAATGAATTATTTTAGTTAACTAGAAGTTTCCATAGGGGTTAATAAGTTTTCACTTTCTCATATAGTATACTTACATTTACATCATACCATTCATATATCACACTGGAGTTCTTCATCAACTCCAGATCATTGTTAGGATCATCAGTGCATATATAGGAAATTGGACCAAACTTATGCTAGTCCTATTAGGCCAAATCCATGAATGCTGATATTTAATTTCTGAATAAATTGTTACTTGCCCTTTTACTTGTCATGTCTTTTTTACTTATAAAATGAAGTGTCGCATTTGGATATTTACAAATTCTAGACATTGGCCTTGGTGGTTGAGCAGATTTTGTTTATTCTGGCGAATGTGTGTCTATGTGTTCACAGGTATTTGCATTTTTCATCCTGTAGCTCCTTAAGCACAGTTTTAAAGATTCTCATTTCTTTCAGAAAACATTTTATGACCAAAATACTAAATAGTATTCTTTGCCTACCTTTAGATGTTTCGCCTAGTGAATTTTGGGAGGAAGGTGTGTGTGTGTGTGTGTTTAATGGTCTACTCAGAGTAATAAAATATACTTAGATATGACCGAAGTAGAATATATAGGTCTATGTGTTTGGTAAACTTGTCGAATGCCTACTTTATGAAAGACATTGTGCTTGGTACTATTAATTATTTAATACTATTTATTATTCCATTTCAGACTATATATTTAGGTTGGCGCAAAAGTAATTGTGGTTTTGGCCTTTATTTTCAATGGCAAGAACCTCAGTTGCTTTTGTGCCAACCTAATACTTCACATATATTTTCCAACAGACTTGAGAAAATGTAACTGGAATATATTAATCATATATTTTAATTACAACATATTTATCAGTACATTAATTCTGACAAATTTTAGATGTGTAATCATGGGCAAATTTTTCTATTTGGTTTCGTTCTTTTTGGGTAGAACTTATGTACGTGCTTTTCTTGGATAAAGAAACTATACTGATACCTTCTAAATTCTCTAATAAGGTTTTGATGACTCAGTTGACATATTCTGGTTACAAATCTCTAATATATTTGGCTGGGGGGTAGAGCGGGTAAAAGGAAATTTCAGTCTTGGAAACCCCGGAGTTAATGTGTTTGTGTTAGGTTTAGGTTTCTCATGGGCAGCCGGAGAGCCACATTGTTCCCAGAGCCAAACGGCCCAGTGAGGCAGCAGTGCCCATCATATGGGTCAGAGGTGTGGTTCAGTAAGTTAGGCATTCCCTTATTTGAAGTTCACCTTCACCACTTCCTAGTGTTTGACTTTTAATACATATTTTAACCACTCAGGGCTGTCTTGTCCTCATCTGTAAAATGAGAATGACAAAGCGTACTTCATAGAATTATTATAAAGATTAAAGGAGATAATTGATGCAGGAGAGAGAAGTCAGTTTGTACCCACTATCCCCTCCCCACTTGGTTAAGCCTCTGCTGACATACTCTTTAACAATAAAGTAGGTTTTTAGGCCAGGCGCAGTGGCTCACACCTGTAATCCCAGCACTTTGGGAGGCCGAGGTGGGTGGATCACACTTGAAGTCAGGAGTTCGAGACCAGCCTGGCCAACATGGTGAAACCCTGTCTCTACTAAAAATACAAAAATTAGCCGAGTGTGGTGGTGCATGCCTGTAATCCCAGCTACTCGGGAGGCTGAGGCAGGAGAATTGCTTGAACCCAGGAGGCGGAGGTTGTGGTGAGCTGAGATTGCGCCACTGCACTCCAGCCTGGGTGCACAGTGAAACTCCATCTCAAAAAAAAAAAAAAAAAACCCACACACAAAAAAACAATAAAGTAGGTTTTTATATGTCTTTATTTTGTTTGTTTGTTTATTTATTTATTTTTTAGAGATAGAGTCTGGCTATGTTGCCCAGGCTGGAGTGCAGGGGTGCCATCATAGCTTGCTGCAACCTTACACTCCTGGGGTCAAGTGATCCTTCCACCTCAGTTTTCTGAGTAGCTGGGATTATAGGTGCAAGCCACTGTGCCCAGCTATATTTTCTTTTCTGATGGATATATAGTCTACATTGTTGGGGACCATAGCTGTCAAGTAAAGGTTGAGCAGCAAATAAAATATAGTCAGTTCTCATTATTCGTGGTCGTTGTATTGCATGGTCTAGGGAGAATACAGAGCTAGGTTCCTGACACCCTCTGGTCACAACATTTTCACCAACTGATCAATGTATAACCTTGTTTTATGTGTGTTTCTGTTTAAAACACCTTTTAAAATATATATTGATCCATTAACAGTGAAGCCACAGCCAAATATCACTATAACTCATGCCTGAACAAAGGTTATTTAGCACACCTTGAGTGTTAGATTTTGGGGTTACATGTAAATTTTAGCAAGTAAGATAATTTACAAATAGGGAGTCCATGAGTAAAGAAGATCAACTGTATCTAAAAATGGAAGCACAACTTTGCATCTGCTGTTTTCTTAGCTCCTGCTGTTTATCAGCTATTGTTAGGGGCCTAAGTGACTATGACTCTTATTACCACCCTAAACACCCTCACATGAGTGTGACTTTGACTCTCATTATCTCAGTAAACACCCTCAGATGAAAGGGGTGGAAAGGATAATGGAGGCTGAAATACTAATCTTTTGTGTGACTTGCCAGTCACCTACAGGCCACCCTACAATCATAAGCATGGGATAAATTCTTTCCTTGTATGTTAATTGTAATCTTCAAGATCTAAACTTGAATCTATCACATTGCCCTACATCAGAAAAAGGAAAAAAAATATGTAAATGATTCCAGGGCATGGAGCAAAACCTTTAAAAAATAATTTATTTTAGTTTAAATAAAATCTTTCATAGTCATCATTTGCCTAAAACATGTTTGCAGTTACTTCTTTTCTAGCATAAATTGTCACTGTGGGAGTTGGTTTTGTTAAAAGTCTTTGTCTATGTACCTAAAGATAACTTGAAATCTTATACAGTTCGAGGCTATAGCACATTTGGTTGGATGTTTCTGAATTAACCTTATGCAACATACAGAAAACTTCTGCAATTCAATTCATATCTGTCCACACTTTCTTGTTTCAACCCCCTAGTAATTATCAGAAAAAGGAACCCAGTTAAGAGTACTACTGTGATCATGAGGGAGTTGGCAAAGATAACTGTCCTGGAATAAATAACAATTTGATCTGGAGCCAAGCTCATTACTATAATATTGCTCTATTTAGGACCATGTATATCTTTAACCTTCAATCCTGAGTCACTGTTGCTATTTGCTCTCTCTATTCTTACTTCTGGATTGTGGAGCATTGCTAGAGAAAATTATGGAACTGGACTGTAGCAGCACAATGGCACCCTCAAAGATGTTCACGTTCTAATACCTAGAACCTGTGAAGATGTTATCTGACATTAGCATTAGCAGATGTGGTTAGGTTAGGGATCTTGAGATGGGGAGATTATCCTTGACTATTTGGATGGGCAACTGTAATCACAAGGATCCTTCTAAGTGAAAGAGGGAGCCAAGGAACACAGGTGGCCTCTGGAAGCTGGAAAAGGCAGGGAAACAAGTTCTCCCCAAGAGCCTTCAGATTTTGGCCCAGTAAAACTATTTTCAGACTTCTAACCTCAGGAATTCTAAGGTTAGTACATTTGTGTTGCTTTAAGACACTTGGTGTTAAATTGTTACCACAACATGGCTCTCTACAAAGTCATGTAGGCCAATTTTGTCTGATCACTCAGTATTGCTGCACTATATGATGTTGTTCTCTGAATTGTTCACAGCTGTGGACCGTGTGTCCTCTCTTCCTTCCCTGTACACATGGGATGGATAAGCTGCTATTTTACTGAAACTATCAAGCTTAACTTACTTGTCTGCAAAGATACTGGGGTCATTTATTCGTGAAAAGAACTTTCTCCTGATTCTTAGCTGCCTTAGCTCTCATGTACTACTGCTTTTCTGTGTCTTAAATAGATCACCCTTGGCAGAGACAGATGGGAATCAAGGAAATTAAATGGGAAGCTATTGTAATAGTATTGGTGAGAAATTATGAGGGCCATGGATTAGGACAATAGTGGTAGAGAGATAGGAGATTTGAGAAATATCAAATCTGAGGAGGAGATTTGAGAAATCTCAGATCTGAGGAGGAGATTTGAGAAACATTTTGGAGATAAATTTGGCAGCACTTTGTGACAGTTTGTTGTAGGAGAAGATTGAGGATAACGGGTCTGTCATATACTGTGTACTCAGGTGTTTCCTGAATGAATGAGAGAGTGAATGAGTGACTAGATGGACTAGATAACTATTAACGTTGACTGAGATAAGAATAAAGGAAGGACACGTGTTAGTTACCTATTGCTGGGTAAAAAATTATCCCCAAATTTGGCAGCTTAAAACAGCAAGTGTTTATTATCTGACACTTTGAGATTCAGAAATCGAGGAGTCACTTAACTGAGTGGTTCTGGCTCGGCTTCTCATGAGGTTGCATTCAAGCTGCTGGCCAGGGCGATAGTCTCTGTAAAGAGTTGACTAGGGCTAGAAATTTTACTTTTGAGTTCACTCATGTGGCTGTTAGGAGACTTTATTTACCATATGGGTCTTCTTATAGTAAGTGATCTGAGGGGTGGGAAGGGAGAGAGACCAAGATGGAAGCCATAGTCTTTTCATAACATGATCACAGAATGGTGACATGTCATCATCTTTGCTGTATTCTATTGGTTACATGGACCAACCATGGTACAGTGTAGGAAATAACTACAGAAAGATTCTGATACTAGGAGATAGAGATCACTAGGGGTTATTTTGGAGGATGGTTACCCCAAGAGAAGCAAAATTGATGGGAGAGTTCTGAGAGTTTTAGTTGGCCATGTACATCTAGGTAGAAACATTTAGTAAGCACTTGGATATGTGTCTATGCTAAAGGGAGAGATCAATAGTAGAAATAAAATTGTTAAAGTCATTAGCATGTAGATGGTAATTAAAATCATGTGTAGTTGGTTGGGGCCTTAAGCAGAGTAGAAAACATTTGGAATAGTTGCTGAGGAAAAGAGAAGGAAAGAGCTGACCAGAGACAGAGGAAAGCATCCATAAGACATCTGGTTGTCCCAAGAGGAATTGAAACATGGTATTTGGTATCAGTTTTTTGTTGTTGTTTTTAAGAGATGGAGTCTCACTCTTTCTCCCAGGCTGGAGTCCAGTGACATAGTAATAGCTTACTGCAGCTCCAAACTCCTGGACTCAAGGGATCTTCCCACCTCAGCCTCTTGAACAGCTGGTATTACAGGTATGCGCCACTATGCCCAGCTAATTTTTGTGTGTGTGTTTGTGTGGAGATGAGATCTTACTATGTTTGCCAGGCTGATCTCAAACTTCTGGCTTCAAGCTGTCTTTCTGCCTTGGCCTCCCAAAGTGCTGGAATTACAGGTATAAGCCACCATGCCCAGCCTCAGTTTGAATGCTTTGCAGTTTTCTGAAAGTCCTATGCAGTCCTTTGGAGAGGACCATGGTTGAGCATATGAGGAGAGAAGCAGTCAGGTTACAAATCCAGAGCCTGAGTTTTGCCTGGTAGGTGTAGCTGAAGAACTGAAGAACTGCATTTTAAGAGAATTAAAGAGCTTTTGTAGGTAGTAATTTAGTTAATCTACCATTAGTTACTGTGTAAGGAAGGAAGTGAGGTAGGATGGAGCTAATAGATTAAGAGAAAACTTAGGGATTGAGAGGACAATTGGTATGTATGAAGATAATGCCTAGAAGTTGAGGGATAAAGGCAAGGAGTGGTAGCCTGAGAGGAGGCTATATGAAGACTTCAGAGGTGGATAAGTTATAACAAGATCCGGGGTACAGTCTTGAGATTGTTTATGGGGGGGTGAAAATTATTAGAATTTAGAATCCCAAAGAACTATAAGTCTGATATTTTGGGTTCCACAGGCATTTTTGAACTCTCCAAAGATAGTAGGGTTGAGATGGAAGAGAGCTTTATGAGTCTCATGGCTAAATCTACACTGATGAGGGCAGTGACCCGGAGGCTGGTTTATTAGTATGACAAAGCAAGTCAACTGATAAAGCTGAATTATAGGAACAGTTATAAAATAAGACGCATTTTTTTTATTATGAGGGAGGAATACTGAGTCTAATTAATAACAGTAAATACCACTTTGGAGCAACTATTACCTGCTATTTTCTTATGCTGTTTAATTTCATCCTTGCCATAATCCCAAGAGGTTGATACTAGATTTCACCATGAAACTGAATGTTAGAGAGGTTAAGTGACTTGCTCGAGGCCACGTGCCAGAAGAGCTGGGGTTGAACTGCAAACATGTTCGCAGTTACATGTTATGAATATACACTACCAGTAAAAACACTGAACATGCACATTCTTCTAGGTCATTTAAGGAAGGCATATATCAAGATAGAAACCAGTAAGACTAACTGCCTAAGACATTCTATATTTGGATATTGGAATTTAACATGCAGTATGTTCTGCAGTCATGTGGCTAATAATATGGAATATATCGTCTTAGAATGTAAAGTCTTATTGTGCTTAAGTTTTTTTAAACAGCAACTAGAAAAACACAGATATTTAACAAATGTTAAACAACACAAATTTTACAGCAACATGTGATGTATTTAAGTGAGTTATTTGATTGTACTGTCTTTTCTAACTGATTATTCATTTATACAAAATTTTTGCATATTTTATCATCTGAAAAATAATGAATAGCATGAATAAATATACCAATATTCTCCTATTTACTAGGTATATGGATTTTTGGTGGGGGGGTTTCACCTTTTTGGGTTTCACCTTTTTGTTGATGTTTAATCTTAAATCTGAATGACTCTTCAATCTAAATGTCTTTTAGAAAATTAACAATGAAGTTATTTAACAGAAGGAGAGATACTGTGTTAAATGTACCCTCTAGAATTACCATCCCTGAGGTATAGAATGTTGTTTTATTTTATTCCTATATGTACTCTTGGGGACACAAGTCAAGCTTCAGGAGCTTGCAATCTAACAGATGTATAAGACAGAAAATACCTGAGACAAAGCAGTCTTTGGTAAACCTCTTAATGTTTAGCTTTATCTGAGTGAAACTGACCAACTCAGAGCATTCTGAGTCCTTTTGTTTCTCCTACCAAGTGCAACTGCTTTTACCATGAGGTGGGATCAGTGGAACTAACCAATCTTTTTTTTATTTTTTATTTTTGAGATAGGGTCTCTCTCTGTCACCCAGGCTGGAATGCAGTGGTGCGATCACAGCTCACTGCAGCCTCAACCTTTCCAGGCGCAGGTGATCCTCCCACCTCAGCCTCCCGAGTAGCTGGGACTATTGGCTCACACCACCACACCCGGCTAATTTTTGTATTTTTTATAGAGACAGGATTTTGCCATGTTGCCCAGGCTGTTATTCCAGGGCTCAAGCAATCTGCCTGCCTTGGACTCCCAACGTGCTGAGATTACAGATGTGAGCCACCATGCCAGGACAAAACTAACCAATCTTATGCCCTGTGTACCTGGTTACAATTTCTTTGGAGGGCCACATCAGTAACAACAAAAACAATTAAACTGAAAAGTGTATTGTGCGTTATTGTGTTAAGCACTATACATACATTATGCTGTTTAATCATGGTACTTCTTGAAGTAGTTATTTTTCTCTTTGTTTTACCAAAAAACTCTGAGGCTTAGAGATGTTTAAAATAACTTTTTCAAAGTTATACATTTGTAAGTAAGAAGGCTAACCCTGATCACCTCTCAAGCATATTTGTAATCCTGTGTAAAATCTAGTTGGCTGTGTTCAAAATGGTAAGACTAGAGTGTGTCTTGGAAGCCTCAAGCAGTTCAGTCCATCTTGCCTCATACCTCTGTCTGCCTGGATCCCAGGTCCAAATGCAGGCTCCCAAAGTGTTGAGATTACAGGTGTGAGCCACTATGCCTTGCCCCTATTTTTTTCTTTTGTTTCAATTGACAAATAATTGTAGATATTGATGGGGTACGTATGATGTTTTGATACATATAGTGTTTAGTGATCAGATCAGGGTACTTTTGTATCCTTTAACAAATCTTTCCCTATCCCTCCCTTCCTCAAGCCCTTCCCATCCTCTCTCATCACGTTTTTATAAGTCCTTTGTAGAGCTCTTATTTCATGCTGAACAAACTTCTCTGCAGCCACACTTCTTCATAAATTACTCAGTCTCCTCACTTTAGTTGAAAAGTAGTTTAGGTGTGGTGGCCCATAGGTTGAGAGAGGATTGCTTGAGGCCAGGAGTTCAACACCAGTCTGGGCAACGTAGTGAGAGCTCATCTCTACAAAAAAAAAAAAAAAAAAAAAAAAAAAGAAAAATAATTAGCCAGGCATGGTAGCACACACCTGTAGTCCCAGATACTTAGGAGGCTGAGGCAGGAGGATTGCTTGAGTCCAGGAATTTGAAGCTACAGTGAGCTGTGATTGCATCACTGCACTTCAGCCTGGATGACACAGTGTGACCTTGTCTCTATTAAAAAAAAAGAAAGAAAGAAAAGTAATCCTGGCTCTCTCCTCAGGATATTGCTTTTCCTGTGGCCTTTGCAGGTGAACACAGCTCATTTTCACACAGTTCATCAACCAAAGGTCCTAAAGATGGTAATCTTTCTTCTAGCTTTCCGATACCGCAACTTGTAAACTATTCCTCCTTGAGGTTTAGGCCAACTAGCTCTTTTACCTATACCTTCCCCTGTTGCTTCTTAATATTGAAGAGACACAGTCCATGGGTTCACTAACATCCTGGCTTTGCATTTCTTGACATTTTCAAATTGTGTCATCTTTATCTTTAATCAAGCTACTCATACACATTTCCTCTGAATCTTAAACTCCAGAACTTCCAGCCACATGGAAGATGTATTAGTCCATTCTTGCACTGCTATAAAGAAATGCCTGAGACTGGGTAATTTATAAAGAAAAGAGGTTTAATTCGTTCATGGTTCTGCAGGTTGTACAAGAAGCACATCGGCTTCTGCTTCTGGGGAGGCCTCAGGGAGCTTTTACTCACGATGGAACACAAAGTGAGAGTGAGGAGCTTCACATGGCCAGGAGGAAGAAAGAGAAGGGGGAGGTGCTACACAGTTTTAAACAACCGGAGCTCCTGAGAACTAACTCACTATTCAGTACCAAGAGGGGGATGGTGCTAAACCATTAGAAACCACCCTCATGATCCAGTCACCTCCCACCAGGCCCCACCTCCAACACTGGGGATTACCATCTGACAAGAGATTTGGGTGGGGCCACAGATCTAAACCATGTTAGAAGGTATTAATACTTGTTGATTAAATGAATGAATGTCTTAAACTTTCACTTCTCCCTTTTTCAAATTCTACCAATTCTTCAGTTTCTTTAGTGTTTTAGCCTCTTCATTTTCTCCCTGTTCATCATGTCTGTTTTCATTTCATTCTTTATCTGTACTAGACTGTGGGCTGTTGCTTTAGCCACTGTCTTGCCAGTACCATTAGCTGCCTTGCCCATGTTTTTCCACTACACTTTCTAGAACTGGCAAAAAGATATTATTGACCAGATATACAGCTCGTTCCCTTTTCATATATGCCAGCAAGAAAACAGTATCCCTGTAGCCACTCCTGTAAGGCTGAGCAGGGTGAAAATAGACATGATACTAGGAGGGAAAGAATTACAGGAAGGAGCTTTGAATTGTAACTGAGATGACACGGTCATCTAGGCTGGCCTCAAACAGTACCTAAAAACAGTACCTGGTTTTAACTAAATATCTACCAAAATCTAAACTTTAATCTCGAAGTGACTAAACACTTAGAGGCAGCAGGATTAAGTTTTTTTCTGCCAGGTAGTTACAAAGAGTCATATACACTGTGATTTGTTAGTGACCAATTTATACCTATTAAATGGAGTGGCAAGTTATAAGATAGCCTTTATTTATAAAAATGCAATGGTTTGAAGTTTATATTAAAATTATACCAAACAATAGTCTTTTTGTTGAAAATATTAAAATGTGCTTTTCTGGCAAAATAATACTTGTGAGCGTAGATATATAAAACTCAATATAGCCATTTTCATTAATAAAGCATGTATAATTATAAACATCTGAAGTACTGGTATGATACTTTGTTTATAATAAGTGCTGAATAATTATTATACCTGACAGAATGTTTACTTATGATGTTTATAGTTGGGTGCACAGCATTTTGCTTCAAGTAATTATGTCTTTAGTCATGACCTAATTTAGACATAGATTGGAAGAAAGGGTGAAAAACTGAAATAATTCCAGTAAGTGGAGAGGATGTTAAGAAAGAAGCTTTTAAAACAAATAAGTTGGAAACCAAGCCCTGGGAAATGGTTTTGTTAGATGTGTAATGGTTTGTAAAGTTGAACTGTCAAAATAAATGGAGAACTTAATAGTGGATGTTTATTATTGGCAAAAAAATTAATTGGAAATAAAATCTCAGTAAAATACATTGGAAGAAAAATGTGGAATGTTTATTAAAGTGAAGAGACAGACAGGTTATCAACCTTCATTCCAGTTACCTGTCGCTGCTGTGGTAATCTACTGCTTTTACACCACCCAAAATTTGTATAAAACAACAACTGGCCAGGTGTGGTGTTTCACACCTATAATCCCCACATTTTGGGAGGCCGAGGTGGGAGGATTGCTTGAGTCCAGGAGTTCAAGACCAGCCTGGACAATATAGTGTGAGACCTCATCTCTACAAAAAATTAAAAAATTATCTGAGTGTGGTGGCTTATTGGGAGGCTGAGGTGGGAGGATTGCTTGAACCCGGGAGGTGGAGGTTGCAGTGAGCTGAGATTGTGCCAGTGCACTCCAGCCTGGGCAACAGAGCAAGGCCCTGTTAGCAGAACAAGACCTTGTCTCAAAATAAGATAAAATATAAAATAAAATAATAAATATAAAATAAAAATAAAATAACCATTATATTATGGTTACAAATTATTGAGGTAGGAATTCAGAGAAGAGACAGCTGTGTGCTTTATTTGGAGCCTCAGAATGGAAGACTCAAATGGCTGGGTATAATTGGACCTGCTGGGATGGAAACAGCTGGAATTGGAGAATCCTCTTCCATGTTGACTTTTTTACTCATCTGATACCTAGACCAGGATAACTCGAAAGCTGGGCTCAGCTGGGATGCTAGACCAGAGGACCTGGAGGACAGTGTAGGTCTCTCCTTGTAGCTTAGGCTTTTCATAGCATGGCAGCACCTGGAGACTAAGTGTTCCGGAAACTGAGAAAGAAGCTGCCAGGCTCCTACTGACCTAGACTCAGAAGTCATTCACTATCATTTTTGCCACATTTTATTGGTTACAAGTGAATCATTGAGGCCAGCCTAGATTTAAGAGAAGGAGAATTGGGCTGGGCACGGTGGCTCACACCTGTAATCCCATCATTTTGGGAGACTAAGGTGGGCAGATCACCTGAAGTCAGGAGTTTGAGACCAGCCTGGCCCACATGGCAAAACCCCATCTCTACTAAAAACACAAAAAAATTAGCTAGATGTGGTGGCGCACACCTGTAATCCCAGCTACTGAGGCAAGAGGCTCAGTAGGGAGGCTGAGGCAGGAGAATTGCTTGAACCCTGGAGGTACAGGTTGCAGTGAGCCAAGATCACGCCACTGCTCTCCAGCCTGGGCGACAGAGCAAGACTCTATCTCAAAAAAAAAAAAAAAAAAAAAAAAAAGAGAGAAGGAGAATTGGACTCTACTTCTTGATGAGAGAGTGGCAGGTCACATTGTAGAAGAGCATGTGGGATGGGAAATATTGTGGCCATCTTTGGGAAATATAGTCTGCCACAATGTACACTTTCAGGGAATAGGGAAAAACATTAACCCATATTTACAGTTCTTTCAGTGGTTAGCCACAAAGTTTTTTTTTTTTTTTTTTAAAGCCAGTCATTTAGGAGCGGGGGAGTTTTATACTAACTTCAGTAACACTAATGTTAATGTGTTCTGATAACCCACTACTATCAGAGCAGCCACCACAAACTTTTAAGAGAGTAAAAAAAAAAAAAAACACAGAAGAGAGTTGGTAATGTAATGTGATATGCGTCATTAAGAAAGACCTCTCCTTTGCCATTTTCTCTTATTTTAAATTTATTTATTTATTTATATTTAGAGACAAGGTTGCCCTCTGTCACCTGGGGTGGAGTGCACAGGCTCAATCACGGCTTACTGCAGCCTCCACTTCCTGGGTCTAAGTGATCCTCCTGCTTCAGCTCCCCCGAGTAGCTGGAACTACAGGTGTGCACCACCACACCTGAATAATTAAAAAAATTTTTTTGTACAGTTGGGGGTCTCACTACCCTGAGCATTCTGGTCTTGAACTCCTGACCTCAGGCAATCCTCTTGTCTTGGCCTCCCAAAGTGTTGGGATTACAAGCATGAGCCACTGCGCCCAGCCTTCTTTGCCATTTTAAACACAAATGTAGAATCTCTAAATTAACAGGGTTGCTTTTCCTCAGTCCTGTAGTCAAACAAAGGAATTCTTAGATATATGGTAGTAAGAAAGACTTTTATATTGTAAGCATAGCAGAAATTTAGAATTTACACTATATAATCATGTGCACTTTGGATATTGTCACTGCTTAGACACTTCCCAGTCTTTTACCTATTGGAACAGTAAGAAAGAGGACCATAATTTCAAGGCCATTGGATTATTACTTCCAAGATTTGGATCTTTACTTCATTAGTAATAGTGTGTATGTGTGTATTTGGGCAGCAGCATTTATTGGTTTCAAGATAGACTACATTAATTAACTCATTTATGCCTTTTGTTCCATTATTGAAATGCTAAGCATGTGAATTATTTATATCCTACTGCTCAAGGTCTGATTCCAAAAATTCAAAAAATTGCAACCTTCGGCATAAATGGGTTAATTCTTAAACATACTGTGGAATAAATTTCTCAATATGATTAAGTTCTTATTTCTATCCTGTTAGCTTGTTTGAGAAACGGGCAGATGGTGACATGAGTAGTAGTTGTGTCAGAAAGGAAGAAAGTCACATCTTTAGTACACAGTGGTGAGTGCCCACCAGACCAGGCTTATATGGGATATAGTTCCTTGGCAGGGAGGTTCTAAGGAGGTTAGCGGTCTAGTGGTTCCATTACAGAATGTTTGTGATGGTTGGGCTTTTCTTCTCTTGTCTCTTGGCTTCATTCTATCATGTATAAATGCTTGGCATGTTGTGAACATCCCAATTTACATCACTTTGGAAAGGAAGTTCCTAGTAGGTTACATGAATAGCATTAGTCTTTGGAGCTACTTGAGGATTTCAGTGAGTTGATGAACTGTGCTAGAACCATTAGAACCATGATTTAGTAGCCAGTAAATTTGATGCCCAATGCCAAGTAATGTCCATGGATAAGACAAGAAATGTATTCTAGTAAGCATAAAATGTTACTGTGGGACGATAGAACCCTAGGTTTGTTTTGGGAAATTTCTGTCTATTTCATCTTTTATGACTGTCATCTCTACCTGGATGTCTGCTATGACCTCAGTACTACGTGTCCAAAATCTAATTAATCTTCTTCTTCATCAGACATCCCCCATATCCCAAATAACAAATAAACCAAAAACCTAGTTTCTTGTCTCAATCTAGCATTTCTGTCTGACCCTATCTTAAATGAAATCTTTTAGAATAGAACATTTGAATTAAAATTTCCTCTTTTTTCTTTTAAGTATTTACACTTCTTTCTTTGAAATATCTTTTAGATTTTCCTTTTCCATTTCCCCAAGTAGGAATCAATGTAGACCTTATTTTTGCAAAGTTTCCTTTCAGGCTCTTCTATTTCAGTTTATCCTGCTTAGTGATATGGTAGTACTAATAAATATACCCTGTATAAATACTCATATTCTCTTTGTTATTTACCACATCAAATCTAAACTCTTCTGCATGTGTTTATCATATCTGTTATCAAGATGGGGAGCAGAGATATAATAAAGGCCAGGCCCCAGAAAAGTGGAGATTGTGGATTTTGTAGGAGGAGGAAGAAGAGGGTAGATTTATTAGGCAAGGGGCATGCCTTTGGGAAGGTAGCCAAGACAGGAGCTGAAAAGGGTAGATGAAGCCCATAATAAGTCATACCCATTACAGACAGTATCAGAGGGCTAAAAAAGTATGTTGTGATACCCAAAGAAATGCAGTATATGAGATTTTACACCAGAGATATATAGCATGTTTACTGTGCATACTTTCAAAGAATTAGGTCACCATCAGTAGTCATTAGGGATATGCAAATAAAAAACACAGTGCGATACCACTTCACACACACTAGGATGGCTGTAATAAAAAAATTGACAATGAAGTGTTGCCACGGATGTGGAGAAATTAAAACCCCTATACATTGTTGGTGGGTTTATAAAATGGTGCAGTCAGTCACTTTGGTAAACAGTTTGGCAATTTCTCAAAAGGTTAAACAGTTACCACATGACCCAGCAATTCTAGGTATATATCCAAGGAAATTAAAAACATACATCCACACAAAAACTTATATACAAACGATCACAGCAGCATTACATATTTGTAATAGCTAAGAATGGAAACAACCCAACTGTTACATCAACTGATGAATGAATAAAATATGGTATATCCATACAATAGAATATTATTTGCCCATAAAAAGGAATGAAATACTGATATATGCTACAATGTAGATTAATCTTGAAAACATTATGCTAAGTGAAAGAGGCCAGACACAAAAGGCTAAATATTGTATGATTTCATTTCTCTGAAGTGTCCAGAATAGGCAAATCCATAGAGACAGAAAGTAGAGTAGTAGTTGAGAGGGGTTGTGAGGAGAAGGGGGAGTGGGAAGAAATGCTGATGGCTGTGGTGTTTCCTTTTAGGGCAATGAAAATATTATGGAATTTGGTAGTGGTGATGGTTGTACAACTTTGTCAATGTGCTTAGAACCCACTGAATTGTACACTTTAAAGGGGGTGAATTTTATGTTACATAAATTATATCTCAAAGCTGTTATTAAAAAAAAATTGTCACAAGGCTCAGTTACTCAAGACTCAAAGCGTGAATATTCCTGAGTATAGGACCTATAAGGCAAGAAGTCTATGTGAATTTCTCTGCCTACTTTAATTTTATCCTAAGCAGTAACATATAACTTCACAGATTTGGTGGGCCACTTAGGTTTAGTGACGGTTAAGATAAATGCATACATATCAAATAAAAATATTGATTACCTAAAGTCCCTTCTTATGTCACACTTTAGGAAATTCTTGCTCTTGTCTAAATGTTTATGTCCCCCAAACTTCATATGTTGAAATCTAATCCCCAGTGTAATAGAATTAAGAGGTGAGGCCTTGAGGAGGTGCTAAGGTCATGAGGAAAGAGCCCTCATGAATGGATTACTTCCCTTATAAAAGAGGTCCAAGGGAGCTTATTTGCCACTTCTGCCATGTGAGAACACATAGAAGGCACCATCACTACGGAACAGGCCCTTGCCACCCAGTCTGCTGATGATCTTGGACTTTCCAGCCTCTGGAACTGTAAGAGATAAATTTCTGTTGTTTATAAGCTACCTAGTTTATGGTATTTTTGTTATAGCAGCCCAAACAGACTAAAACAATTCTGAATTATTGTATATAATTGCTAAGCTAGCGTGATTCATTTTGATTGTAATTCAGTCATTTATTTCAGCTTCCCTTTTAGGGTTACATACAGTGTTTTCGTTTTCTGTAAAAAATAGTGGAGATGGGATAGTAGAAAGATAAATGTATTGGGAAGGTTGTCATTAAATTATATATGATTTTTTTTTTTCTCTAAAGGATTTGAATGTTGAGAACTTTAAGGTTTTTTCTTAAAACTTCATTACATTAACTTCATATCCTTTTATTATGGCACTGAGATTTTCTCAGTAGGGAGCACATCGTAATATTCGTCTCATTAAACTATGTGTAGTGCCTGCTGAGAAGTAGATTGGGACTTGAAAATGTTTATCACCATAGGAAACAACAGAAAAGTATTTTAAAACACAGACGCTTCTCTAAGAATTCTGTTTGGGATAATACTACTCTGTTTCAGAATTCTTAAAAACAGGTTGGCATAATATTCTAATAACTGAATTAATTTTATTGGCCCTTATCTTTGTATTTAGTAAAGCAGGTGGTTGTCAATCATTTTTCCACTCAGTTACCTCCCTTTGTGGGTGTGTGGGTGGCCATAGGATGGAGAATGGGAATGAATGTGTAGTCTTTTTAAAGGGCCACTTAGTGATTCTTATACTACATCCTACCTCTACCCTAAATTGAAAATATTGCCATAGTGATCAAAAGGTATTAATGGAAGTGTAATATCCCCTTGGTCATTGGGCAGAAAAGTGGTTAAGCACAATTGGCGTTAGGCTGTTACATAGAGAAATTTGGGGTGATGTGTTTTTAGATGTGCCTGCTTTGCTGGGAAGATAGGACCTAAGAACAGAGCTATAAACACAGGAGTCAGAGGTGCCTGAGTTATAATAGCCCATTCCAGCTCAGGTTTATCTGAAATAGCAGGTCACTGTCTGGGGGGTATGTGAGTAATTTCAGTTAGCAGGTGCTGTACAAGTCCTCTATAACTTGTAAAGTATAAACCTTGATTGAAGATAGAATGAAGTTTGTAGAGGTGCATGACCTCATTAACAGACTCAACAACTGAGAGAGGGCACCTCTCCCCTAACTTTCAAGCAACCACCAGCTTCCCTTGCTGAGTGTATGTATGACCCAAATAGCTCTTCAGTCAGGTATCAGTTCTCCAGCCCAAGGTTTGTGTTAGGAAGCACAGGGCTCTTTTCCTGAGGTATTTCGATGCCTTTGGCTGTTCTTTAATCAAATCTCATCTAATACATCCTCCACAGTGCAACCAGAATTTTAATTTCTAAAATGCAAGTCAGATCAAGTTATTCCTCTACTTAAATCCCTTCACTGGTTCTACATTACCTACAAAGAAAGGAGTGTTTACTGAATTTGGCACAATGTTATAACTTGACTGTTAGATGATTCATTATATTGGGGTACCTTCCTTTAAGACAACTCAGTGTATTTAGAAATTCAAATTCCTTATGTGTTTTGCACAAAGCCTCTACCTATACAGCTTGTGTGATACTGGCCTCTTTCAGCTAGTGCTGCTTCCTCTCCTGCCTCTGGTGGTTGGTTGTTGATTCATTTGGTGAAAGTGGCTGCCAGCTTAAATCAGGAGTGGGAATCAGATCAGATACAACTCTGAAGGCCACAGAGAAGAGTTTGACTTTTTTCCTCCTGTACATGTGTGGTGGGAAACCATCGGCAGGCTGCAAGCAAGGGTTCTGTTATGATTTATGTTTTGAGATGACCACTTTGGCTACTGATTCAGGAATGAATTGTGGCACAGCATGAGGGGAAGCCGAAAGATCAGTTAGGAGACTACTACAATGGTCCTAGGCCTAATGCCAGATGGTGGTGGCTTGCATTAGGGTGGTTGTGATGGAAATAGAGGTAAGTGCAGACATCATGATGTATTTTGGAAGTAGAACTGTTAGGATCTAATAATGACTTTGTGGTAGGAGGAGGGGAAGAGTACATAATGGAGGAACTCTTAGGTAACATATTTGTATCTTTTCATTCTTTCACAGTACATTTAGGTGTGAAAGGAAGAAATGAAGAAAAAAATAGAATGTAGGTGTCTATATCCAAAATAGCTAATTGAAATTATTTTCAGTCTTTGAATTATGCTTGAGTTAGGTAACTAATTTAGGAATTACAGGAGAATGTGTGATTGGCAGAACATTAGGTCCATTCAAGGACTGACATAATAGAGATCACTATGTGAGAGACTGCAGTCGTACCTCAGGAGATGTTCAGGGAGTCTGCACCCCAGCTCAGGACCTGAGTCTCATACATAGATACTGCTGTCTGGGAACCTGGGCCTCCAATGGCTGCTGACTCTGAAGGCTCTGGCTTTTCAAAGAGGATTTCTCACCAAATACAACCAGAGTCTACAGTGCTTATTTTCTGTTGCATAAAATAATCTTCCAGTCTTACCTGACTCACCTCATTAACTTTTATTAATTTCCAAGTTCTTATTCAAAAACCTGTATTTGAGTCCTGCGATCAGACAAGATAACACATTATAGCCCTCTTATTTTACCTCTTACTTTACCTCTCAAACCAATAGCAGGATATTCTTTTTTTTCTTTTTTGGCAAGATACTCTCTTTTTAAAAAAAAATTTTGTGGGTACATAGTACTCGTATATATTTATGGGGTATATGAGATGTTTTGATGCAATATGAAATAAGCATGTCAATGAAAATGGAGTATCTATTCTCTCAAGCATTTATCCTTTGAGTTACAAACAATCCAATTATAGTCTTTATTTTAAAATATACAATTAAGTTATTGACTATAGTTATCCTACTGTGCTATCAAATAGTAAGTCTTATTCATTTTTTTCTTTTGGTACCCATTAACCATCCCTCCTTCTTCCTAACACCCCACTACCCTCTCCAGCCTCTAGTAACCATCATTCTACCCTCTATGTCCATGAGTTCAATTGTTTTGATTTTTAGATCCCACAAATAAGTGAGAACACGTAGTGTTTTGTCTTTGTGTGCCTGGTTTATTTCACTTAACCTAATGATCTCCAGTTCCATCCATGTTGTTGTAGATGACTGAGTCTCATTCTTTTTTATGGCTGAATTGTATTCCATTGTGTACATGTACCACATTTTCTTTTTTTAAACTTTTATTTTAGGTTCAGGTGTACATGTGTGAGTTTGTTATGTAGGTAATCTCATGTCACAGGTGTTTGTTGTACAACTTACTTCATCACCCAGGTGTTAAGCCTAGTACCCAACAGTTATTTTTTCTGCTCCTTTCCCTCCTCCCACCCTCCACTCTCAGGTAGGCCCCAGCGTTCCCTTCTTTGTGTTCATGAGTTCTCATCATTTAGCTCCCATTTATAAGTGAAAACCTGCGATATTTGGTTTTCTTTTCCTGAGTTAGTTTGCAAGGATAGTAATAGCCTCCAGCTCTATCCATATTCTTGCAAAAGACATGATCTCTTTTTTTTTTTTTTTTGAGACGGAGTCTCGCTCTGTCGCCCAGGCCGGACTGCGGACTGCAGTGGCGCAATCTCGGCTCACTGCAAGCTCCGCTTCCCGGGTTCACGCCATTCTCCTGCCTCAACCTCCCGAGTAGCTGGGACTACAGCGCCCGCCACCGCGCCCGGCTAATTTTTTGTATTTTTAGTAGAGACGGGGTTTCACCTTGTTAGCCAGGATGGTCTCGATCTCCTGACCTCATGATCCACCCGCCTCAGCCTCCCAAAGTGCTGGGATTACAGGCGTGAGCCACCGCGCCCGGCCTATGATCTCATTTTTTTTTTATGGCTGCATAGTGTTCTGTGGTGTATATGTACCCTTTTTTTAAAAAAAAAACCCAATCTGTCATTAATGGGCACTTAAGCTGATTCCATGTCTTTGCTATTGTGAATAGTGCCGCAGTGAACATTCGTCTGCATGTGTCTTTATGGTGGAATGATTTATATTCCTCTGGGTATATACCCAGTAATGGGATTGCTGGGTCAAATGGTAGTTCTGTTTTTAGCTCTTTGAGGAATTGCCACACTGCTTTCCACAATGGTTGAACTAATTAACACTCCCACCAGCAATGTATAAGTGTTCCCTTTTCTCTGTAACCTCACTAGCATTTGTTGTTTTTTGACTTTTTAATAATTGCCATTCTGACTGGTGTGAGATGGTATCTCATTGTGGTTTTGACTTGCATTTCTCTCATGATCAGTGATATTGACCTTTCTTTCGTATGCTGGTTCACTGCATGTATGTCTTCTTTGGAAAAGTGTCTGTTCATGTCCTTTGTCCACTTTTTAATGGGGTTGTTTTTGTCCTGTACATTTAAGTTCCTTATAGATGCTGGATATTAGATCTTTGTCAGATGCATAGTTTGCAAGAATTTTCTCCCATTCTGTAGGTTGCTTGTTCACTCTAATGATAGTTTCTTTTGCTGTGCAGAAGCTCTTTAGCTTAATTAGATCCCACTTGTCAATTTTGGCTTTTGTCGTGATTGTTTTTGGTGTCCTTGTCATGGAACCTTTGCCCATTCCTGTGTCCTGAATGGTATTGCCTAGGTTATCTTCCAGAGTTTTTATAGTTTTGGGTTTTACATTTAAGACTTTAATCCATCTTGAGTTGATTTTTGTATATGGTGTAAGGAAGGGGTCCAATTCCAATCTTCTACATATGGCTAGCCAGTTATCCCAGCACCATTTATTGAGTAGGGAATGTTTTCCCCATTGCTTGTTTTTGTCAGCTTTGTCAAAGATTAGATGGTCATAGGTATGTGGTCTTGTTTCTGGACTCTCTATTCTGTTCCATTGGTCTATGTGCCTGTTTTGTTTTGTTTTGTTTTTATTTTATTTTTTGAGACAAAGTGTCGCTCTTATCCCCCAGGCTGGGGTGCAATGGCACCATCTTGGCTCACTGCAATCTCTGCCTCCCAGGTTCAAGTGATTCTCCTGCCTCAGCCTCCCAAGTAGCTGGGACTATAGGTGCCCGCCACCACGCCCGGGTAATTTTTGTATTTTTAGTAGAGATGGGGTTTTACCATGTTGGCCAGGCTGGTCTCGAACTCCTGACCTCAGGTGATCCGCCTGTCTTGGCCTCCCAAAGGGCTGGGATTACAGGCGTGAGCCACCGCGCCTGGCGTATGTGTCTGTTTTTGTACCAGGATCATGCTGTTTTGGTTACTGTAGCCCTGTAGTATAGTTTGAAGTCAAGTAATGTGATGGATCCAGCTTTGTCCTTTTTGCTTAGGATTGCCTTGGCTATATGGGCTCTTTTTTGGTTCCATATGAATTTTAAAATAGTTTTTTGTAGTTCTGTGAAGAATATCATTGGTAGTTGGATTGGAATAGCATTGAATCTGTAAATTGCTTTGGTCAGTATGGCCATTTTAATGATATTGATTCTTTGTATCCATGAGCATGGGATGTGTTCTCATTTGTTTGTGTCATCTCTGATTTCTTTGAGCAGTGTTTTGTAATTCTTGTTGTGGAGATCTTTCAACCAGTCCCCCACTACCATCCCCCATTATCCCATTACCCTTCCCAGCCTCTGGTAACCATCATTCTACTCTCTGTGTCCATGAGTTCAATTGTATTGATTTTTAGATCTACAAATAAGTGAGAACGGGATGTTTTGTGTACAGGTATTCTTAGGTATTTTATTCTTTTTGTGGCAATTGTGAACGGAATTGCCTTCCTGGTTTGTCTCTTAGCTTGGCTGTTGTTGGTGTATAGGAATGCTAGTGATTTTTGTACATCGATTTTGTATCCTGAAACTTTGCTGAAGTTGTTTATCAGCTGAAGGAGCTTTTGGCCCGAGACTATGGGGTTTTCTATATATAGAATCATGTCATCTGCAAACAGGGATAGTTTGACTTCTTCTCTTTCTATTTGGATGCCCTTTATTTCTTTCTCTTGTGTGATTGCTCTGGCTAAGACTTCCAATTCTGTGTTGAATAAGAGTGGTGAGAGAGGGCATCCTTGTCTTGTGCTGGTTTTCAAGGGAAATGCTTCCAGCTTTTGCCCATTCAGTATGATGTTGGCTGTGGGTTTGTCATAGATGGTTATTATTATTTTGAGGTATGTTCCTTCAATATCTTGTTTACTGAGTTTTTTTCACATGAAGGGATGTTGAATTTTATCAAAAGCCTTTCTGCATCTATTGAGACAATCATGTGGCTTTTGTCTTTAGTTCTGTTTATGTGATGAATCACATTTGTTCACTTGGGTATGTTGAACTAACCTTCCATCCCGGAGATGAAGACTACTTGATCATGATGGATTAGCTTTTTGATATGCTGCTGGATTTGGTTTGCAAGTATTTTGTTAAGGATTTTTGCACTGGTGTTCATCAAGGATATTGGCCTGAAGTTTTCTTTTTTTCTGTGTGTGTCTCTGCTAGGTTTTGGTATCAGACTAATGCTGGCCTTATAGAATGTGTTGGGGAGGAGTCCTTCCTCCTCAATTTTATGGAATAGTTTCAGTAGGAATGGTACCAGCTCTTTGTTTTATATCTGGTAGAATTTGGCCGTGAATCCATATGATCCTGGGCTTTTTTTGGTTTTTAGGCTATTTATTACTGATTTAATTTTGGAGCTCATTATTGATCTGTTCAGGGAATCAATTTCTTCCTGGTTCAGTCTTGGGAGAGTGTATGTGTCCAGGAATTTGTCCATCTCTTCTAGGTTTTCTAGTTTGTGTGCACAGAGGTGTTCGTAGTAGTTTCTGATGGCTGTTTTTATTTCTGTGGGATCAGTGGTAACGTCCCCTTCATCTTTGCAATTGTGTACGACATTTTCTTTATCCATTCATCTGTTGATGGACACGTAGGTTACTTCCAAATCTTAACTATTATAACCGGTGCTGCAACAAACATAAGGGTATAGATATCTCTTTGATATACTGATTTCCTCTCTTTTGGGTACATACCCAGCAGTGGGATTGCTGGATCATATAGTAGTTTAATTTCTAGTTTTTTGAGGAACCTCCAAACTGCCCTTCATAGTGATTGTACTCATTTACATTCCCATCCATAGTGTACAAGGGTTCCCTTTTCTCCATATCCTTGCCAGCATTTGTTACTGCCTGTCTTTTAGATATAAGCCATTTTAACTGGAATGAGATGATATCTCATTGTAGTTTTGATTTGCATTTCTCTGATAATCAATAATGTTGAGCACTTTTTTATATGCCTGTTTGCCATTTGTATGTCTTCTGTTGAGAAATGTCTATTTAAATCTTATGCCCATTTTTTTATCAGATTATTAGATTTTTTTCCTGTAGCGTTTTTTGAGCTTTTATGTATTCTGGTTATTAATCCCTTGTCAGATGGGTAGTTTGCAAATATTTTCTACTCTGTGGGTTGTCTCTTCACTTGGTTGATTATATCCTTTGCTGTGCAGAAGCTTTTTACCTTGATGTAATCCCATTTGTTCATTTTTGCTTTGGTTGCCTTGGTGCAGGATATTCTTAAAAATAGATTCCACGATCTTGTGGATGCTATGATATACCATATAATGGTTATAGCGGTAGTTGCTCCTAAGATCTGCTCTGCATTCCTGGCCATTCAGGGGTATGTATTAGCAAGACTGTGGTGTCATATGGCCTTTTCCAAATACTAAAGAAATGTTAGTCATAATTGACTTTACTTGATATACAGCACAAAGAATTCATGCTTTTGATGACAGGAAATTGCATGGGCATAGTAAAAATTATGGTGTATTTTTGCATAGTTTTTTTTTTTATTTGGTAGGTATAACAATCACTACAAAATTGGTCGTTTGAAGATCAACTTGGTGTAGTTAACTTTTTAAAGCATACCTT
Source organism: Homo sapiens (assembly GCF_000001405.40). Classification (NCBI taxonomy): domain Eukaryota; kingdom Metazoa; phylum Chordata; class Mammalia; order Primates; family Hominidae; genus Homo; species Homo sapiens. The sequence goes on along the minus strand of NC_000006.12, from coordinate 119,046,484 downwards.
TTCAGGCCGAGGCAGGTGGATCACCTGAGGCTAGGAGTTTGAGACCAGCCTGGCCAACATTGTGAAACCCTGTCTCTACTAAAAATACAAACCTTAGCTGGGTGTGGTTGCGCTTGTCTGTACTTGTCAGCTACTTGGGAGGCTGAGTCAGGAGGATCGCTTGAACCCAGGAGGCAGAGATTGCAGTGAGCCTAGATCATGCCACTGCACTCCAGCCTGGGCAACAAAGCTAGACTCTGTCTCAAAAAAAAAAAAAAAGGTATACATTTTCTATCATGACCACAACTTTTATCTTACTTACCAATTCCAAATACTTGGTGTGATTTTAAATTTTTCTTTGTATTTCATTCCCTATATCCAACCTCTTATTAGGTTCTGTTACAAGGTGAGATATGGAAAAAAGATAACAGTTGTAATAAGATAAAGGATGGAATGTTTTTCCTTATTCCTTTTGTTTTTAATATATTATCCAAATTTTCTACAATGAATAGTGATTACTTTAGTAATCAGGGAATATATAGTACATATACTTTTCCTAAGCATCATTTTCAATAGGGATATGACAAAAGGAGGACATTCCAGGGAGATCACTAGTAATGGCAAAGGTGTAGAGAAAAAGAAGCATAATTAGTTCTTAAATATTTATTAACTTCCCTAATCCAGATTTTTGCAATATAAATTTTTTTTAATTGGCTTTATTGTATTTAAGAAGAAATTTTGTCTGAATTGAGCATGAAAATATAGGAAATCTTTGTTATTGCAGCTTTGAGTATTTGTTGCTCTTATTAGTAATTTCACTGTGGTGCATTTTGCATCTTCTATCTGTATATGAGGCAGGCAGGCAGTCTGGTCTCGCCATTTTTGTATCCTACCCTACATCCCCTCTCCACTGTTCTTCTGCCTCTTTCAATTCCAAAGTTCAGTCACCAAGAAGAAAAATCTGCTGTTAAGTCACTGCTCCAAGGTTGCTTTGTGGGTGATTTTTTCTCCAAGGTTGTAATGCCAAAATGCATTTTTCAGAGGCCTGCATGTGACCTTGAGCCAGCCCTAGGTGATGGTTATGTCATCTGCACATCGGGTAGGTTTAAGAAGGACAATTAGAAAACAAGTGTTTAAAAGAAGAGTCTAGCTCCTATTAGGGTCTCTTTCCTTGATATACGTAGATGAATAGAATGGCAAAAAAAAAAAAAAAATTGAGAAACTGATAGTTATACTGTTTTAGCAGGTAGAGGAAAACAGCCTTCCTTTTCTCATTTATTTTTATCAATATACCAGAGGTTTCCCAGCTTCTTTGATATGACCATAGAGCAGTGAACTAGATGAGTAGATGAGGGAAGGAATGTCACTTTTGGCTTCACTTCCCTTCTGCCTAAGAATATCAGCAATCCTTGAATGGATGAAGGGGCAAAAGGTTGGAGAACCCATAAGAAATGCTTTGAGAGCAAGCGTAGGTTGTATTTACAGCATTCCAAATTAGAAGAGATCGCTAGAATTGTGTTCCTTGCTCAACATATTTGGTGCATGTTTACCTGTGTAATGTACAGAGCCAGGTACAGACCAACTCCATAAATTTTGGAAGAAAATAAAGCACTCTAATTCCTAATCACCACATACCTTAATGATATCAGTAGCTGTCACTCTCTAGAGGACTCCAACATAGATGAGATAAACTAAGAGTTATACCCAGTTCCCAGTGTATTGGCCATTAAGGCTTTCCTTTTCTTCACGTTTACAAACTTCAGTCTCTATTAACATTAAATTATTTGGGGCATGTAAGTCACAGCATCAGTAGTACCCAGGTAATTGGAATTGTTTTCTTAATTTTTTTTTTCAAAGTGTTCATTGCTTCATTGATAGTTTATAATTGATGTGTGTTGATCTTTTTTTTTTTTTAATTAAAGAGAGACAAGTTCTCGCTTTGTTACCCAGGCTGAAATGCAGTGACAAGATCATAGCTTACTATGCCCTTGAACTCCTAGGCTAAAGCAATCTGGCCACCTCAGCCTGCCGAGTAACTAGGACTCTAAGTGCATACCACCACACCCAGCTAACTTTTAAATTTTTCGTAGAGACAGACTCTTGCTTTGTTGCCTAGGCTAGTCTTGAATTCCTGGTCTCAAGTGATTCTTGTGCCTCAGAGACCTAAGGCTTCTAAATCTTCTGCAAATTTGCTGAATTCGTTTATTAGCTCGAATAGTTTTTTGTTGATCATTTGAGATTTTGTAGATTAAAAAAATTGTATCATCTGCAAATAATGATAGTTTTACTTCCCCAATTTGGATGCCTTATATTTCTTTTTCTTGCATAATTGCTCTAGCTAGGACATCCAGTGCAATGTTAATAGTGGTAAAAGTGTGATTCTCCTTTGTCTTAATCAGTCTAAGGCTTGTCAATTTTGTTGATCATTTTAAAAAATCAACTTTTGGTTTCATTGGTTCTCTCTACTGTTTTCTATTCTCTGTTTCATTTATACCTACTCTAATCTTTATTGTTTTCTTCCTTCTGTTTTGGGTTTCATTTACTCTTCCTTTTCTGGTTCTTTGAGGTGTGAATTTAGGTTATTGATTTGAGTTCTTTCTTTTTCAGTGTAGTTTATAACTACTCAATTATGCCAGTATAATGGGAAGGCAGCCATAGACAATACATAAATGAAAAGGCATACCTGTGTTCCTTTATTTACAAAACAGGTTGCAGACCACTGTTTGAGCTGCATCCTACAAGTTTTGATACATTTTGTTTTCATTTACATCCAATGGCTTCCTGCCCATTCTCCCAAAGAGTTTTTCTTTTTTTCTCTTTCCCCAGCCTCACTAGGTTATCACATTTGCCCTGGGGCTAAAGGTGCCGAGGTGGGGCAGGGGTAGAAAAAGAGGGTTTGTTGCCCTTACCCTAGTAGCTTATGGCTTTTGTTCCTTAGATGAGAAGGATCTGGGTAGTTTTTGTGCTTTCCCTGCAGTGGGAGGCCTGTTTCTCTGAGCAAAGCTTTCTCTGTCTCCTACCCAGTAAACAGTTTTTCTTGTGACTACCCACTGAGGTCATAGAAAAGAGACTATGAGTAGGCAAACTTGATTGTGTCTGTGGCTTCCCTGGGTTCCATTTTCTCACACTTGCCCATGTTCTTACCTTGAGCAATTTTTAGTAAATTTTTGCTGAATTCTTACCCACTTATGTGACCTTCTCATTTTCCTTCTGTGCTCTGCCACAGGTGAGCCAATGCCTGTGTCCTGTCTGTCCTTGGAGGCTTTTCTTAGAGTGAAAGCCAGTTGGTTGCATTGTGATCTCAGCTTTCTGATAGGTTCATGAAAATTGATGAATTTATAGGTTATTTCATAGTCATTAGGTAGAACATTGCTCCATTTATATTTCTACATTCTAGGTGGAAACTGGAACCCCATCAGATTTATTTTTAATAAATTGAACACACCCAAATGTCAATGTGAATAGATATTTAATTTTCTTCAGAGAATTCTTTAATCTGCTGCCTGACTCTTGGCATTCAGAATTTGGGCAGGTGTGGGGAGAACTCGGGACACATTGTTCAGGATGCAGATTTTTGAAAAATAGACTTTACTCTTTTAGAGCAATTTTTAGTTTCACAGCAAAGTTGAGCAGAAAGTACAGAGTTCCCATCCCCTTTTCTCCAACACACATGGCCTCCCTGACTGTCAGCATCGTGTAGTAGAGTGATATGTTAGAATCATTAGACCTACATTGACACATCATTATCACCCAAAGTCCATCATTATTACCTAAAGTCCATGGTTTACATTAGGATTTGTTCTTGATGTTGTACATCCTAGGGATTTTGACAAATGTATAATGACATGTGTTCACCATTGTGGTATTATATAGAATAGTTCCACTGCCCTAAAAATCCTCTGTGCTCTTGTTAGCAGTGGAAGAGATCTGAATTACCCCAAATTATTGGTGGTGAATCCATATGGGTCCACGGCAACTTCAGTCTTTGCCTCCTCAAAAGAAAGAATTCAACTGAGGGGCATAAAGCAAAAAAAAGAGACCCAGGCAAGTTCCAGACTAAGAATGGAAGTTTAGAAGTAATTTCCTCCCAGTTTATTTTGAAGCCAAGTAGTTTAAAGTTTGGGGAAATTAAACTTCCCAGTTTTGGGGAATGCATCCGAGGAACATGCCCTGCAGTGTGGACACATGATTACCCATCTGCCACTTGTGAAGAGAGAACAGAGGAGAAGAAAAAGGAAAAAGAAGGCATTCCCCCTTTCTTCCCATTATCCTGGATGAGGCATCCCCCATCGTCCTGGGTTCCAGGCTTTACCGATCTTACCATGTACCCCCGGTTCTGGGTTCTGGGCTTAACCAGTCTTACCATATTCCCCTAGTTCTGGGTTCCAGGCTTAACTGGTCTTGCCATGTACCGTCAGTTCTGGGTTCCGGGCTTAACCAGTCTTAACGGGTACCCTTGGTCCTGTTACCAGGGGGTCCTTGTTCCCAGAGCTCCCAAGATGGTGGCGGGCCGCTTCCAAGATGGTGGCAAGCCTCGTGTTCTCTGACCTGGGGTTCTTAGCCTCACGGATTCCAAGGAATGGAATCTTGGGCCATGCGGTGAGTGTTATACCTCTATTAGAAGCCGTGGGTCATGGAAGAGAACCGTGGAACCCAGCAACTAGTGTTCAGCTCGATTAGGACGAACCCGGGCACTTAGCCGTGCAGGACCAATGGCAAGCCTTTAGCCCGATCCAGAGTGGCAGTGGGCACCTCACTGGATCAGGAGCACAGTGGACACCCTGCCGGATCCGGAGGGGTGGAAGTCAGCGGCGGGTCTGCGAAGGTGACAAACAGCAGTGGGGAACTGGGAGTGAAAGCTCAGCTCTAGCCGTAACAAACACGGACCAGAAGAGTGCAGCTGCAAGATTTAATAGAGTGAAAACAGAGCTCCCATACAAAGGGAGGGGACCCAAAGAGGGTAGCGGTTGCCAGCTGGAATGTCTGGGTTTATATCCTGATCATTGTCCCTCCCGCTGTGCTCTCAGGCGATAGATGATTGGCTATTTCTTTACTTACTGTTTTTGTCTAATTAGCATTTTAGTGAGCGCTCTTTACTACCTGATTGGCCGAGTGTGAGCTAAGTTGCAAGCCCCGTGTTTAAAGGTGGATGCGCTCACCTTCCCAGCTGGGTTTAGGGATTCTTAGTCAGCCTGGGAAATCCAGCTAGTCTTGTCTCTCAGTCCCATCTCATCATAATTTTAGCTTGGGACCACCCTTCATCTCTGTCCCGTGGATCTCTTGTGTCTGCGGCCTTGGGCTGGCCTTGTCGCCACGACCTTATAGTAACCCTCACTTGGAGTATTTTAGTAATAAAATGATCATGTCTTTTCTTAGAAGCTTATTTCTCCATTAACTGCTACAGGGGCTGGAATTCTCTCCCCTAGAATATGACTTTGAAGGCCCTGTTGCCTGTTGAGAAGGGTGTGGAAGTAGTTCAAGAAATGGGAGCTAAAGGAGGAAGTGGAAGGAACACGCATGGAAACCCCTCAAATGCTTGCAAAAACAGCAGCCCTTGGATTCAAGAGTGCAACATTTGTTCACCTTCTGGAACAAAAGTTCAAACATAAATCAGTAACCCCTGAGGACTTGCGGCTTGGGGTAAGAATTTCTCCACCTCCTAAAGTGGTGCTAACTTAAAAAGCAAGTGGGTGGAGTCCTTAAAAAGGGCCAGATTGAAGGTCTGTGCAGGTGGACAAGCAGCTTTTAAGAGCCATTAGAAAACTTAGCCCCGGGATATAACAGGAACAAAAAGCACTTGGTGAGTTATGAAAAGCCAGCAAAGCCAGAGTTCCAATTCGTATTTGTCCCGGAAAAGAGCCGATTTTAGTTGAAAAAGCAGAGGAAGCCCGAGACATTACATGGTTTAGGCTTTAGCCCCACCATTTGTGCAAGGCTCCTGTCAAGAAGGGCCATATAATGCCTTAGATATGCTCAGTACAGACCCTAAAGTCCCTGCCACCCTTGCAAGCCACCCGGCAAGGTGACCTGAGAAATCAGCTGGGCGGAGCAGAGTCACTCTGGCCAAGAGGAATTACTCTGGGGAATTTGTTAGTAAGCAGGAAAGAGAGGAAAAGCCATGCATGTGGGTCAGATGCCTCCAGCTGAAGAAGGTGAGGCATAGAAATCTCTTACCACTAGGAAGGTATCCAAGTCACGGCAACAAATATGTTAGTGGTGGAAGAGATCTGAGGTACCCCGAGTTACCGGCGGCAAATCCATACGGGTCCACAGCAACTTCAGTCTTTGCCTCCTCAGAAGAAAGAATTCAACTGAGGGGCATAAAGCAGAAAAACAGACTGAGGCAAGTTCCAGAGCAGGAATGGAAATTTATTTAAAAGGCCTTAGAACAAGGTGCACTTGGAAGAGACCCACGCAGGCATATGAAGATTAAAGAGAGAAGGTCGAGTCCCCGTTTAACCTGATGCTAGGACTTTTATAGGCTCACCTTTTTCCCATGATTTTTCCCTAAGGGTGGGCTGCCTGCATGTGCAGAGCACGCGTAGTGTGTTTAGGGAGTTATACACATGCCCATCTGAGGCTTTCTTCCTTTTTCCAGTGTAGCGTACCCAGAAGATACTTTGCCATTTTTGTCTCTTAATCTGCATGTCCAGGAAGTTGCATCTCCCTGGGGCCTGCATCCAATTAACGTTTTGATGTTAACAGGTGTGGACCATCAAGAAATGGCCTGTCCCTGGTGCTGCTGAATTATCATTTTTAGAGAGGCAGTGTGATAATTGCCAAACCATCACCTGACATTTCTAGTGGGGGGTGGGGCAGAGCCCTGTCCAGCCCCAGTCTTGCCTAGCTATGATACCTGTAACACTGCCTATTCCTTCCTCCCTCTCCTCAACCCCTGGCAACTACTGATCTATTTACTATCTTCATACTTCTGCCTTTTCTAGAATGTCATGTAATTGGGATCATACAATATGTAGCTTTTTCAATTTGGCTTCTTTTACTTAACAATATGCATTTAAGATTTCTTCATGTTTTCCCATGGCTTGATCGTTCATTTCTTTTTATCTCTGAATAATATTCCATCGTCTGGATCAGTTTATCCATTCACCTACTGAAGGACGCCTTACTTTTGAGATTTGGCACTTTTGAATAAAGCTGCTATAAACATCTGTGTGCCAGTTTTTGTATGGACATATATTTTTAACTCATTTGAGTAAATACCAATTCCTGGATTGTATGATAAGAATGTGTTTAGTTTTATAAGAAACCGCTCAACTATCTTCCAAAATGTCTACAATATTCTCACAAGCAATAAATGAGAGTTCTTGCTGCTCCATATTCTCATCAGCATTTGCTGTTGTCAGTGTGTTGGGTTTTGGCCTAGATCTAATATGTGTGTCGTGACATCTTACTATTTTAATATGCAAATCATTATTGATGTTAAGCATATTTTCATATACTTATTTGCCATGTATGTATCTTTTTTGGTGAGGTATTTATTGAGATATTTTGCCCATTTAAAAATCAGATTACTCATTTTCTTATTGTTGAGTTGTAAGTGTTCTTTGTACATTTTGGTTAAGTCCTTTATCTTTTGCAAATATTTTCTCCCAGTCTGTGGCTTGTGAGTTTTTTCACTGAATCCCTCTGCTTTTTGTACTCATCCCTGACCTCCTCTTGTTACAGGAAAGGGGTCCCGATCCAGACCCCAAGAGAGGGTTCCTGGATCTCGCTCAAGAAAGAATTCAGGGCCGGTCCGTAGTGCAAAGCGAAAACAAGTATATTAAGAAAGTAAAGAAATAAAATAATGGCTACTCCATAGACAGAGCAGCCCTGAGGGCTGCTGGTTGCCCATTTTTATGGTTATTTCTTGATGATATGCTAAACAAGGGATGGATTATTTATGCCTCCTCTTTTCAGACCATATAGGGTAACTTCCTGACGTTGCCATGGCATTTATAAACTGTCATGGCGCTGGTGGGAGTGTTGCAGTGAGGACAGCCAGAGGTCACTCTCCTGGCCATTTTGGTTTTGGTGGGTTTTAGCTGACTCCTTTACTGCAACCTGTTTTATCAGCAAGGTCTTTGTGACCTGTCTTTTGTCATGACCTCCTATCTCATCCTGTGACTTAGAATGCCTTAGCAATCTGAGAATGCAGCCCAGTAGGTTTCAGCCTCATTTTACTCAGCTCCTATTTAAGATGAAGTTGCTCAGGTTCAATTGCCTCTGACACTCTGTGTCCAGCATCCCCAAGCCTACAGTTTCTTTAGCTCATTTTCTCTATTTGTTTGTTTGTTTATTTTTTTTACTAGTGTAGGAGAGATTACTGTCCTGTCTGCTTGATTCAGGTGACAGCTGGGGGTTTAACTGCCCTTTGCAAACTAGAAAACAACCTCCTGTTATCAGCCTCTTATCTCGGCTCCCCACCTGCTCCTCTTGTGTTTCTAGGGCTGTGCTGGACAAGTCAAATTTCTTCTTAGTGATTTTTCTCTCTCTCAACACTAAGGTTTTACCTTCTTGTATTCTGACAAATTATTTCGTATTTCCTCATTTGCTTTCTGTCCTCACATATTGAGATTCAGGTAAAGATGCCTCGTAGATAAAACTTTATCCAAGATAAGAGTTTACCTTTTTCTTATTTTCTTTTTTGCTTTGGACTGCTTTTCAAGAAGAGAAAAAGGTAGTTTTTGACTTCATTTTCTTGCTTGTTGATTTTCTAAAGTAAAATTTTGAAGGTTGAAACTTATCAGTGTCTTCTGTAGTATAAAACGCAAAAAGAAATGGCTTTGCCAATGCTTAGCAAATATTATTTTTACGTATTCTAAATTAAGTTATACTACCACAATTAACCTATGTGACTGTTATTTTATTATTAATTTTTCTTTTTTATTTGTTATTGGATGTTGTCATTTTTTATTCCAAAGGGCAAAACACAGTTTTGGTGTTGCCATCTCATTCAAGAATATTGATGGTGTTTGTATTGGTTAGATAGCAAACAGTGAAGGCATGTTATCAGAATAAACCAATGAACTATTATCAAAGCCAGGTGTAGTGGCACATGCTTGTAGTCCCAGCTACTCAGGAGGCTGTGGCAATAGATCACTTGAGCCCAGGAGTTCAAGGCCCAGCCTGGGCAACATAGTGAAGCCCTGTCTCTTAAAAAACTTAAAAACAAACAACAACAACAAAAAAACCCCTCACAACTGCTATCCTTTTGTCCTGCTGTCAAACTATGATATTTAATTGACTGTAAGATGAACCCTGATTTAAGAAATGTTCAAATGTGAAAGAAAAAAATCTGTCTTAGAACCATTGCCTAGTACCATTGTAGGCATACAAACAGAAAAATATACAGAGATTCTAAATCTTAAAATTACTATAAAGACACTTTTTCCAGTTAAATTTCAGGGACAAATTAATAACTAGGAAGTTTTTAACTTTAACTGACATTCCATGGCACTCATTCTCTCAGTGTCCAGGATTATTGGGCCACACCAACCACAAAAATCATTCACATTTTGTGCCTTAACTGAAGTTGCTTTCCTCGTAGTTCTTGACAACTGACTTTGCCCTTTTATGCCTTTCTAATTACTGCAATCTTTATCCAGTTCTTTCTACTGAAAACTTATTATGCCATGTCACAGTATTCTGTACTATACAGCTTGACACTTAATATATATTATCTAAAAATTGTCTGCCATTATATTTTATGCCAAAATAAAAATATGTTTTATTTTGAGCAGGTCTATTTTGAGAAAGATTAAGAACATTCATACTTTTCTTTGCCAGAATGCATATAAAAAAGTACTGAGCATTCACAAAATGTTTGTTGTTTTGATTTTTGTTGTTGTTGAAGTATGGTAGCACAGATCCCATTGCACAGATCCTGAATCATAGCTGTATAGTAGGACTTCTGCTTGCTGTTTGAGAATTCAAGTTAAATCTGGGGAAACAGATGTATTCCACATTACCATACACAAAGATACCTCCAACATTATTAGACTTTATCAATATTTTCCAAAAGATTTCCCAGCAATAATTATAGAATCATACAGCGAGGAAATATATCTTTAAAGACAATTTCCCAATGCAATTGGATTTTAAAGTTCTTTTAAAATTAGAGTTTTATAGTGCCCTTGGCTTAAGTAAAATCCAAATGAGCTCCTTTTGTGAACTGTCTTGTAAATGTTTCATTTGGACACACATCTGTTGCTGACATTCATTTGATTACATAATGTACGAAGAATGGCTTTTGTCTTTTGATTTTCCTTTCTAGTTAAAAAAAAAAAGACACTGGACCGAGGGGAAAAAAAGACGTGAATCATTTATGGGGCTGAACTATTCTGTGTAGGTAGCATTTGTTCCCATTCTATTCACGTTGAACTCCAGATCTTCAGTGCATCTCTCTAGTAGATCCTGTTCTAGTCATTAATAGGAAATAGATAAGTGACTCAATATTTTATATTAATATGGTGTCAACGAAAAGAGTCAAACTCTGTAAAATATTTGAAAAGATGTATTCTGAGCCAAATATGAGTGACCAATGTCCCCTGACATAGCTCCAGGAGATCCTGAGAACATATGCCCAAGGTGGTCGGGCTATAGCTTGGTTTTATACATTTTAGGGTGGCATAAAACATAAATCAGTACACGTAAGATGTACGTTTGTTCCATTGGGAAAGGTGCGACAACTTGAAAGGAGGGTGACAGGGTGGGGGTTTCTGGTCATAGGTGGATTCAAAAAAAATTTTTTTTGGCAGCTGGTTAAAAGCGTTGTTACCTAAAGACCTAGGAGTGTCTGGGTTAAGATAAGGTTGTGGAGACGAAGGTTTTATCATGCAGATGAAGCCTCCAGGTGGCAGGCTTCAGAGCTCTTATCAGACCTAAAAAGATACCAGACTCTTAGTTAATTCTCTCCCGGATCAGGGAGAACACCTGGAAAGGGAGGGGGATTCTCCACACAATGTAGATTTTCCCCACAAGAGACAGTTTTGCAGGGCCATTTCAAAATATGTCAAATAAATATATTTTGGAGTGAAATACTTCAGTTTCTTTCAGGGCTTGCTGTGCGTCCTGTAAACCTGGCTGGAATTTGGTGTCTTATTGCTACAAAAAGTCTGGTTCATCAGTCTTAAAATCATTGTTTTAATGTTAATTCTTGTCAGCTGTCCCTGAATTCCAGTGGGAGGAGGGTATAATGAGGTATGTGTGACCCCCTCTTCCTATCATAGCCTGAACTAGTTTATCAGGTTAACTTTGGAATGCTCTTGGCCAAGAGGAGGAGTCCATTCAGTTCTTTGGGGAACTTGGAATTTTATTTTTGGTTTACAGTGGGTTAAAAGGTTTTGTTAAAATCCTCTTTAAATGTCTAACCGGCCAGTTGCTTTTTCTTCCACTCTCACAGCCTTTTAAAAAAAATCCTTCCGTAGTTGTGAACAGTCTAATTCTGACCTTTGGCTCACAAACTCCACTCAGGAAAAGAAAGGACATGTGGTCCACAGAGACAGCTGTTATTACTCAGGCGAGCCCTCCTAAAGGGCTTGCCACACAGGAGTACGTTGGTTTGTCTTAGGGACTAAACCTTTTGTAAACAAAATTCATTTTCTAATATTTTTTCTTATCTCTTAATACTGAGTCGGACATTACAGAAGAAGAACACTAGTTTAGCATAGGGTTGGGGGAAAGGTAGTATAGGAAAAGCCCACTGATGAAATGTGCCCTGATAATGTATTAGATACTGTAAGCAGTGGTAGGTAGGATGGATTGAGAAGCCACAATGTAAGATTTCCACAAAGAGAAACTTGACATTAAAAACCTATAAAATAAAGACTATAAAAATATATGCATTCTAGAAAATATCCAGCCTAGGCTCTCTAAAAAATGTTAATATGATGAAATAAAAAAACAAAAAGCAAAGGTTTTTTTAAAAAAAAAAAAAACTATATATTAAAACAGACAAAGAATATGACGACTCAATACAATGTGGGATCCTTGACTGGATCTTCATTGACAAAGAAAAGCTATTGTAGATTTCACTATTGGCATAATTTGGTGAATTTAAATATAGGCTCTGTGTTAGATAATATTCTATTAAGTTAAATTTCCTGGGAATAATAATGCTACTGTCTTTGATCTTATGAAACAATGTACTAAGATATTTAGTGATGGGTTCTGATAGCTGCAACTTATTTTCAAATGATTCAGAAAAAAGAAAATTCATGCATATGTATATACAAATGCTTGGTGGTGAAAGAGTTTGGGATTTTTCTTTCTAACATTCACTTTGCACTAAGCGATACTCTATGAGTTTTGGTTCTTGCTTTTTTCTTTAGAATGTATGTTCGTTTATGATCTCCTCATTTTAATATTTTTTCTTTCATCTACCTCATTTTATTAGCCTGAGGTACTTGGGACTATTTCTTGGATTTAACTCTCTCTCTCTCTCTCTCTCTCTCTCTCTCTCTATATATATATATATATATATATTTTTTTTTTTTTTTTTTTTTTTTTTTTTTGAGACAGAGTCTCACTCTGTCACTCAGGCTGGAGTGCAGTGGCATGATCTCGGCTCACTGCAGCCTCTGCCTCCCAGGACAAGCAATTCTCCTGCCTCAGCCTCCTGGGTAGCTGGGATTACAGACGCGTGCCACCATGTCTGACTAATTTTTGTACTTTTAGTAGAGATGGGGTTTTGCCATGTTGGCCAGGCTGGACTTGAACTCCTAGCCTCAGGTGATCCACCCATCTGGGCCTCCCAAAGTCCTGGGATTACAGGTGTGAGCCACCGCAGTGGCCTAATTCTGTAACTTCTTTAGTTTCTTTCTTTCTTTTTTTTTTTTTTGAGACGGAGTCTCACTCTGTCGTCCGGGCTGGAGTGCAGCGGCATAATCTTGGCTCACTGCAACCTCCACCTCCTGGGTACAAGCGATTCTCCGGCCTCAGCCTCCTGAGTAGCTGGGAATACAGGCACCTGCCACTACGCCCAGATAATTTTTTGTATTTTTAGTAGAGACGGGGTTTCACCATGTTGACCAGGCTGGTCTTGAACTCCTGACCTCATGATTTGACCACCTTGGCCTCCCAAAGTGCTGGAATTACAGGCGTGAGCCACCGCACCTGGCCTTTTCTTATGTTGCAGTGATTGATCCTGTCATCCAGATAATTTAGGTAGCATAAATGTGTGCTGTTATTGATCACCAGTAAAATAGGTAAGAAAATATGGAAGGATTTGTGCAATTTCATCACCTCCGAAGCAAGCCAGTTTTAAAAACATTTTATTAACATGCCCTTATACAGTAAGGATGACATATTGAGATGTGGTGCTAATACCCCGGCTCCAAACAGTGACCCATTTTATAGAAACATAAGATTCCCTTAGTAAGCTACTTAGGGCTCATCAGGAATATTTAATAATTTTTTTAATAAATTGGATAATTTGCAAAAAAATTATATTTATAAGGCTGGTCTGGGAGTACCATTGAATATAAATTGAGGTACAGAGGTTTAGTGTATGTTCCTGCTCTGGAACCGATAGAATAGCCTCTGGCAGAAGGAAGTAACCCACTGTTTTTGAGAAGTTTGAGAGTTTTCAATATTCTTTAACTCTGATGTCTTATGGCTCAAGTAACCTTTTGGTGATTAGCTCAACTAGAAGAATTGAAGATTTAATAATACAAACATTCTCTTTGTTTAAAATGTACCAGATCTATTTTTAAACAATTACTGAATCCGAGATTACTCTTTTATTAACTTGGTAAGCTACCTTTTGCCTCATGTAGTGGTTATGTATTCTGAGGGAGAGTCTTTTCCCACCCTTTTTCTTCCCTTCCCTTTCCACCTCCCTGCTCCCTCCCTTCCTCTTTTCCTCCCTTCCTCCTCCTCCTCCCCCTCCCTCTCCCCCCTCTTCTCCTGCTCTTCTCCTCCTCTTCCTCCTCTTCCTTCTCCTTCTCCTTCTCTTCCCTCTCCCTCTCCCTCTCCCTCTTCCTCTTCCTCTCCCTCTTCCCTCTCCCTCTCCCCCTCCCCCACCCCCTCCCTGGTCTGGAAGGGATAGAGAAGCAGTATCCAGAATTTAATAGTAAAAAAATGAGACTGAGACTGGCAGTCACTGTTAACTTATTAAAAAGGTCTAATATTTTCTGATTATAATAGGAACATACATTCATTATAGAATGTGTAGAAATACTGAAATCTCATCGGTAAAAATTTGGTTTATTTCTTTTCTTTTTTTTTTTGTTTTGAGACAGAGTTACTTTGTTGCCCAGGTTGGAGTGCAGTAGCATGATCTTGGCTCACTGCAACCTCCGCCTCTCAGGTTCAAGCAATTCTTCTGCCTCAGCCTCCCAAGTGTCTGGGATTATAGGCACGTACCACCATGCCCAGCTAATTTTTGTATTTTTAGTAAAGATAGGGTTTCGCCATGTTGGCCAGGCTGGTCTTGAACTCCTGATCTCAGGTAATCCGCCCACCTAGGCCTCCCGAAGTGCTGGTATTACAGGAGTGAGCCATCGTGCCAGGCCTGGTTTATTTCTTTACATATCTATATCTATATATCTGTACTCACTTTTTCCTCCTGTAAAATGGGATCTTATTGTATGTAACGTTGTATACTTGCCTTATATCATTTTTTCTTATATTGTGAAATACTCTTCCAAATGAAATGTGCTTTTGATGGTTTCATGGTATTACACTGTATGAATATACCATCATTTATTCAGTGATTCCCTTACCTTAGCAATGTTAAGCCTGTTGGTGTAATATGCAACAATTAAGGTCCAGTTAAAATGTTTTACATTACTAAGCTAATATATATCACTTTAGTGAATGTATGTTATTACAAATGTGCTTTATTACTCTTTCAGTGAATTTATCTTATGACTAATGAGTTAGATTTTAATGGGAACGTATTTACATATTGCCAAGATATTATTCAGCTTGAGCTGCCATAATGTAATAACCTGGACTGAGTGGCTCAAACAATAAAAATTTATTTCTTACAGTCTGGGAGCTGGGAAGTCCAAGATCAAGGTAGCAGCCAATTCAGTTCCACAGTGAGCGCTCTGTTCCTGGCTTGCAGGTGGTCACCTTCTTGATGTGTCGTCACACTACAGAGAGAGAGCAGAGGCAGTCTCTCTGGTGTCTCTTCATGTAATAGCACCAGTCCCAGAATGAGGGCTCCACTTTGTTGGTCTCATCTAAACCTAATTACCTCCCAAAGGTCCCGTCTCCAAATACCATCATATTGGGCGTTAGGGCTTCAACATAAGAATTTTTGAGGTAGGCAATTTGGTCCAGAGCAGGCATAAATGAGGACTATTTCAGAAACTTCTTATTTTACCTAAGTATCATGTTAAACCTAGGATCTAGAATTGTTCACATTTTACCTGGGGGAAAGATTATCTGATTTATCATAGGAAAAAAAAGATTTATCATAGGAAAAGTAAAAATTACTATTGCTTATTCATCATGAAATACATAGTTAAAAGTAAAAGATTTATAGGAAAAGTAAAAATTACTATTGCTTATTCATCATTAAATACGTAGTTAAATTATGCATCATTGGCATAAAACGGAACTATGAAATGTTACATAGTTCATAAAATGAACTATGAAATTGCTGAAATGATTCCTATACTATTCCATCCCATGAATGTTCATAGTTCCATAAAAAGTGCAAATGTTTCTTAATGTCTTTTAAAGTACTTTATGAAAAGAGACTTTAAGAGAGTTTTTTTTTCTATTTGTAAAAAAATAGCCAATTTTATGGGTGATTATGATCATTTACTAAAGTTCCTTTTAAAATTAGTCTCACCCTCTCCATAAATAAATAATACAACTAATAAGGAAGTCTTACCATGTTTTAGTGCCTTACATATATATTTTTAAATAGTTACATAACATCAATTTTTGAAATTTCAGTGATCAGTTGATCTTATATCAATGGTGCTGCTAAGGTAGATAATATGATCTTTATTTAATATTTGAGAAACTCAAAGCTTGAAGAAATTAAGTGATTTTATCTAGTGTCAAACCTTTGTTATATCTTCTGTATGTTCAAAGAACATAGGGAATTTTTATATTACCTTGATCTGAAAAATAGTGTTCAGAGAAGGACACTAATAAATAGTTACCTTTATAATTACATAGAAAAATGAACAATTAGAGGATACTATATCCAGTTAAGCTCAACTTGAAAATTCATATGTAGCATTCTTACTTAAAAATAAGTTAGTAGTGGTGTATTTCAAGTGATCACTAATGAAAGCAGTATTAATTTGTTATTATGTTTGGCTTCATTTTGTTATTTCTTTTTAAGTTTTTAGAAACTTATTTAACATGGCTTTCCTTGGGAAATACCAATATATGGTCAGCATGAATATATATTCTTTTATAAAATATGCTTCCAGAATCTCTTAATTGGTTTTCTCAGTGTATGAGTGGTAGTGGAAAGAACCCTGTACTATTTAATAGGGAGTAAACCAAGCTATTGCAAATTTAGATCTTTTATTATTTTTTATTTGTGGCTGCCAATTTTGGCTGATAAGATGGCTTTTCTATGTATAGATTAGAACAGGAGTTTGTAATAAGGTGTTTTCCACAACTACTCAACTTTGCTGTCATAGTGGGAAAGCAGCTATAGGCAATACATAAACAAGTGGACATAACTGTGCTCCAATAATATTTTATTTATTAATACAAAGACAAGCAGCAGCCATATTTGGCCTACAGGTTGTAGTTTGCTAACTCCTGCATTAGAATGTCAAGTGAAATAAAAGCTCCTCACTATAATATTTTTTAAATTATTTGCCATGTTTTGTTTACTTAAATCCTATTCTAACTTAATGCTTTAATTTGTACATTTTTCTTTTTAAATTTCACCTTTTTGATTGCTACCGTGCTTTTATATCTTCAGCTTCTTTTTAGGGTCTCTAATATCCTCATACATCTTTCCAACCTTATCAAGACTCCTCCAAATTTAATTATATATTTACTGACAATCAGGAGTGAGTGAGGTAAGGCAATGGAGGTTCTAGATATAAAGAAAAGATAGACTCTTATGGATTTGGGTGGTCATGGAAGACTCATTAAAGGAGGCAGGACTGGAACTGATTCATCAAAGCTTCGAGGGAAATTTAATATTAGAAAAAAGAGAAGATTATTTCAATAAATTGTCGACAAGGGGAAACTCACATATTTCCTCCTTCCCTCATTTCATCCCCAAAATATGAATTCCACCAGGGACTGGTTCTTTCCCAGATCATTTCCTGGAACAGAATGCACAGAATGCTAATGATGTGACTTAGTTCTCTCTTTGGATTTTACCTCGTTGAATTCTCTTTTCCTTCCTTGTGGCTAGGACTGACCAGCCTTGGAAAGGCCTGAAGCCTGTGGCCTATACCAGTGTTGCTCTAGGCACTCTAGCAAATGGGCTTCTCTCTGGCTGGTTGGCTTGTTTTTCCTTAGTGTCCCTATATGAGATAGGAAAAAACAGGTTTTCCTACCCTTACACTGGATAGAACACATAACACCTCACCTCTGGTCACCAAAATGTGTGTGGATTTTCTCTCCCAACAACCAGTTCTCTAGTGGACACCAAATGAGTATACTATAATTCAGTTCATTTCTGACACTATCTGCCTGAAGATAGCATCAGATTCCACAGGTTAAAGGCTCAATCCCACAAGACTGCCCTCATTCAGATGCCAACTGCAAGTTCTTCTGGCAAAAAAGTAAGTAGAGGGTTCACACTACCCTCCCTTGGGTTGGATTAATTTGCTAGAATGGCTCTCAGAACTCAGAAAAACATGTTTACCCCCATTTATAGGGTACAGAAGAAGTTAGTTAGAGGGAAGAGATGCATAGGGCAGGGTCTGTGGGAAGGAATGTGGAGTTTCTTTGCATTTTCCAGGCATGCCACCCTCCCAGCACCTCCACGTGTTCAGAAATCTGGAAACTTGACTTTTGTGTTTTTATGAAGGCTCCGCTGTGTAGGCATGGTTGATTAAATCATTGGTTGTTGGTGATCAACTCAACTCTCCGACCTTGTCTCCTCCCTAGAGGACCCTGTATGGGGCTGGAAGTTCCAACTGTATAGTCACATGATGGGTTCCTCTGGCAGCCAGCCCCAATCCTGAGGCCTTCCCAAGAGCCCACTAGGAGTCATGTCATTAGAACAAAAGATGCTCCTATCCCGCAAGAGATTCCAAGGGATTTAGGAGCTCTGCTGTTAAAGAACAGAACTGGAGTCTGCTCAACTGGCACAGTGAAAACACACATCAAGGTTTTTGCAGTGACAGAAAGTTGCCTATTGCAGAGTGCTAAGCAGGGGGGGACCAGCCAGCTAAATGCTCAAATCTGGCCTCCCTGATGGCTTGCAGGCAAGGATTTTTAGGCTTGCAGGCAAGGATTTTTAAAGGCAGGGGTAAATTTCAAGAAAGCAGAAGCTACAGGCAAAATCATAAATCAATACAAGGAGGTTACACATTGGCTTAAGCTTAAAAGGGCAGGACATTTGAAGTGGGGGGCACTCACAGATGGTAGGTAGATTCAGAACTCTTCGGATTTGCAGTTGATTAAGGAAGGGAAGCTTTGTTTAAAACATTTAAGTTCAGTAGAAAAATGCTGACTTGCTAGAGGGAATGACTTTCTCTAAGTTCCTCAGGAAGAAACTTACTAATAAAACAAAGGGTAATAGCTAAAATTTAGTCTTCATTTCCCCCTTATCTGGAGTCTGTATGCCAGCAGATCCATTCAGTGGGGTTTCAAGCCTCTAAAAGACAACTCAAGGATGTATGTTAGGATGTTATCTTTAGTTTCTGTAGGAAAAGCAAACATCTCTGGAGCTTTAACTTCCTTGGCTATTGTTCTGCTACCTTTTCGTTTAACAAGTTACTGAATTACCTCCGGGGCTAGCTAGATGCCTGGAATGTTTCTTAAAGGAACTTTGGGGTTTTCCTTTATTTCCATGTTTGGGGGTTTGCAGGTCCCTAAAAGGAGAGGTGGGGTCCCTGCTATATTTCACTGTGTCCAATGATCCTATCGCACAGGAAATTACAAAAGTCTTAGGAGCTCTATGTCAGGAACTGGGGGAAGAGACCAAATATATATTTCTTATGTAAACCAAAAAGTATGTGAGACAGGTCTCAGTCAATTTAGAGGTTTATTTTGCCAAACTTAAAGACCATGGTCTGTGACACAGCCTCAGGGAATCTTGAGAACATATGCGCAAGGTGGTTTGGTTACAACTTGGTTTATACATTGTAGGGAGACAGAAGTTACAGGCAAAGACATAAATCAGTATGTGTAATGTTCAGCCTGGAAAGTGGGACATCTCTAGGTGGGCGTGAGGGAGGTTTTAGGTCATAGGTGGATTCAGAGATTTCCTGATTGGCAATTGGTTGAAAGAGGTAAGCCCTGACTAAAGAGTTGAATTCAGCATAAAGAAATGCTTGAGTTTAGTTAGATAAGGGGGTTGTGGACGCCAAGGTTCTTGTCATGTAGATGAGGCCTCCAGGTAGCAGGCTTCAGAGAGAATAGATGGTAAATATCTCTTATCAGACCTTAAAAGGTGTCATGCTCTCTGGAGAAGACCGAGTATGGGAAGGAGATTCTCTACAGAATGCAAATTTACTTTACAGGAGGCAGCTTTACAGGGGCATTTCAGAATATGGAATGTCAAACAAAAAAATTTTAGGGTAAAATACTTTGATTTTCTTCAGGGCTTGCAATAAAATACCAAACTCCAACCTGACTCTTGGTATAGTATCACATGATGTTGTTTGGAATTTGGTATTTTATTGCTATGAAGAGTCTGTTTTGTCAGTCTTATGATCTCTGTTTTAATGTTAACGTCGGTCAGTTGTGTCTAAATCCCGAAGTATAGAGTGCAGAAAAGCCCAGCATGTCCAATCCATAATGAGGCATGTCTGACCCCTCCCTTTCAGTCATGGCCTAAACTATTTTTTCAGGTTTCTTTGGGGTCCACTTGGCTAAGAGGAGGGTCCGTTCAATCGGTTGGGGGCTTAGAATTATATTTTTGGTACACTTGTTATATCACAGATCCTTTCAGTCTTTTATGGCCATTTGACTTGGTGGGCGGATATGACCCAAGGGGATGGGAATAGGAAGTCAGTCAGCTTTCTTGGCTTATAAGCTACCTTTATGAGTAAATGTGTAAATGAAGGAGTCCTGCTTGGGATCTGTGTTACCTTATTGGGAACATAATTTGGAATTTGAAATTAGGGTTTTTTAAAAACAGAATGTGAATAAGTACTTCTGTTCACATTTTTTCCTGTAGACTTTGCAAAAAGGGATAGCATGGCAAGACAGATGGGTTCCTGCCATCTCTCAATCTTTTTACCTTTGGTATGATGGCAGACTAAGCGAGTATATGGACAGGGCCACTGGATCTGGAAGACAAAGCCCTATGTGGAGAAAGTGATGCCCCTGTGTTGAGGCAGCCTTCTTGTTTCTTTTGCAAGCACAACTGCTGTCCCAGACAGTGACAGCCTATCTTTAGCGAGTGGGATCTGGAGTTACTGTGGTATTTGGAGAGCCAGCCAGTCTGCCACAGTTACCTCAGGCTGCATGAATAATTTCTCTACAAAAAATGGCAGCAGTTTTCCATCATAACTGCAGTTTCTGGTATCTGATGCTGGAATTCATTTCTAAAGCCAGAGTAATATCACATTAAAATGAGCAAATCTCCAGACACTGATTTTTAGCTGCTGGATTTTTTGATTGTACAGTGTTTACTTCTTTTCGCTTCCGGGGGAAGAAAGTGGGCTCATCTCAAAGCCTTAAATAACAGTCATGAAAATTTCACCGTGTGACCACAGTGGCATGATGGATGGCATCCGAGGAACAGAGGGAAGGAAGGAGAGTGTTACTGTGCAGGGAATTTGTTGTCATTTGAAATTAAGGTTGGGACATCTCAGTGAAATCATTAAAACCTAGGAACTAAAATGAAAATAAAGACCTGTACTCAAAACTCTGGCTTAAGGAATTGGGTTGCTTGGAGGCAGAGAGAAAATTAGCCAAAGAGTAAAACTACAGCATTTGAAATATGAAGAGAAAAAGTACAAATTGGATTTTATAAAGAGATCACTAGAAACTTGAAGAGAGAAGAGGATCAGCTTTAGAAGCAAACTATAGGGGAATTGGGAAAGGAAAGTTTAAAATTTGAAATATTTAAACAGGCCATTACAAAGATAAAAGGCTTTTGGGAAGACTTAGGGCCTAGGGCTTCTCTTCATGTGAAGCCTCTCGTATCTCTAGGACACCAATATAGGGCAGAGTCTTACTATGAGACTTTTTCTCCTGAACACCCCTTCACAGTCCCCGGTAAGCTAGATTGGGACATATGAGAACTCCTTTCTCTTAGGCCAATTGCCTCCTTTGTCCATTTCCTCTTTGCTGTTTCATTTGTAGTAAAAAATAGTCTTAAATTTGAATGTTTTAAAATTATAACTAAAAAGTCTTTAAATACAAATCTTAAGACTGTGCTAAGATAGAAATTTGCTAAGCAAATCAATCTATGAGTAAAAAAACAATTGCATCAAGATTCCATATTTAACATTAGCTGTAGCCAATATTATGTGCATAGAAAAATATCAATCCAAATGAAAGAATTGACTTCAAGTTAGAAAATAATATGGATTCACAATCCTTCTCCCTTCTTATTCAAAACCATGCAGGTAATATATGCTTTAAACACTAAAAATGATGAGCATGAATCTGCAATTCAAGCCCTCAAAGATGCTCATGAAGAAGAAATTCAACAAATTCTTGCTGAAACAAGAGAAAAAATATTGCAGTATAAAAGCAAAGTAACAGAGGAGCTAGACCTTAGAAGAAAGATTCAAGTTTTAGAATCATCATTAGAAGATCACATAAAAATGAAGCAGCAGGCTTTGACAGAATTTGAAGCTTATAAGCACAGAGTTGAGGACATGCAACTTTGTGCAGAAGCCCAGCATGTCCAACGCATAGTGACCATGTCTAGAGAAGTCGAAGAGATTAGAAGGAAATTTGAAGAAAAATTACGGAGCTTTGGACAACTTCAAGTACAGTTTGAAAAAGACAAACGATTGGCATTGGAAGACTTGCAAGCTGCTCACAGACGGGAGATACAAGAGCTATTGAAGTCACAGCAGGATCACAGTGCCTCAGTAAATAAAGGCCAGGAAAAGGCAGAGGAACTACACAGAATGGAGGTGGAGTCCCTAAACAAAATGCTTGAGGAGCTAAGACTTGAACGGAAGAAACTAATTGAGGATTATGAAGGCAAGTTGAATAAAGCTCAGTCCTTTTATGAACGTGAGCTTGATACTTTGAAAAGGTCACAGCTTTTTACAGCAGAAAGCCTACAGGCCAGCAAAGAAAAGGAAGCTGATCTTAGAAAAGAATTTCAGGGACAAGAAGCAATTTTACGAAAAACTATAGGAAAATTAAAGACAGAGTTACAGATGGTACAGGATGAAGCTGGAAGTCTTCTTGACAAATGCCAAAAGCTTCAGACGGCACTTGCCATAGCAGAGAACAATGTTCAGGTAAGTAAAGAATATTATATTCAACACATGGATTTTTTTTCTTTTAAAAATATTTGTTTTGTAGGCTGGAGAGCAGTCTGGCCCACTTAGAATCAGTGGCTTCACACCACTTAGACTTTTTTTTTTTTTTTTTTTTAACTTTTCCTGCTTTTCCTTTGTGAGAAAAATCAATGACAGGATAATTTGTATTACCCTGTAGTTGTTATTTCAGACTTTCAGATATTAGGGGCCCAAAAAGACAAGCTTAAAACCTTGTCTAATTATTGGCTAGGCACAGTGGTACACACCTGTAATCCCAGCACTTTGGGGGGCCCAGGCAGGAGGATCGCTTCAGGCCAGGTGTTAGAAACCAGCCTGGGTGAGTGAGCTTAGCGAGGTAATACGCTGTTCCTGGGGGGGGGGGCGGACAATATTGCTAATTATTTACAAAAGGATTTTAATATTGGGCTTAAAGTTTAAATACATTTTTTTCTTTTCCTTTCACTAATAATGGTTTGCCTGCTAGCTGATATTTAGAATTTGATCAAGAAATTGCTTGCTTTCTAAACCTGAATTTAATAGGGGTATTGCACAAGTCTGGGGGAA
Source organism: Homo sapiens (assembly GCF_000001405.40). Taxonomy (NCBI): domain Eukaryota; kingdom Metazoa; phylum Chordata; class Mammalia; order Primates; family Hominidae; genus Homo; species Homo sapiens. The sequence goes on along the minus strand of NC_000006.12, from coordinate 119,023,373 downwards.
AAAAATGCCGGAAGTCCACAAGTTTTGTTTTGTTGGCTTAGAAAATTTCATAGCCATGTTTTTAATATCTGTGCAACATTAGAATGGATTAGAAAGTGTGGAATAGCCTTTCCTGATTGGGTCATGTTTATGAAAACATCAAGTTATAAATCACTAATACTTACAGATTTAAAAATTGGTATATAGTTTAGTATGACTTCTGAATAAGAGAAAGCTGACCCTTATAATTTAAATGAATTATTTAGCTTAGTATTATTCCTGCATTTTAACAATGGCTATTTAATCTTTCTTAGGTTCTTCAAAAACAGCTTGATGATGCCAAGGAGGGAGAAATGGCCCTATTAAGCAAGCACAAAGAAGTGGAAAGTGAGCTAGCAGCTGCCAGAGAACGTTTACAACAGCAAGCTTCAGATCTTGTCCTCAAAGCTAGTATGTGTGACCACAGTTTTTGATGTAATGCTTAGCTAAAATCAACACTTTATTTATTTATTTTTTTGGAGACAGAGTCTTGCTCTGTCGCCCAGACGGGAGTGCAGTGGCTCAATCTCGGCTCATTGCAACCTCTGCCTCCTGGGTTCAAGCAATTCTCCTGCCTCAGCTTCCTGAGTAGCTGGGACTACAGGTGCCCGCCACCATGCTTGGCTAATTTTTTTGTATTTTTAGTAGAGATGGAGTTTCACCGTGTTGCCCAGGCTGGTCTCGAACTCCTGAGCTCAGGCAGTCTCCCTGCCTCAGCCTCCCAAAGTGCTGGGATTACAGGCATGAGCCACCACGCTCGGCCCCAACACTTAAATGTTAATTTAAGGTAGCATTTATTTTTTCTTCTAACATTTTAAAACTATTTAGACTGTAAATAAGTTAAAGGACTCAATATGTTACTAATTACTTATAAGATACACAAATATTTTTTATTTTTAGGAATATATTTTTATAGAAAACTTGAGAGTTTTCCTTTGTGAGGAAAAATACCAATAGCAGGTAAAATACCAATAAAGTAGTCACTAAAAGAAAAACGGGCTGGGCATGGTGGCTTACACCTATAATCTCAGCACTTTGGGAGGCCAAAGTGGGCAGATCACTTGTGGCCAGAGGTTTGAGACCAGCCTGACCAACGAGGTGAAACCACATCTCTACTAAAAATAACAAAAATTAGCTGGGCATGGTGGTACACACTTGTAATTCCAGCTACTAAGGAGGCTGAGGCATGAGAATTACTTGAACCTGGTGGCAGAGGTTGCAGTGAGCCGAGATTGCGCCAGTGCACTTCAGCCTGAGCAACAGAGCAAGGCTGTATCAAAAAAAAAAAAAAAAAAAAAAAAAGAAAGAACGAAAAATGAAGCACACTTTTCAAGAGGTGTTGTCCTTTAAAAATATACATTTTATTTTATTTTATTTTTTGAGACAAGGTCTTGTTCTGTCACCTAGACTGGAGTGCAGTGGCATGAACACAACTCACTGTAGCCTGGACTTCCTGGGCTCAAGTGATCCTCCCACTTCAGCTTCCTGAGTAGCTGGGACCACAGGCATGCACCACCTTGGCTGGCTAATTTTTTAATTTTTTGTAAAGACGGGGTCTTGCCATGTTGCCTAGGGTGACCTCAAACTCCTGGGCTCTAGCAGTTCTCCCACCTTGGCCTCCCAAAGTGCTGGGATTTCAGGTGTGAGCCACCATGCCAGCATTTATTTAGTTTTTAGAGATGGGATCTTGTTCTGTTGCTCAGGCTTGAGTGCAGTGGCCTGATCATAGCTCACTGCAGCCTAAAACTCCTGGGCTTAAGTAATCCTCTTGCCTTAGCCTTCCCAGTAGCTGGGACTCTAGGTATGCCACGGGCTAACTTTTTTAAAGATGAGGTCTCACTGAAAAAATACACATTTTAAAGTGCTCAAATTAGTTGAAGTTTGTAAATTACAGCAGTTCATTTCTTAGGGCTTGTTACTAAGGTTCATTTTTACATACTAAAGCTGACTTGCCTATTTCTCAAGTGGCTGGTATGCTTTTTCACAACCATTACTGGAGGAAGTGGGTGACTTGTGTCAGTTCTGAAGTTATATTTTGTCTAAGTGTTTAGTGTGCCCAGGAAGGCTGTTTGAGCTGGTTCTTTGAGGATCTCATTTGATTTTGATTGGCTTATCAGTGAATCTCAGATTTTCCTTCCTCTAAAATAGTTGTTTTTAATAGCCTTTAGTGCACATTGGAGTGACCTGAAGGGTTTGTGAAACTACAGATGCTGGGCCCCACCCTCAGAGTTTCTGATTCACTTTTAGGTCTGGGGTGGGTCACATTTCTAACCAGAGTTCCCAGGTGATGCTGGTGATGCTGGTCCTGGGTACTTTGAGAACCTCTGCCTTAAACTATCCTTTCTATGAGACCTTTTTCTTCACTCACTTTTCATCTCTCTGTCTCTCCTCATTTTTCTCCACCTTCCCTGCTTTTTGCTGTCATTTAAGAGATTCTTTCATAACCTTGCTGTCTTTATCTGTGTCTTACATCACCTTAGTTGTTGGTTGGTTGGTTGTTTTTATTTGGAGATGAGGTCTCGCTATGTTGCAGGACATAGTGCAGTGGCTGTTACAGGTGCAGTCATAGCTCACTGCAACCTTGAACTCCTGGGCTCAAACAATCCTCCCATCTCAACCTCCCAAGTAGCTGGAACTACAAGCTCCACTTTAGGTCTTTATCTGGCCTCTTGCCTGAAACAAATTCAATTTCAACCAAACTGCTATCTGCCATCTTTGTTTCCTACATACAAACTTCTTCCTTTTTATGTTAGAATTTGAAAATAAATTAGAAAAGAACGAATCACTCATTTTGGCGCCACAGTGTCAGTCAGTGCATCCTCTCCGTCCTTCTTTTATTCCCAGGAGACTTTCTTATGAAGCCTACTGAGGAGTTGCGCCTACTTCAACCTGTTTAGCTTGCAATCTTAAAAAAACAAAAACAAAAACAAAAAAAACCAGTAAAACGGTACGAGGTGCAGGAAGCAACATTAATCATGTGAAAATGACGTTTTAATTTAAATTATTCTAGTGCGCTAAGAAGTATTTTCATGTAAATATTTCCATTTTATGTAGTGAAGAAACAAAAGGAAAATTTGTACATGTAGACCATTTATTTTACTTAAGTATAAAGTACAGTTGTGTTATTAAATGTAAACTGTTTATCTCATAGTACAACTGATTTTTAAATTGAAGGGATTTTCTTTTTGGGGGATAGGTCATATTGGAATGCTTCAAGCAACTCAAATGACCCAGGAAGTTACAATTAAAGATTTAGAATCAGAAAAATCGAGAGTCAATGAGAGATTATCTCAACTTGAAGAGGAAAGAGCTTTTTTGCGAAGCAAAACCCAAAGTCTGGATGAAGAGCAGAAGCAACAGATTCTAGAACTGGAGAAGGTAAAAAGTAATGGACACTCCATTCCCCCCGAAAGAGTTCCGTTTTTCTCTTTTTCACATTTGAAGTATTTGGAGTATTTCTTGCTACTCCCCAGTAACAATACATTTCCTACTTTAGTAGTTATTTTTGGTTCTAATTTTGAGGAAATGGGTATATAGCTAGACTATCCTATGCTGTATGTATGTTCAAAATATGTGGGTAACAATCTATATAATATAAAAACTTTAAGACATTTCAACCTATTTCAAGCCAGAAATTGAATAAACTCTTATTTCAGTGGAGTGTATACTTATAATCATTATTCGTTTTCTATTAATGAAATATATTACTGCATATCCATGTAGGAAATTTCTGTAGAACTGAAAATATGACAAGCTTCAAGCTCTGAAAATGTATACCAAGATAATTGAATTTCTAGTTTAACAAGTGAAACATCATTTATAGAGTAATTGCTGAATATGTATTCCAGTTTTTCAGATGCCCACAATACCAAGTGGGAGTTTTGGACATACTTTTCTTTCTCTTTCCCTCAACGTCTAAGTATTTTGAAAATATCTATTCTCTTTGCTCTTTACTTACTTCCATTCATTCCTTAACCTGGTGCAGTCCTCTCTGACCATCAGTCCACAGAATTTGCTTTTGCCTCAGCCCTCAGTGCCATCCTGATTGGTGGACTTGGTGGATCATATCTTACTGTGGTACTTACTACCCACTGATTTACAATCTCTCATCTCTTGGTATTTCACATTCTTTCACATTTTTCTCGTACCTCCTTGGCCTTACAGTCTTCTTTGTGAACTTCCCTCCTCCATCTGTTCCCTTACCATTGATGTTTCCAGTATTTTCATCTAATTCTACGCACTCATTCATTCCAGTAACATCAACTGTCACTTATTCAGTGATAGCTTCTAAATCTTTAGGTCCAGGCCAGACATTTTCTCTGAATTTAAGTCTTTTATCCTTTCCACTAGATATCTCCATTTATGTTTTTCACAAACATCAAGTTACCATGCCCAGAACTTTCTCCTCTCAAAAGTACTAAGTTTCTTTTACTCCTTATTTCAACCAATAGCACCACTGTCTATCTAGTTGCTAAATCAAAAAGCTGAAAGTCATTCTTGATTACTGTTTTCTCAGCCCCTTTATCTGTTACAGAGTCCTGTTGGTTCTACTTCCTTAATATATTTTTATTCCATCCTCCCCTGCTCATACCCATTTATAGATCCGAGGTTTAGGCACGTGTCATTGCTTGCCTGGATTATAGTCACAACTGCCTAGCAGCAATCTCTGATTTCAGTTGGCTCACCAGCCTGCTTCCAAGATGATTGTTTTTAAAAGTATATAATTTGCTTAAAACTTCAGTGATTTCTCAGTCCCTTCAGAAGAAAATTCAAAGTTCTTGGTGTAAAAGACCCCATCTCATTATTTTATTCCTGCCTACTTCTGAGCCCCGTCTTTCACCACTTTATCACCTTGTATCCTGTATTCTATCCAGACTGCTTAGCTGCACAGACTTTCTGTCTCCCTAAACTTTCCCATCTGGTTAGCTACTTGCCATCTTTCCAATGCTGCACAACAATAGAAACAGTTATGAATGTAGGCTTTTGACAACAGACCTAGGCTTGACATTTTCTTATCATTAATTTCCTCTGGGGTTGTTGTAAGAATTAAATGAGAGAATGTCATCACCAGCTCAGATGCTTTCTCTTCTGAAAAGCCTTCCCTGATATCTCTCTGTCTCTGTCTTTGTCTCTCTCTCTCTGAAACACACACACACATGCACACGCACATGCACTTTCTCACCGCGTCCAAGTTAGGCATCCTTCTAATATACTCCCATAACACGGGATATACATCTGCATTAGTTCATTTTGCATTGCTGTAAGGGAATACCTGAGACTGGGTAATTTATGAAGAGAAGACGGATATTTGGCTTGCAGTTCTGCGGTCCGTGCATGAAATGTAGTACTGGCATCTGTTTCTGGTGAGGCCTCAGGAAGCTTACAATCATGCTGGAAGGAGGAGGGGAGCCAGCATGTCACAGGACAAGAGAGAGAGCGAGAGAGAGGAAGGAGGTGCCAGGCTCCTTTAAACAACCAGATCTCACATAAACTCATAGAGTGAGAGCTCACTCATTATTGCAAGGACAGCACCAAGCTATTCATATGGGATTTACCCCCATGATCCAGACACCTCCCACTAGTCACATCTCCAACATTGGAGGTCACATTTCAACATGAGATCTGGTGGAGACAAAAAAATCCAAACCTGTGTCAACATCCCTTTTTCATAGAACTTATAAAACTATATTGCCATAGTCTTTGTATTTTTTTCATTATTAGAACTGTGAATGCCCAAAAGGTACGTAATTGGCATTCAAAATTGTATTGAGTGATATCCTTTGAGTGGGTTAACTGGTAAGCCATTTTGTGTACTATTTTGACATAAAAGGAAGCCCTTTACTCTTTTTTTTTTTTTTGAGATGGAGTCTCGCTCTGTCGCCCAGGCTGGAGTGCAGTGGTGCAATCTCAGCTCACTGCAAACTCTGTCTCCCAGTTTCACGCCATTCTCCTGCCTCAGCCTCCCAAGTAGCTGGGACTACAGGCACCCGCCACCGCGCCCAGCTAATTTTTTGTATTTTTAGTAGAGACGGGGTTTCACCGTGTTAGCCAGGATGGTCTTGATCTCCTGACCTCGTGATCCACCCGCCTCGGCCTCCCAAAGTGCTGGGATTACAGGCGTGAGCCACTGCACCCGGCCCAGCCCTTTACTCTTAAGCTTGCAGATGTATTAACTCACATTTGGTCTAATATGATAATAGTCTATTTTATCTCTTGCTTTAACATTTTTGATTTTGTATAGGCTCCCCTTTCACTTTCTGAGAACACTAATGATTTGTTGTCATGTTTCATAGTCTAGATCCCGTAGCACTCAGTTTATTCAAGCTTCCATATTTATAGGGTATTCAAATTACCCTAATAACAGTAATGAAAAAAGCAGGTGCCGATTATTGATCTTTGTTTTAATTTTAGAAAGTAAATGAAGCAAAGAGAACTCAGCAAGAATATTATGAAAGGGAACTTAAAAACCTGCAAAGTAGATTGGAAGAGGAGGTGACTCAATTAAACGAGGCCCATTCTAAGACTTTGGAAGAATTAGCTTGGAAGCACCATATGGCAATTGAAGCTGTCCACAGTAATGCAATTAGGGATAAGAAAAAACTGCAAATGGTGAGTAAAAATTTAATTTATCATTGCATTGTAAATTGATGATATTTCTGTAGTAGTGTGTCCGGAATTGGTGGGTTCTTGGTCTCACTGACTTCAAGAATAAACCCACGGACCCCCGCGGTGAGTGTTACAGCTCTTAAGGTGGCGCGTCTGGAGTCTGCCCCTTCTGATGTTCAGATGTGTTCGGAGTTTCTTCCTTCTGGTGGGTTGGTGGTCTCACTGGCTCAGGAGTGAAGCTGCAGACCTTCGCGGTGAGTGTTACAGCTCTTAAGGTAGCGCGTCTGGAGTTGTTCGTTCCTCCCAGTGGGCTCGTGGTCTTGCTAGGCTCAGGAGTGAAGCTGCAGATCTTCGTGGTGAGTGTTACAGCTCATAAAAGCAGCGTGGACCCAAAGAGTGAGCAGTAGCAAGATTTATTGCAAAGAGTGAAAGAACAAAGCTTCCACAGTGTGGAAGGGGACCCGAGCGGGTTGTCAATGCTGGCTCGGGCAGCCTGCTTTTATTCTCTTATCTGGCCCCACCCACATCCTGCTGATTGGTAGAGCTGAGTGGCCTGTTTTGTCAGGGCGCTGATTGGTGCATTTACAATCCCTGAGCTAGATACAAAGGTTCTCCACATTCCCATCAGATTAGTTAGTTACAGAGTTTCACACACAGGTTCTCCAAGGCCCCACCAGAGCAGCTAGATACAGAGTGTCAATTGGTGCACTCACAAACCTTGAGCTAAACACAGGGTGCTGATTGGTGTGTTTACAAACCTTGAGCTAGATACAGAGTGTCGATTGGTGTATTTACAATCCCTGAGCTAGACATAAAGGTTCTCCAAGGCCCCACCAGAGCAGCTAGATACAGAGTGTCGATTGGTGCACTCACAAACCTTGAGCTAAACACAGGGTGCTGATTGGTGTATTTACAATCCCTGAGCTAGACATAAAGACTCTCCAGGTCCCCACCAGACTCAGGAGCCCAGCTGGCTTCACCTAGTGGATCCCGCACCGGGGCTGCAGGTGGAGCTGCCTGCCAGTTCCGTGCCATGTGCTCGCACTCCTCAGCCCTTGGGCGGTCGATGGGACTGGGCGCCGTGGAGCAGGGGGCAGCATTCGTCGGGGGAGGCTCGGGTTGCACAGGAACCCACGGAGGCGGGGGAAGGCTCAGGCATGGCGGGCTGCAGTCCCGAGGCCTGCCCCGTGGGAAGGCAGCTAAGGCCCGGCAAAAAATCGAGTGCAGCATCGGTGGGCTGGCACTGCTGGGGGACCCAGTACACCCTCCGCAGCCGCTGGCCCGGGTGCTAAGCCCCTCACTGCCCGGGGCCCGCAGGGCCGGCCGGCCGCTCTGAGTGTGGGGCCCGCCAAGCCCACACCCACCCAGAACTCCAGCTGGCCCGCAAGTGCTGCGTGCAGCCTCAATTCCTGCTTGTGCCTCTCCCTCCACACCTCCCTGCAAGTTGAGGGAGCCGGCTCTGGCCTTGGCCAGTCCAGAAAGGGGCTCCCGCAGTGCAGCGGCAGGCCGAAGGGCTCCTCAAGTGCCACCAGAGTGGGAACCCAGGCAGAGGAGGCGCCGAGAGCAAGCGAGGGCTCTGAGGACTGCCAGCACACTGTCACCTCTCAGTAGTCCAGTGTGACCTATATTGTAGAGCAATGATTTGCTGCTGCTGCTGCTTTTCTTTTCTTTTTCTTTTTTTTTTTTGAGACAGAGTCTCGCTCTGTCTCTCAGTCTGGAGTGCAGTGCAGTGGCACAATCTCGGCTCATTGCAACCTCCACCTCCCAGGTTCAAACAAGTCTCCTGCCTCAGCCTCCTGAGTAGCTGGGACTACAGGCGCATGCCACCACACCTGGCTAATTTTTGTATTTTTAGTACAGACAGGGTTTCACCATGTTGGCCAGGCTGGTCTCGAACTCCTGACCTCAAGTGATCCTCCCACCTCAGCCTCCCAAAATGCTGGAATTATAGGTGTGAGCTACCGCACTCAGCTGATTTCCTTCATTTTGATGGTTTCTGTCTTGTAATCATTCTTGAAGTCATGGTTCAAAGAGTAACATACCTGGTAGTTCTTGAAATGAGATATAGCTTATTGAATTTATTTAAGACATTGCTACTTCATATAAGCCATAATAGAAACACTGTTTTTGTTCTTGAGCTGTCTCTTCATGAGACAATTTAATAGGTGTGCTCTTCAGGAAGCCTCAACTAGTTGAAAGTATGTATTCTCTCGTAGATAGTTTTCTTCTTTGAGAAAATGATTTATGTTTTGTTTTGTTTGTTTCTTCCACAATTAAGTATTCAGCTTGCTAATAGTAATATATGACAGACAGAATTGCAGAGTAGAAAAAGCAAAGTATCTGACAGACCTTGGCCTTACACTGAGCTCTTTGCCTATTAACTGTATTACTTTGGGCCTCAAAAGCTATGCCTTAGGCTCCTCATCTGACAAAAGATATGATTCAACTTAAAATGTTCCTTCGAGGATTAAGTCAGATAAAGTGTTGAGTACCAAGCCATGTTCTAGCACATGATGATAAAAATTAGTTATTAGTACTTCTTACTATGTACCACATACTACAGTAATGTTTTGCATCTTTTAAAAAATCTAATTCTTATGACACTTTGGTTTGATTTCTCTACACATTTTACTGAAGAGGGGATGTGCTCAAGCACATGCAACTAGTAAGACTCAGTCAGGCCTTGAACTCAGGTTCCAGATCTGTCAAATCCCAGACATCTAAATACCATCATGTAGGCATTTAGTAATGATGGTTGTTATATATTTCACTAATGGTACTTTACAGTTTACAAAGAGCTTTTTTATATATACCTTAATACTTACGACTTGGAGATTAAAGTCATTTTTATTATATAGATGGTAAAATAGGTTTAATAAACCTCGATGATTTCGTGAGAGCCACAGCGCTATTAAGAAGAGATAGGATATGAATTGAGATCTGCCTCAGTGTGCTTTCCTTTTGTGACATGACTAGTTGGGAAAAATATTTAAGACCTAAACTTAATTTAAAATTCAAATAAAACTTCCCATTAGAATGTTATTTCTTACTAAACTTACTACTATATGTTTATGTAGCCAGAGACAAAAATTAATGACATGTTATTTCTCAAGACTCTGACTGTAGTATTCTCTGTGCCAGGTCACTATTCCAGAACCAGTTTGCACAGCATTAGTTAGTGAGGCATGTGCATGCTTAGCAGTTCTGGGTGCCTGTATCACGTGTTCAGAGTTTTATAGAAAAGTGTTTCATGGTAACTGCTTCTTCTGTACTCTGTTTCCTAGCTATCTTTTGGTATTACTTTTCATTTCTACATTCATTTTCACTGTAGCCACTTTCTTTCTTATTGGAATATTTAAATTGCATATGTCCTGCCTTTAGCCTTTATTCCTCTCTATTAAGTTATAAGTGCTAGAATTGAGGCATCTTTCATCAACGTCATTTTTACCTCATTACTTTACTCCTCATTATCCCTTCACCTGATTAAATTTTAATTTTCTAGCACCTGCCTTAAGCTAATTAAATTTCTTAAAGTCTTTCTTTAAAACATGGTTGCCGTAAGACAGATGACATGAAATTTCCTATAGGTGAATATATTCACCACCCTATTGCAGCATTATTTCTACCCTTCTTTTTTTTTTTATCAGAGTAACTTGTGTATCACTTGCTCTTTCTTCCACTCTTGCCTGTCTACCTCATGTCTGAACCTGAGCTGAAACCAGCCTCCTTCCAAAATAGTCTTCCTCTAGTGTCAGATTCTCTCTTAAGGAACATTTAGCTGAAGACGACTTCTATTGTCTTATTATTGAGTTATCAAAAAGGATTGTACTGTCCATAACTGTAGTTGACCCACCACAACTGAGAGTGAATATACAGAGAACCCATGCAGAAAACTGTTAACATAGGAGGCTTGAGGCTACCATCCTTAGAAAGGCAAGTTGGCCCTTGGCTGGCATCTGGGAACTTGGATTTCTGGAGATCCCCCCATTCCCTAATAAGAATGACTCACTGGCCTAAGCTGTGGCCTAACCACACAGCCAATGTGGTTTATGCTGAACACCTGCTTTCCTTCTGGGAATCTGGAATTTTGACATGTGACAGGAAGATGGTACCTGTATGATCAGTTGCCGATAAAAAACCTGGGTACTAAGTCTCTCATGAGCTTTCCTAGTAGACAACATTTCACACAAATTGTCACAGGTTGCTGGAGGTATTCAGCCTGTCTTGTATAAGGACAACATTTCACACAAGTTGTTACAGGTGTCTGGAGGTATTAAGTGTGTCCTGTGTGAGAGGGCTTTTGGAAACTTTGTACCTGTGTCTGGTTTCTGGCAGACTTCACCCCATGTGTCTTTTTCCTTTGTGGTGTGTGCTTTGAGTCCTGTGCCATAATCACAGCCATGAGTGTGACTATACCCGTGAATGTAAATCATCAAACTTGGGTTTGTCTTGGGGTCCTCTGACACAGAACCCTATTGATTCTTCTTCTCATTTTACACTACAGAAATATTGAACTGCTTGTAACATACTGTGCTCCTTTGTCCCTTTGTGGTGTGAAAAAGCCTTAGCACATGCTTTTTCCCGTGCCTAGAATGTGATGTTCCCCTCCTGCTCCATCACCTTTTCTTCCTTCAAACCATGCTTAGGAATTGCTTTCTCTCTAAAGGTTTCCCTGCCAAGCTAGACGTTATTAGTTCCCCTTCCATATACTCCCGTACTCCCTATGCATGTCTAATTTAGTTAATATTCTTTAATTGTTTGATACCATGAGCTTATTAAGGGCAGGCTCCATATCTTATTGCCTTTGTTACCCAAGTGTTAAGTAGCATGCCTGGCAAATAGTAAGTGATCTTCAGTAATTATCAGTTTTACCAGTTTTGCTCTTTAATTTGCCTTCATTTTATACTTGCTCATTCTCTACTGTGTTCCAGTGCTAGACCACTGATTTGTAGAAGTGTCACTGGATTTCATTTTTTATGCAAACATAAAAGAATTTGAGGGAAAAAAAGAATTTTGAATTCAAGAGGTAATTAGAATTTTTTATCTCACACTTTTCTGTTTTTGGACTTCAGCTTGATCTAGTCCAGTCACATGTTCTCACCATTTAAAAAAAGTATAACTACATTATAAATGAGTCAGAATGATAGAATCTAAGCCACTATGGGTGTCACTGTTAATTCAGATATTGTTAATTAAGGGTAAGGCTAATTTGAAGAGCAAAGTTTCAAAATACAAAACAGAATAGTCTTTTTCTTAGAGTCTTCAAAGTATATAATACTTGCAATTTTGTTAATTTTTAAAAAATTTCTTTTTCTAAGGATTTGGAAGAACAACATAACAAAGATAAACTAAACCTGGAAGAGGATAAAAATCAGCTTCAACAAGAGCTAGAAAACCTAAAGGAAGTACTGGAAGACAAGTTGAATACAGCCAATCAAGAGGCAAGAATTCTTTAGACCTGTTGCCTATGTTATAGATTTTAATAATAATAACTTATTCTGGTGACATTGTATAGGTAGGTAAGTCTCAGTAAAGGTAACATATCTAGAATAAAAATAATTTAAAAACTTTAATTGGTGTTGAATTTTTCATGACACTCTGATTATGTTCCACCAGGTAAAATTTACTGTCAAAAACATTAAACTAAGGTGCTGTTGTGGGGAGAAGCAAAACAGAATATCACCACATAGGAAAAGAACAAGAGAGAGTTCTCTACCCTTTTGCCAAAAAATAGCTTATTATTCTCTATACTGCCTCTTTTTCTACAATTTCAACAGAAACTGAGGATGGTAGCTAGAATCAGTAGGCTTAATTTGAATTACAGTCTGTGACATTGCCCTTTTAAGACTAGATATAAATGAAAGAGGAGAAAAGAGGGAAGTTAGAGCTCTTCTTCAATCTCATATCGGCAAAGTTCCAGGTGGGTTAAGGATTGGAATATAATATGAAAATCATGGATATGAATATAAATAAAATATGAAAACAAAAATGACAAACCTGAGGACAGAGAAGGCTGTTTGAACATGATATCAAAGTTGTGAATTGAAACATGGAATATTTGTACAGTTAAAGCTAAAACTTCTTTATATCAAAACACACCATAAGCAAAATTTAAAAAGAGGAAAAACTGGGAGAGATGAAGAGACTGACAAATTGACCAATGAAGAGTTCATGTCTTTAACACTTTTAAGAGTATTTACAAAACAATAAGAAAAATACAGACACCCAGATTATCTTTTTACAAGCTAAAAATAAGCAGGAAAAAATAATTTGTATAATTTAAGAACTGGAAATGAAATCAATGAGATGCCATTCCATCACCATAAAATTAACAATGATAAAAAAATTGAGACCATGCAGTGTTAATAACGATAAAGAAATAAGCACTCAGAAACTGCTGATGGGGATTCAAAATTGTATAATTTTCCTCGAAAGGGATTTATCAGCACATATGAAAGCCTTAAAGACAGGCATGTCCTTTAACTCAACAGTTTCATTTTTTTGTGTATTTAACCTAAGCAGATAACTACGGATTGTTGACAAAATTTCAGCACTGTTTATAGTAG